>NC_000016.10:48198863-48501894 GCF_000001405.40 Homo sapiens | reverse complement strand
ACAGCTCTGAAGCCTGCCGTCATTGTCCCTTTGGGCCGTGTAAGCCTTCCAGACCCATCGGGCCTCACTTGCTATGTTGCTTGGAGAAAATAACACTGAGGCAGGAACTAAGAACGCGGTGAGGATTGGCAAGAGGAGACCGCAGGGAAGAACCTTGTCAGTCTTGCACTTGGTGGGAAATTAGGCGCTGAAGGCTTTGGACAGCTGCCAGGTTCTTCTGTCCAGCCCCTGTGGCTCTTGAGTAGGTGAAGTTCCCTTGAGTGGGTGGCGGGCAGCGAGGACACGGAAGGGTTAGAATGCTTGAGGAAAGTAGAGAGAAAATGTGGGATTGTTATAAAATGCAGATAGAATGAGATAAGACCTTGCTGAGCCTGAAAAATTAAATATGCACAGATTGACTTCAAGTAGGTCTTTGGCAGGGTTAAAAGCCAGAGGTTTTGCTCCTCACTCTAAGCAGGAAATCGTTTGTGCAAAATAACAGGACATTTAAAAAGACCATTTTTCTGGATTCGGCGAGCACCAGAAGTAGCCAAAGAGGCTAAAGTTACTTCTAAACCCATTTGTTTTAGGTTCTGCTTATGAACCTGGTAGAAACTGTAGGGAAACCCAAGCGGGGTGGGGCAGGGGTGAGACACACAAGTTCCCACCCCACTCTGTGCGCACTCTAAGCCATTAAACCTTCAACCAGCTGCTGACGTCAGAGGGCACCTAATGAAAATGCGTCCGAGACCGGGTGCAGTGGCTCACACCTGTAACCCCAGCACTTGGGGAGGCCGGGGTGGGTGGGTTGCTTGAGCTCAGGAGTTCGAGACCAGCCTGAGCAACATGAGGAAATCCCCGCCTCTACAAAAAAAATAAAAATAAAAAAATTAGCCGGGTGTTGTGGCACACACCTGTAGTCCCAGCTACCTGGGAGGATCGCTGGAGCCTGGGAGGCAGAGTTGAAAGTGAGCCGAGATCGTACCACTACACTCCAGCCTGGGTGACAGAGTGAGACCTTGTCAGAAAAAAAAAAGAAGAAGAAGAAGAAGACAGAGAGGAGAGAACGAAAGAAAGAAAGAAAAGAAAATCGAGAAAGAAAGAAAGGGCCGGGCGCAGTGGCTTACGCTTGTAATCCCAGCACTTTGGGAGGCCGAGGCGGGTGGATCGCGAGGTCAGGAGTTCGAGACTAGCCTGACCAACATGGTGAAACCACGTCTCTACTAAAAATACAAAAATTAGCTGGGCGTGGTGGCGGGCGCCTGTAATCCCAGCTACTCGGGAGGCTGAGGCAGGAGAATCACTTGAACCTGGGAGGCGGAGGTTTCAGTGAGCCGAGATCACATCACTGCACTCCAGCCTGGGCAACAGAGCAAGACTCCATCTCAGAAAAAGAGAAAGAAAAGAAAATATGTCTACATTTTGTTTTTAAGTTGCATTTTGTAGGAGTTGAAACTGGATTCTTCAGGAGCAGTTGCTCAGAAATCTTGAATTTGAGGCCTTTCATACTCATTTGCAGGAAGAAAGTGTTCTCCCCAGGAAAATGGATTGCTCAGCTGAAAGCATAAACTTCTATTTTGATATCTGCAGAGTTCATGTACACGTGGCTGTGTACATTTGTCCTACTGGTTTGGAATTTAGATCTGGATTGATGTGACAGCTTACTGCTGTTTAACACTCTCCTTTCTCTTGCTAAAAAGCTCTTAAATGGTTTTAGAGGTTATTTGTGAGTTATGACATGCTCCTCACTTTTTCAGGGTTATGAAAAACATTGTGTTAGTCATGAGCCTGAAGAATTATAAATGTGTGATTTTAGTTAAGAATGTGCTTTTTATTTTTCTTTTTTCCTATTTACTTAGAAGCTAGTTTTCAGTCTCTGACATCACGTTGGCAGACGCCAGCAGGAAAAGAAAGGGATTTAATTTGGCAGCTTGCCTGGAAATAAGAGAGAAAAGTTCTTGCTTACATGAGTTGCTAGCTTATCCAAGGCTACAAAGAAAGAAAGATTCTTATGTCACTTTTTTCCTTTAAATTTTCTTTAAAAATTTTACCAAAGTAATACAGATACATTTAAAATATATATATATATGTATGTCTCAAAGGATCCAGAAGGACTAATAATGAAAAACAATTGCCCTCCCAAGTCCTCTTCCTGCTCCTAAGAAGGAGTCTCTTTCAACTTTGCCTTTTGATGGATCCTTCCATGCCTCTAATACTCAGCTTATAAAGCTGTTTCTGTGTTTTTTTTTAATTTTTATTTATGAGGTATAATTCACATACCATTAAATTCATCCTTTTAAAGAGTGCAATTCAGTGGGGTTTTGTATATTCATAAAGTTGTGCAACTATCACCACTATCTAGTTTTAGGATGTTTTCATCATGCCAAAAGGAAACCCGATATCCATTAGGCAATCATTCCCCATTGCCCCTCCCCCAACCCCAGGCAACTACTCATCTATTTACTTACTTACTTTATTTATTTATTTATTTATTGCATATGCAAAGTTGGCATCGTAGCTTTATTTGTGCACTGTGAGGGTGAAGGCAATCTATCGTCAACTCTTCTTTCCCTGATATGCTCCAGAATAAAGAGGGGTGGGTGGAACAGCCATGAGCAGGGCCAGTTGTGGGCTATGTGGTCTGTCAGGAGTCCTTAGGGCTGTGGCCCACGTGTTCACATCCCGTTTCAGAGGAGGGGGGCCTGAGAAAAGGGGGCCAGCAGGACCAGGCAACTGTTAAGCTGAAAAGCTGCAAGTTTGATGGGACATAGACTTGGGCAGAAGGGAGATAAAGTCAGGACAGGGCAGGGCTGTGGCTTCACAGACTTAGGGAGGCAGAGCTGCTGGGGAGATGCATTCTTCAGGCAAGCTTGGGCTTTACTCTCCTCAAAGTGGGTTCCTCCGCTTAATGAGCCCTTAATCTCTCCCCAGGAAAGTAGGAGAAGAGAAAACCCAAAATGAGAAGGAACATTTCTGGGCTGGACTGTCTGAGACTGTTTGTCTGAAATAGTCCAGAAAGAACATGATTTCTCAGTTATCTAGCATTGCTTGTTGCAGTCTGGCTCCCATGAACTTAGTGTCCTGGAAGGCTTAAGGGCCTCCTGGTATCCTCCCTATAGAAAGGAAGCCCCATTGGTCATTAAAGATCATCTAGCAGCAGGCCTAGTAGTAGAGCAGGCTGACTTCAGGTTTACTGCTCAAGGTAAACAGTGACTGTGATGAAAGGAACTTGATGTCTTTCCCTCAGCTTAAATTGCACCCCATCTTCAGACCTGGCTGGGCCATGGGTGAGAAGGGCAGAAGCTAAACCCAATGGAAGTCCCCCCACTGAACTCCAGTCTTGCTAATGAGCTTGATCTCCTCCAACACGATGTCCCTGCTGATAGCCTTGCACATGTCACACAGGGTGAGGGCGGCCACTGCAGCAGAGGTCAGGGCCTCCATTTCCACCCTGGTGGGGGCCCCGAGCCTGGCAAGATGCCCAGATCTCCACAGCATGGCATGTGCTGTCCAGCTCCAGCTGCACCTGGACGTGGCTCAGGGCCACGTGGTGGCACAGAGGGATCAGCTGGCTGGTCACCTTGGCTGCCCGGACTCCAGCCAGCTGGGCCACCACCAGGGCATCTCCTTTCTTGAGCTGGTTCTGCTGGACAAGCTTGAAGGCTACAGGCCCCAGGATGACCATGGCTGAGGCCACAGCCAACCACTCTGTGTCTGGCTTCCTGCCCACATCTACCATAGCTTCCCGTCCTTCCAAATCCACATGAGTTAGTTGTTCTGAGTTTAGCTGGTGTCCTGAGGGGGCAGCAGGAGCCCAGGAACCTGGGCTAAGGCACTTTGAGTTGGCATCTGAGTCTGCATGGGAAGTGTAGTGTCTCTGAAAGGAGCCAGAACCTAGCTGCTGCTGGGCTAGAAGAGGGGTCTGGGGTACCCTGTATCCTTTCCATAAAGTGGCCATCTGACTGGAGAAATTCATTCTGGATCTCAGACCTTGAACATGGAGGGGGTCCCAGGAGGAAATGCTTGGATTGGCTGGTGGGGAATCGTGGAACATCAAAAATGTCTTGATGGGGGTCACCCACCGATGAGGATCATGGGCCAGTTCTTCATCTGGGAAATACTGAACATGCCTGCATGCTGCTGCTTCTTCCTGCCCACGGCAGCGCCAATGATTCTCAGCAGCTCCTGCTTGGAGGCCCCAGATCACAGTGATCCCGTAGAGATACCTCAGAGTTTCCAAAGAGGCAGACCTTGAGGTTCCCGTCAGCTGTGATTTGCAGGTGGTTGCAGGTCCCACAGAAATGCTCAGACATGGACATGATGAAGCTGATCTGGCCTTGGAAGCCAGGGATTTTAAAGGCCTTGGCTGTCCTGGATTCCTGCTCTGACAGCTTCTCCAACTCTGGCCACAGCTGCCATACAGTTTCTAGCATCTCCTTATAGCGACCATCTTCTTGAAGTTCCACTTGTTGCCATCAAAGGGCATGTACTCTATGAAGGCCACGTCCAGGGGGAGGCCCTTGATCAAGGCCGCAAAGTCCAGGAGTTCATCCTCGTTAAGGCCTCGCGTCACCACACAGTTCACCTTCACAGGGTTGTAGCCTGGCTCATTGGCCTTGTGGATGCCCTCCATGACCTTGTGGAAGCCTTTCCTGCGGACAATGAACTCAAACTTGGCAGGCACCAGTGTGTCCAGGCTGATGTTGATGGCGCTGAGACCAGCCCTCTGAAGCTGGGGCAGCAGCCGGGCCAGGTTGATGCCATTGGTGGTGACACCAATGGTCCTCAGCCCTTCCAGTCGCTGGAGCTGGGCCACAATGTCCACCTCGTCCGGCTGGATGAGCGGCTCTCCGCCCATGAGCCAGATCTTTTCGACGCCTTCCTTCACAAAAAGCCAGGCGAGGGTCAGGATCTCTTTTGTGGTCAACATCTCTTCTGTGGTCAGCAGGTTGGCCTTGGGGGTCAGCGGGACCCCTTCCTCCGGCATGCAGTACTGACATCTGAGGTTGCACTTCTCCGGGAGGGAGATCCGCAGGTAGCTGTGCTGCCCGCCGAAGCTGTCTGTGAGGAAGGCGGAGAAGGGGGCCTCGTGCTCCCGCGAGAACTGCCTCCACCTGGACAGCTCCTGTGAGGCAGCTTGCGGGGACTCGCCCGGGCGGGGCGGCATCACCGGAACCCGTGAGCTGCAGCTCCGTGGCGTTGGACCTTAGGAGCCGGCGCAGCATCCGGGACAGCGGCCGCGCCACCGTGAAGCCTGATCCCGGCAGAGCTGCGGCCCTCAGCCGGCTTCGGGAGCACACTGGCCGGGCAAAAGCGATTCTCCTGCCTCAGCCTCTTGAGTAGCTGAGATCACAGGCATGCACCACTACGCCCGGCTAATTTTTTGTATATAGAGTAGAGGTGGTGTTTCACCATGTTGGCCAGTCTGGCCTCGAACTCCTGACCTCAAATGCTCTGCCTGCCTCGGCCTCCCAAAGTGCTGAAATTACAGGGGTGAGCCACCGCGCCAGGCACATCTACTTTATGTTTCTATAGATTTACCTTTTCTGGACATTTCATACAAATGGAATCACATAATATGTAACCTTGTATGATTGGCTTCTATCACTTAGTGTAATGATTTCAGGGTTCATCCATGTCGTAGCGTGTGTCAGTGCCCCATTACTTTATGACAGCTGGTCATAAAGTAATGTATGCATAGACTACATTGTATGTATAGACTACATTTCGTTTATCCGTTCATTAGTTGGTGGACATTTACACTGTTTCCACCTGGGGCTATTATGAATAACGCTGCTGTGAGCGTTCATATATAAGTGTTTGTGTGCACATATGTTTTCAATTCTTTTGGAGATATATATACAACTGTTTTTATTCATCCCTTTATACTTCCTGTTATGAGAGATGAGGATTTAGCTTGTTTACAGTATTCTCTTTCCTTCCCATCTCTATCCTACCAGTAATCTATTTTTCTTCTTCCTTTTATTACATTCGTAACTGTAGTAATTGTGATTGATTTTCACTCAGATAACAAAAACCTGCCTACAGCAGCTTAAACACACAGGGAGAAATTTGTACTCACTAAACAAGTCCTGCTTATTGTTGGTTCAGCTGCCAAAAACTGCCAGCAGGGACCCAGTTTAAAATAAAATAAAAATTTAAATAAATTTTTTATTTTATGCCTTCCCTGTCTTTCCTGTCTGCCATCCTTAACAGGCTAGTTTTTATATTCATGCTTGTCTTCATTTGATTACAAGTTGGTGGCCACAACTCCAAACATCACAGCTTCATACAAACAGGAAAAAGAGGAGAGTAGGCAGGAAACAAGAGCTATGTCTGTCACCTTTCATCAATAAAGTACAAGCTTTCTTAGACCTCCTCTCACAAACCCTCTAGCAAAGCAAACTTCCACTTAAATCTCACTGGCCAGAACTAAGTCACATGACCACACATAGCTGCAAGGGAACCTGGAAAAACCTACAAGAAACTGGATTGACTAATTGGCTTATATCAATAGTTCTCAACCCTCGTTACATATTAGAATCTCCTAGGGATATTTTTAAGTGTACGTCTCTGAACATGGTCTTATCCTAGGGTCAGTGGTTCTCAACCAAGGGTAAGTTAGCAATGTTTGTGTACAGTCTTGATCCTTGTAACTGGGGGCGAGGTGCGCCCACCATTAAGTGGATAGAGGCCAGGATGGTGTAAAACACCCTACAACACACAGAACAGCCCCCAACAACACAGAATTATTCTCTTCAAAATGTCAGTAGTGTCAAGTTGAGAAACCTTGCCCTAGACCAATTAAATTATAATCTCTTCTACGTGGTTGCAATGTGCAGCCAGGGTTAAGATTCACTGGTTTCTGAATGATCCATTACATATCATGATTACACCATATTGATGCCCTGAACAAAACTAGGGTTCTGTTACAAGGAAGTAAAGGGGAATAAATATTGGTTATGTAGTGTGTCTGCTCCAGTAACTTTGGTCATATGCTAACAGTTTTACTTCTAATTCTATTAATTATGTAGTGTCTTTTGGTTCCTGTTTCATGAGATGAGAATATCAGCCCCTCACACACTTTGAGCTCTTCTCCCTTTTACTTTTCAACTTCTATCATTTGAAATTTAATTTTAGATTGACAAAGTGAATAGCATTTATTTTCTGTCCTATAATCAAAATTGCATCTATATGTTGTCTAACTACAGATTTTTTTTTTCTTTCTTTCTTTCTTTCTTTTTTTTTTTTTTTTTTTTTTGAGACAGGGTCTTACTCTGTCACCGAGGCTGGAGTGCAGTGGCATGATATTGGCTCACCAAAACCTCCGCCTCCCAGATTCAAGCGATTCTCCTGCCTCAGCCTCCCAAGTAACTGGGATTACAGGCACATGCCACCATGCCTGGCTAATTTTTGTATTTTTGGTAGAGACAGGGTTTCACCATGTTGGCCAGGCTGGTCTTGAACTCCTGTCCTCAGGTGATCCGCCTGCCTCGGCCTCCCAAAGTGCTGGGATTACAGGCGTGAGCCACTGCGCCCAGCCCAACTATAGATTCTTAAAGTTGAAATTTAATAAACAGGATTTATATTATGACAATATAAACGTTGTTCACTGCAGAGCTCAGAAATGTTTTTAAGCTACATTTCTTTATCAGCTTTTGTTTTACCTAGGGTTTGTAATTTTATTTATTTTATGTATTTTTATTTATTTATTTTTTGAGACAGGGTCTTACTCTGTCACCCAGGCTGGAGTGTAGTGGCGTGGTCACAGCTCACTGCAGACTGGACCTCGTAGGCTCAAGTGATTCCTTCACATCAGCCTCCCAAGTAGCTGGGACCACAGGCATACACCACCACACCTGGCTAATTTTTGTATTTTTTGTAGAGATGGGGTCTTGGCCAGGTTGGTATCAAACTCCCAGGCTCAAGTGACCTGTGCCCCCTCAGCTTCCCAAAGTGCTGGGATTACATGTGAGCCAGCCCTCGCAGCCCTTATTTTTTTTTCTTTTTTTGGGGGGAGTGTTAGACTTAGGCCATTTTATTTTTATGTTATTTATTTATTTATTTATTTATTTATTTATTTATTGAGGCACAGTCTTACTCTGTCACCCAGGCTGGAGTGCGGTGGCATGATCTCAGCTCACTGCAACCTCCGCCTCCCAGGTTCAAGCAATTCTCCTGCCTCAGCCTCCCGAGTAGCTGGGATTACAGGCATGCACCATCACACCTGGCTACTTTTTGTATTTTTAGTAGAGACGGGTTTCACCATGTTGACCAGTCTGGTCTCAAACTTCTGACCTCGGGTGATCCACCTGCCTCGGCCTCCCAAAGTGCTAGGATTACAGGCGTGAGCCACCGTGCCTGGCCAACTTAGGCTATTTTAAAAGGTATCCATATAACCCTACTTCTATCTGGTATCAGCAAGGAACAAACAAGGACTAAAACTAGACAAAGTTTCTTGGAACTAAAAGCTTTCCCAATCACCCTCTAATTCCAATGAGATTTTTAAAAACTGTGGAATCTAATTCATTTGAAACTGGGCTTACACAATAGAGTTCTAATACTATAATTCTATGTATCTAGGTAGGTTTCAGTAAATAAAGAAATACATATTTGGTGAAGTTGTTAAATGTTAAATTTTTGTTTGGGAATGGTTTTACTGGATGCTTCTAATGTAAATAGGAGAAAAATCTTTCGTTGACTCATTTGTCAGATACAATGTGATTTTATATATTACGCACTGGTGAAGTAGGGATATAGTGATGGATGAGCTAGCCCCACGTGACAACTGTAAATAATTTTATTTGCAGTGGATACTTCTCATTATTGACTGCTGTATAGCCAAAGAACATTAAGTGAAATTACATTCAGACTTGGTGTTACTGGGAAGCAAGGTCTCCACCATTGTGAACATCTGGGTGCGGCTGCAACAGGAACATGCTGTGACCTCTGGGACATGAACGTCTACCCTGACTGCAACTCCACATTGCAATTCCTTCTAGAATTCGGTGGTAGTTTAAATAACTTTACGATAGGCTTCCCAGAGCTCCACAGAGCATTGTCGATGACTGCCTGGATACCCAGAAGCTGTATAATTCAATCTTATAGGTAATATAATATCACCTCTTCATAGATTATTTTTGCACGTAGTATAGTTGTATTTTCTGTTACTTTTGATTGGTCAAATTTTTAGTGAGGTAAAATGTACATAGAGTGAAAGACAGATCTCAAGTACAATTCAAGGGGTTTTGACAAATGTATACTCCTATGTAACCAATGTCTTAATTGGTTAATTTTCTCTTTTGGGAGTTTTGGTAATATTAATTTGAGTTAATGCCCAAAGATCTCTGAAAAAAAATTTTTTCTTTCTTCCTATGAAAGTTTTTTTAATTGTGATAAAATCCACATAACACGATCTTTTTGGAGTTCCTAAGCATGATCGTTGGGTTTTCATGTGCATGTGTGAGATGTGACTCCCTCAAGCCTTGTTATGACATCAGCACATTACCAGTCTGACACACACAGAAAATACACATAACAATATTTACCATCAGTGACACTTAGTACATTTATAATATTGTGCAACCATTACTACCGCCTAGTTCTAGAACATTTTCACTACTTTAGAAGGAAACCCCATACATATTAAGCAATCACTCCCCATTCCACCTTCCCTAAGCTCTGGCAACCATTCATCTGCCTTCTGTCTCTGTGGATTTGCCTAGTCTAGATATTTTATATAGAATCATACTATATTGGCCTTTTGTGTCTGGCCCATTTTTTTTCACTTAGCATAATTTTTTCAAGACTCATAAATTTTGTAGCCTGTATCAGTACATCATTTCTTTTTATGAGAGGATAATATCCCGTTGTGTGTTTATACCACAATTTATCTGTTTATGTGTTAATGGACAGTTGAGTTGTTTTCACCTTTTGGCCACTGTGAATAGTGCTGCTGTGACCATTCATGTAAAATTCTGTCTGAACACTTGTTTTCAACTCTGAAAAAGATATTATTTTGTCACCCCTATTGGGACCTGCTATTTTGCTCCTTTACTGCCTGTTACTTGTTCTAAACAAAGCAAAACAAAAAGAGCAAGTCAGTGCTGAAACTGCCAAGGAAAAAAAGGTAAACAATGGTCTTGCTGTTTGACATGATTTTGGACAACCCCCTTGGCCAGTGCTCAGGAATGTGAAAATCATAGACATGGAGAACAGAAAACAGTGCATTCTTAGTTAACAAAATCACAGACTTTCCCAGCATTTGGTGTGAAAGGCTTTGATTACTATGTCTGTGTCCAAAGGGGATTGTTGTTTAAACCACAATGGCTGCTTAGTGGCTGGTTGCAAATGAGGTTGAAATGGTAAAAATGATAATTGCCCAGTGAGCAGTCCTGGCAGTGGCTAACCTTGCAGTACAGTGGGCAGATTTTAGGAAGGAGGGATGGAATGAGCTAGAGAGGTCATTTGAGCTACCTGGTAATGGTGTTACCCAGGGTACACACACCTGACTGGATGCAAATCCCAATAAGTTTCCAGTGTCCTCTAAACTACCAACCCAAAGTGATTACCCAACCCTAGGAGTCTAAGAAGTTCAAGAACTCTGAAAAAGAAGGGGTAATCCCCAGTGCCCACTCAAAACAAAATGCCCATTTGGTCAGTACAGAAAAGCAAATGGGACCTGGAGACTGTAGTTGTAGAGCAGCAGCATCTCCCACCACTGGGGCTAAAACTATCACTGGGTTCCTGATGTTGAGATGTGAATGTGGGAACTGGCTTCCCCAGCACATTCTCCTCCCTTTCTGTCCACTCAGATCACGAGAAATAGTTTGGCTGCACCAGTCAGTGACAGCCTCGGGATGGACCAAGTCCTTTATAATCTGCTACTTAGCTGTGTGATCTTGGACAAGTTACTTAACACATCTCAGCCTCAGTTTCCTCAGCTGAAAAATGGTGTTAATAAGAAGGCCTGTCACCACCAGGCGCAGTGGCTCACACCTGTAATCCCAGCACTTTGGGAAGCTGAGGCAGGTGGATCACTTGAAGTCAGGAGTTTGAGACCAGCCCGGCCAACAGGGTGAAACCCCATCTCTACTAAAAATACAAAAGTTAACCAAGCATGGTATGGTGGCTCGTGCCTGTAATCCTAGCTACTCGGGAGGCTGAGGCATGAGAATCCCTTGAACCCAGGAGGTAGAGGTGCAGTGAGCCGAGACTGTGCCACTGCGCTCCAGCCTGGGGGACAGAGCAAGACTCTTGTTTTAAAATAAAATGTGTGTTGGGGGGGTGCTATCACTTAGGGTTAATGAGAGAATTCAGTTAAGCCATATGGAGCACTTAGCAGAGTTTCAGGCATACTGTCAGTGACCCCCCAAAAAAACCCAAAAACAGTTATTATTGTGCTGCTGAAAAAGTGGGGTGGGCACAGCAGCACTACAGATGTGATATCAACTGCCTGGTCAACCTGAGCCATCCCTAAGGGCCCAAAACAGGGAGAGGGGTGAGAAGGAACAGGGTATCCAGATCCCCAGTGATCATGGGTCACTATCAAGAGAAGGCAGCCTCTGCATTTACTGCTGGCTATATACCCATGGCCTGCCCTGAAAAGCCACGTGGTTCACTCTGGGCAAAAGTGTTCCAGCTTACTGGATGCACCAGTAATAACTGTAATACTTCATTGTAATAATTCATATGTAACTTAAAATGTGTACAATCATTCATTCATTTATTGATCAGTAACCACTTACTAATCACCTACTGTGTGCCAGCCACTAGAACCTGGGGTTACAGCAACAAATAAGACACACAGTGGCTGGGTGCAGTGGCTCATGCCTGTAATCCCAGCACTTTGGGAAGTCAAGGTAGGTGGATCAGTTGAGCTCAGGACTTTGAGACCAGCCTGGGCAACATCGTGAAACCCCATCTCTACAAAAAAATACAAAAATTACCCGGGCATGGTGGTGCACGCCTGTGGTTCCAGCTACTCGGGAGGCTGAGGTGGGAGGATCACTTGAGCTGGGGAGGTTGAGGCTGCAGTGAGCTGAGATGGTGCCACTGCACCCAGCCTGAACAACAGAGAGAGACCGTCTCAAAAAAAAAAAAAAAAATCACACAGCATTCCTGCTGTCATGGAGCTTATATTCTAAAGGGGCTTTGCCACATGATGCCTGTGTCCTTAACTTCTTGTCATTTAACCTTTTGATGCCTCAGTTTCCTAACCTAGGACATGGAGATAGTAATAACAGCCACCTCAGAAAGTTGTCATGAGTTTTGAATGTGTTACTATCATAAAGCACTTAGAACAGTGCAAAGCATGGAGTAAGCACTGTGTAAATGCTGACTATCATTATTCAGAGGAAGGCTGAATGAGAAACAGGTTTGGCGAAGAAGATCAAGAGTCTCCTTTGGGTGCTTGTTAATGCTGAGGTATCAGCTGAATATCCAACTTAGGATTATTGATCGGGAGTTCAGATATGTCTGGAGGTCAACAGACAGGTCTGAGTTGGAGGTATAAATCTAGGGGTAATTGGTGTATTGTTGGTATTTAAAGTCCTGAAATTAATTGAGAACAGGCTCAGGGACTCACACCTATAATCCCAGTATTTGGGAGGCCAAGGTGGGAGGATTGTTTGAGGGCAGGAATTTGACACCAGCCTGGGCAACGTAGCAAGACCCCATCTCTACAAACAAAAACTAAGAAAAATCAGCCAGGCACAGTGGTGTGCACTTGTAGTCCCAGCTACTTGGGAGGCTGAAGCAAGAGAATTGCTTGAGCATAGGAGGTGTTTTGTTTTGTTTTGTTTTGTGTGTGTGTGTGTGTGTTTTGTTTTTTGGTTTTTGGTTTTTTCTTTTTTAGACAAACTCTCCCTCTTTTCCCCAGACTGGAGTGCAATGGCACGATCTCGGCTCACTGAAACCTCCACCTCCCAGGTTCAAGTGATTCTCTTGCCTCAGCCTCCTGAGTAGCTGGGATTACAGGTGTGCACCACCACACCCGGCTAAGTTTGTATTTTTAGTAGAGGCAGGGTTTCACCATGTTGGCCAGGCTGGTCTCGAACTCCTGACCTCAGGTGATCCGCCTGCCTCAGCCTTCCAAAGTGCTGGGATTACAGGCGTGAGCCCACTGTGCCTGCCTGAGCCCGGGAGCTTGAGGCTACAATGAGCTATGATTGTGCCGCTACATTCCAGCATGAGCAACAAAGCAAGACCTTGTGTCTTTTTTTTTTTTAAGCAAATTAATTGAGATCACCAAAGGAGTAGAGATAGAGAAGAGAAACATCCCAAAGACTGAGCCCTGGGGCACCCCAAAGTTTAAGACTTGGGGCTTTGAGGAGGAATAAACAAAGGAGACTGAGAAGGGGCAGCGAGAGAGATAGGAAACCTCAAGAGTATGGGGTTCTGGAAGCTGAGCGAAGAAAAGCTTTGCAAGAAAGAGAGGAGTCAACTGTCAAATGCTCCTGAAGGCAAAGTGAGACAAGAGCTGAGAGTGGTCATTCAATGTGGCCATAGGATGGTCACTGGTAACCTTGGAGCAGTTCTGGTGAACAGGTAGAGACAAATGCTGTGTTGGAGAATATTTAAGAGAGAATGGGAGGACTTGCTGAGCATAGTATAGATATCTCTTTTGAGATGTAAAGGAAAACAAAGAAATGAGAGGTAGAAAGGAATATGAGGTCAAGGAAATTTTCTTCATTTGTTTGTTTTCACTTCTGTAAGATGGGCTTTATTTCACAATATTTGTAGTGATATGTATGTGTATTTGAAGTGTTCCTTTATGGGACATTTCAACAACGTAGTTTTATCATGGAAAAGTATAGAGATCTAGGAGAAAATGTCATGTTCTATGTCACACCATTGCATGAGGTTGGAAGTCATTTTAAATATATTGAGTAAAGTAGGGAAATTAATTCAAGGGTCCAAAAAGTTAGGCCATTGGTGTTTAATAGTTGATGTTACAGAATCATTGTAGAGCCTCGTACTTGAACATACACATTAGTCTGGTGTGACATATACGACGGTACATTGCATCTGAAAGAGAAGAGGAAAGCTGATAACTCAGAAGGAATAGAAGCAAAAATTGAAAAGCTCTTACTTGAAGGATGATGGGAAAGGGCTTTATGAAAGTCTTGGACTCTCAATGATATAAAACAGAGTGGTCTCTCTGGAGTCATCCTACAGAGGTGGTAAACATAACATAACATGCACCCTCATGTGCAAAGTTTAGAGCTTCCCTGATGAGGTGGGGTGGGATTCTTACAAGTAAGACAAGCAACAAAAGCCTGAAACTACTTGTGGTGAGGAAGCAAGGATGTTTTCAAAGATTTGGGATTTCTGTAGGAACACAGAAGGAGGCCAGCATGTAGGGAAAACTCCCACCTAAAAGGGTGACCATGAAATGAGTTGAGAAGGAAAATCCGGCTGGGCAGTGACTCACAGCTGTAATCCTAGCACTTTAGGAGGCCAGGGAAGGAAGATCAGCTGAGCCCAGGAATTTGGAACTAGCCCTGGCAAGAGAACGAGACCCCATCTCTACTAAATAAATAAATAAAATAAAAATTAGCCAGGGGTGGTGGTGCATGCCTGTAGTCCCAGCTACTCAGGAGGCTGAGGTAGGAGGATCACTTAAGCCTGAGAGGTCAAGGCTGCAGTGAGCTGTGGTTGTGCCACTGTGCTCCAGCCTGGGCAACAGAGCAAGACCCAGTATCCACATAAAAAAAAAAAAATTTATTTAGCCGGTGTGGTGGTGTGCACCTATAGCCTCAACTACTCAGGAGGCTGAGGCAGGAGGACAGCTTGAGCCCAGGAGTTCAAGACCACCCTGGGCAACATAGTGAGACCCTGTCTCTACAAAAAATAAAAAACTAGCCAGGTGTGGTGGTGCACACTCTAAAAAAAAGAAGAAGAAGAAAAGAAGAAGATGAAGAAGGAGAAGAGGAAGAAGAAGAAGAAGAAGAAGAAGAAGAAGAAGAAGAAGAAGAAGAAGAAGAACCCATAATCTCAGCCTTTTATTGAAGAAGCCAAGTCTTTAAAAAATTATCAAGTCCTAAAAAGGGAATGTTAACACAATATGTTCTATAAGATGGTTATAAGCCCATGTGAATTTCCAGTATTATTTACTAGAGAAAATGCTATCTAGTGATTGAACTGAAGTAGTGGGAGAGTTTTCTGCTAAGATTTTGCCCAACAAGCAAAGTTCCAAACTGATTAATTTTGCCCTGCAGGCCATTCAATCTGCTCACACTGGTTCATTAGACACTCAGAATTTCTGCAGTTTCTGCTTGTTCAGATAGTTTTTGATTGGAAAGTAGTGCTTGATCCATGTGTTAAGCAAGAGATGTCTGTAATAGAACTAAACTCCTAGTGTATACACAAGCTTACTATCTGTCAGCGTTAATACCCAAGATGACACATCCACCTGCCTTTATTATGAGGAAAGTAGGTCTTGCTCTTAGACTAAAGAAATATTGGGGAAAGATTCATGCCTGTAATCCCAGCACTTTGGGAGGCCAAGATGGAAGGATTGCTTGAGCCCAGGAGTTCAAGACCAGCCTTGGCAACATGGTGAGACCTCATTTCTACCAAAAATACAAAAATTAGCTGGGTGTGGGGGTGTGTGACTGTAGTCCCAGCTACCTGGGAGGCTGAGGTGGGAGGATAGCTTGAGCTGAGAAGGCAGAGGCAACAGTGGGCTATGATCACACCACTGCTTCAGCCTGGACGACAGAGCAAGGCGCTATCTCAAAAAAAAAAAAAATCCCTTAAGAAATATTGGGGAAAGGCCGGGCGTGGTGGCTCACGCCTGTAATCCCAACACTTTGGGAGGCCAAGGTGGGTGGATCATCTGAGATCAGGAGTTTGAGACCAGCCTGATCAATATGGTGAAACCCCATCTCCACTGAAAATACAAAAATTAGCCAGGCGTGGTGGCAGGCGCCTGTAATCCCAGCTACTCGGGAGGCTGAGACAGGAGAATCGCTTGAAACTGGGAGGTGGAGGTTGCAGTGAGCTGAGATCATGTCACTGCACTCTAGCCTGGGCAACAGAGCTGGGATTACAAACACCTGCCACCACATCTAGCTAATTTTTGTATTTTTAGTAGAGACGGGGTTTCACCATGTTGGTCAGGCTGGTCTCAAACTCCTGACCTCAGGTGATCTACCGGCCTTGGCCTCCCAAAGTGCTGGGTGAGCCACTGTGACTGGCCAGATTTGAGGGGAGGAGGAAATGAGGTCATGTGTCTAAAACTCAACACAGGTCAAGTGCGGTGGCTCATGCCTGTAATCCCAGCACTTTGGGAGGCTGAGGCGGGTAGATCACCTGAGGTCAGGAGTTGAGACCAGCCTGGCCAACATGGTGAAACCCTGTCGCTACTAAAAATACAAAAATTAGCCGGGCATGGTGGTGCATGCCTGTAATCCCAGCTACTCGGGAGGCTGAGGCAGGAGAATCACCTGAACCCAGGAGGTGGAGGCTGCAGTGAGCCAAGATCGCACCACTGCATTCCAGCCTGGGAGACTAGAGCTAAACTCCATCTCAAAAAAAATTAAAAAAGAAAAAGAAAACTCAACACAATGCCTAGAATACAACCAATTTGTCCACAGTCATTACAGACCAAGGCCATGAAAGCCCAGGTTTGTTGACAACATTCTGTTAACATTCAGTCTTCTTTTCATTTTGCAGCCTGAAAATTTGTTCTTTTGGTTGAAACCCTGTGTCTAGAATCTAGCAGGAGATGCTTCAGGATAATGAGATGCTTCTAGGGAAATAGAAAATTATAAAATTCCAACCCACTACTTAGAAATGCAAACACATTTTATTTATTCATGGTCACTAATGTCTTTATTGGAGCTGGAACATCTAACACATTCAAACAACACATGATTAGTCTCCATAATAGGAACAAAACAAGCTCCCGGTGAATTAATCAGCTAATCATGTTGCAGAGGGTGTTCAGTGCTTTTCCACCATAAATGTAGTGTTCGAAGGGTCCCCTGATACCTTATGTTCATCCACACATGGGCTTCACCTGTCCCAGCACCTGCTGGTGTCAGATGTGTCAGCATCCTTGATCACCTCAGCCTGACACCCTCCAGGTACTGGGCTCAGCTCCAGGCCCTTGGGGCACCAGACCTTATTCTAGACTGTGAGAGATCATGGTGAGACTGAAGAGTGTCGGCTGGCTTGTTTATTTGATTTTAAAAAGAAAAAAACTCACTGTTAAAGAACAAAGGGTGAAAAGCAAACCCCCGGGGCTTGGGCTTGTTCCTAACTCCGTGATTTTACATACATATTTTTAAATACTTAGTCAATATGGAAAATTGCACTCTTTCTTAGCAACCAAATTTATAAAGAAAATTAGATCTGAACAACCCATGAAAGCAGGCAGGGCTCCAAAGGGGGATTCAGTCCAGAGGAAGGTCTAGGACCATAAAGCTCAGGACTGACTCCCCTCCAAGCCTATATTTGATTCCTAATGATAA
This sequence comes from Homo sapiens, assembly GCF_000001405.40. Lineage (NCBI taxonomy): Eukaryota > Metazoa > Chordata > Mammalia > Primates > Hominidae > Homo > Homo sapiens. The sequence continues at coordinate 48,484,435 of NC_000016.10, read as the reverse complement.
TCATCGTTAACATGAAATGAGCACTTTGCGGCAGAGGTACTATGCAAAATGTTTTACATTCATTATCTCATTTATTCCTCACAATAACCCCAGAGGCAGATAAACAGAGGCACAAAAAGGTAAGTATGTTGGTCAAGGTTACTCAGCCAGTCATAAGTGGTAGATGCAGAATCTGAACTCTAGACCCCAGGTTTTTGGGTACTATGCACACTGACCCAAGAGCACAGTTCCTTGTGCCCCAAACATCCAAATAGCAGAGTTTATGGGAAAAAGATGTGACTCTGAGCTAAATAATCTAAACAGTGAACTTCATTTTTTCCCTTCACTGAGAGACACAGACATAGATCATGGGAGCTGAAAGGTAGCAGAATATGTCACCCCAAAATATGCCACTTCATCATAAAGATGATTTTGAGCTCAAGATAACTGAGAAGAAGCAGATATAAGAAAAGCTCCCTGCTCTCCCCCTCCCCCTCTCCCCCTCCCCCTCTCCCCCTCCGCCTCTCCCCCTCCCCCCCTCCCCCTCTCCCCTTCCCCCTCTCCGTCCCTCCACAGTCTCCCTCTCTCTCCACAGTCTCCCTCTCCCTCTCCCTCTCTCTCCACGGTCTCCCTCTGATGCCGAGCCGAGGCTGGACTGTACTGCCGCCATCTCGGCTCACTGCAACCTCCCTGCCTGATTCTCCTGCCTCAGCCTGCCGAGTTCCTGGGATTGCAGGCGCGCGCCACCACGCCTGACTGGTTTTTGTATTTTTTGGTGGAGACAGGGTTTCGCTGTGTTGGCCGGGCTGGTCTCCAGCTCCTGACCGCGAGTGATCTGCCCGCCTCGGCCTCCCGAGGTGCCAGGATTGCAGATGCAGTCTCGCTCACTCAGTGCTCAATGTTGCCCAGGCTGGAGTGCAGTGGCATGATCTCGGCTAGCTACAACCTCCACCTCCCAGCCGCTTGCCTTGGCCTCCCAAAGTGCCCAGACTGCAGCCTCTGCCAGGCCGCCACCCCGTCTGGGAAGTGAGGAGCGTCTCTGCCCAGCCTCCCATCGTCTGAGATGTGGGGAGTGCCTCTCCCCCGCCGCCCCGTCTGGGATGTGAGGAGCGCCTCTGCCCGGCCACGACCCCGTCTGGGAACTGAGGAGTGTCTCTGCCTGACCACCACCCCATCTGGGAGGTGAGGAGCGCCTCTGCCCGGCCGCCCCGTCTGAGAAGTGAGGAGCCCCTCCACCCGGCAGCTGCCCCGTCCGGGAAGTGAGGAGCATCTCCGCCCGGCAGCTGCCCCGTCCAGGAGGGGTGGGGGGCAGCCCCTGCCTGGCCAGCCGCCCCATCCAGGAGGTGGGGGGCAGCCCCCGCCCGGCCAGCCGCCCCGTCCGGGAGGTGGGGGGCGCCTCCGCCCGGCCGCCGCCCCATCTGGGAGGTGGGGGGCCCCTCTGCCCGCCGCCCTGTCTGGGAAGTGAGGAGCCCCTCTGCCCGGCGGCCACCCCGTCTGGGAGGTGTACCCAACAGCTCATTGAGAAAGGGCCATGATGACGATGGTGGTTTTGTCGAATAGAAAAGGGGGAAATGTGGGGAAAAGAAAGAGAGATCAGATTGTTACTGTGTCTGTGTAGAAAGAAGTAGACATAGGAGACTCCATTTTGTTCTGTACTAAGAAAAATTGTTCTGCTTTGGGATGCTGTTAATCTATAACCTTACCCCCAACCCCGTGCTCTCTGAAACATGTGCTGTGTCCACTCACGGTTAAATGGATTAAGGGCAGTGCAAGATGTGCTTTGTTAAACAGATGCTTGAAGGCAGCATGCTCCTTAAAAGTCATCACCACTCGCTAATCTCAAGTACCCAGGGACACAAATACTGCGGAAGGCCGCAGGGTCCTCTGCCTAGGAAAACCAGAGACCCTTGTTCACATGTTTATCTGCTGACCTTCCCTCCACTATTGTCCTATGACCCTGCCAAATCCCCCTCTCCGAGAAACACCCAAGAATGATCAATAAATACTAAAAAAAAAAAAAAAAAAAGAAAAGCTCCCTGGCTGGGCATGATGACTCACACCTGTAATCCCAGCACTTTGGGAGGCCGAGGCAGGCAGATCACTTGAGGCCAGGAGTTCAAGACCAGCCTGGCCAACATGGCGAAACCTGGTCTCTACTGAAAAAAAAAAAAAAAAAAAAAAAAAGTAACCGGACGTGGTAGTGCACGCATGTAGTCCCAAATGCTGGGGAGGCTGAGGCATGAGAATCGCATAACCCCAGCGGCAGAGGTTGCAGTGAGCTGAGATCACACCACTGCACTCCAGCCTGGGCAACAGAGTAAGACTCTGCCTCAAAAAAAAAAAAAGAAAAAGATCAGAAAAGCTCTCTGCCCTCCCTCTATTTGCCTAAAAACAGGACAAAAGTTTGTTAAGATATCCTCCCTCCCCTCTCTACCGCAAAGGACAGAAATTAATCACTGGAAACAATGCTAGACCCTTAGCCTACAGGGCACCAGAGGAATCGACATAGTAAACCTCATTAACTAGCCCTTATCCTACATTAGTTTTTCCCATGTATTTGCCTGTGCACATTTTACTAGAAGCTCAAAGTCCTTTTCCTTTGTCTTGTCACTTTCTAAAACTTTATTTTCTTTTTGTTAAGATGCTCTTTAACCCCACTTTGTAACCATCCCTTGGAGTTACTCATCACTGGGTGCTCCCGTGGGTATGTGCAATGCCCACATTAATAAACTTCTGTTTGTTTCTCTCTTGTTAATCTGCCTTTTGCCAATCTAATTTACAGGGCCCCAGCTGGAAAACCTAAGATGGGTAGAGGAAAGAGACTTTTTTTCCTCTCCCCTAAGAAGTAAAGGTAAAGACCACTGTTTTGTTCTGTTATTTTTATAAAATTGATAAACCATCATTGTTTTGCTGATTGTAAAATAAAATATGCGCTTGTTATAAAATATGCAAATATATACAACTACAGAAAGTGAAAACCCACCACATACACACAGACACATATAATCTCATTTGCCACAGATGCCAGAGATAATTGCTTTGACTAGCTTTCTCTAAACAAAATATGTCTTAAGAATAAATGCAGCAGACTTCTGTTTCTAGTCACAGCAAACTAGCTTGTATTAGACCAATGCTTGCACTGAACAACTACAAATACTGATTTCATGAAAACAAAAGTAAAAGACTATTTGAGCAACAAATTTTCCATACAGAAAAAATTCCAAATTAGATAAGTAGATACTTGTCTTTACAGTGGGTGGAGCTTAAATATCCTTGTGTGTGGGCTGTTCTCAGAGACCCACTTCCAAAGTATACAGTGCAGAAAGGGGAAAACGTAACTTTACTGGAGAAATCTGGCAGACACTGCTTTGACTATGTCAAAGTCAAAATAAAATGTAGAGACAAATCTCTAAATTTAACTTTTTATTTTGGGAAGCAAGAATTGCATTTCAGGGCATACACATAGACTGGATGGTTTCTGGTTTGTCTGCAGAACAAAGAAAAGGTTGGGGGTTTTATTAAAAAGATAAATGTTGGCCGGGCGAGGTGGCTCACGCCTGTAATCCCAGCACTTTGGGATTACCTGAGCTCAGGAGTGTGAGACCAGCCTGGCCAACATGGTGAAACCCTGTCTCTACTAAAAATACAAAAATTAGCCAGGTGTGGTGGCGGGTGCCTGTAATCCCAGCTACTTGGGAGGCTGAGGTGAGAGAATCGCTTGAACCAGGGAGGTGGAGGTTCTAGTGAGCTGAGAACGCACCATTGCACTCCAGCCTGGGCAACAAGAACAAAACTCCGTCTCAAAAAAATATATATATAATATATATTATATATTATACATTATATATAATGTATAATATATTATATATTATGTATATATAATATATTATATATTATATATATTATATTATATATTATATATATTATATATATATAATATATAAATGTATGTACTGTTTTGAAAGAAAGCTCACTGGCACTAGAGAAGCTCTGGGTAGCTGGCAAGCACTAGAGAGTGACACCATGGGTAAAACTAGTCTTATAGTCACAGCAGGTCATTTCAGCAGCTCCTAGGTAAAATTGGTCTTCAGGTTACAGGTAGTTTTAGCAGCTGGGCTTTCAGATAATTCAATTCTTGGAGCAATGCTATGTGCCTCAAGTGCTTTTTCCCACAGCCCCTCAACTCTGATTTAGTTGTGTATGACAAGAATGACCCAACTTGTGTAATCAGCTTTCACAACTAAGTGATCAAAGTTGAAACCATTAGTAAAAAGTCATGTTTACATCATGTACTCCCTGACATGATGCAATCCATAGAGTACTTAGCATCTCTGTCATTTTTCTCCCAAACCCGTGATCCTGTCTAATCATGAGAAAACATCGGGCAAGCCCAAACTGAGGGACATTCTACAAAATACCTAACCAGTACTTCTCAAAACTCTCAAGGTCATAAACAACAAAACAAAAAGACTGATAACAACTGTTACAGACCATAAGATACTAAGGAGATATGGCAGATAAACATAATGTGATACCCTGGATTTTACATTGGAACAGAAAAAGGACATCATGAAAAACCTGGTGAAATCTGAATGAAGTCTACAGTTCAGCTAATAGCACTGTGTCAATGTTAACTTCATTTTTCCTAAATGTAACACAGCTAGCAAGGCAAGATGTTAACAATGAGGGAAAACTGGATGAAGGATGTATGGGACCTCTATCCTATTTTGCAACTTTTATTCCAAAATAAAAAGTTTATTTACTTGTTTTTGTTTGCTTATTTGCAGATAACAGTTACCTAAAAAACCAAAATCTCTGAGAAAAAGGAGGTGCATTGAAGTGAGGCTGGCATGATGCCTGGCTCCCCATTGAACCATTAGCCAATTCATAAGCGCCATGGGGCTAAGCTAAGAGGCTCAGAAGCACTCCCCTTGGGGTCTTAGCTGATGCATATGTAGCATTGAGCCTGGCAGCTTGAAAGCTGAGCAGTATTCTCAGCAGTCTCGCATCACTAACGAGACAAAACTTGAAGTTCAGGGTTCACTGTGAAGGAATAAAGACCCCATAGCTTCAATTAGGATCCCAGAAGACCTACACCCTAGGAATAAAGTTAAAATGAAAATAACCTGATCCTTCTAAAGACTAAAATTTGATTTCAAACCAAATCAGGCTCAGACTGGATTAGGGTAATCTGTATTTATTCGAACTGCTTGCCAGAATCAAAAGTAATCCTCCTGGAGAAAAGTAACATCATGAGAGCCTCAAATTATCTCCATAATTTTGTATACACAATGCCCAGCATTCAGTAAAAAACTTAGGTAACACATGGGACATGGTGAAAAGGTCAAACATACATGTAATTGGGATTTCAGGAGAGAAAAAGAATAGGAAATGGGCAATGTTTGACGAGCCTACTGCCAAGTGATAAAAGATATCAAGTCACAGACCCAAGAAACCCCATGAATGTCAACAAGAATGAATACTAAAAAATCTGACACAACTAGTCATACTAAAACTGCAGAAAATGAAAGACAAATAAAACTTCATAAAAGCGACCACAGAATAAAAGGACATATCATTTTCAAAAGAATAATAATTAACTAACAGTTATTCAGCAGAAAGTTTGGAAGCCTAGAGAATAATCCAATGGAATATTTGTGGAGCTTGTGGTGGCTCAGAAAACGATTCCCCAAAATATGGCACTCCGGCATGCTGAGTGCTTTGAAAATTGAAAAGCCTCAGAAATAAGCCTCAGAAACAAGGGCTCTTTTTCACCTCCCCCACCACCCCCCTACCCCGACATTCCTGTCTCTCCGATCCTCTTTCCCAAGGCACTTGGAGGCACTCTCTCTGGAATTTCCTTATCTAACTAAGAAAGCTCCTTTCCAAATGAAATACAATCAAGGTCCCTTCCCTAGGAATCTCATTAAATCATCAGGAAAGATTAACCACAGGCGAAGAGAAGAGGCTGGAACTCATCACCATGGCCAGACAAACTTTTCATCAATTCTTTTTTTTTTTTTTTTTTTTGAGACAGAGTTTCACTTTTGTTGCCCAGGCTGGAGTGCAATGGTGCGATCTCGGCTCACTGCATCCTCCACCTCCCAGGCTCAAGGGATTCTCAGGCCTCAGCCTCCCGAGTAGCTGGGATTACAGGTGCCCGCCACCACTCCTGGCTAATTTTTGTAGTTTTTAGTAAAGACGGGGTTTCACCACGTTGGCCAGGCCGGTCTCAAACTCCTGACTCAGGTAATTCACGCAACTTGGCCTCCCAAAGTGCTGGAATTATAGGTGTGAGCCACTGCACCCATAGTTCATCAATTCTTTTGATAGCAACTCTAAGAAATTATTTAGGAGACTTTATTTGTATAGTAGGACAACCTGTGTTCCTGTGCAGTTCTGCCCTTCACTTTCCAGTCATGTCCCAACCAGCTTCCAAAGAGAATCATTTACAAAATAATATCTGCCTCCCCGCTCCATACATCTCTCCCCTAATAAGAGAGTATTTAGGCCTGTCCCCTCTTCACATCTTACACTTTGTGTATGGCTTCCATGTTTGTGCATGCTACAAAAATTTTGTACACCTTCTTTCCCTATTAACCTGCTAGTTCATTTTCAGTGAACCTCTGGAGGACACAGAAGCTTTCCTTGGCTCCTACAAACTCAAGCAAAACAATAGCCCACCTAGAATTCTATTCTCAATTAAAAGTTCTTTCAGAAATGAAGGTAAAATGAGGCCAGGCATGGTGGCTCACACCTGTAATTTCAGCACCTTGGGAGGCCGAGGCAGGCGGATCACTTAAGGCCAGGAGTTTGAGACCAGCCTGGCCAACATGGCGAAAACCCATCTCTACTAAAAATACAAAAATTAGCCAGGCGTGGTGGTGCATGCCTGTAATCTCAGCTACTCAGGAGGCTGAGGCATGAGAATTGCTTGAGCCTGGAAGGTGGAGGTTGTGGTGAGCCGAGATCACACCACTGCACTCCAGCCTGGGCAGCAGAACCAGACTCTGTCTCAAAAAAAAAAAAAAAAAAAAAAACAAAGAAATGAAAATATTTCAAAGAAGCAAAAATTGAGAGAACTTATTTCTAGTAGATAGGAATAAAAGAAATACTGGGCTGGGTGCAGTGGCTTATTATGCCTGTAATCCCAGCACTTTGGGAGGCCAGGTGGGTGAATCACTTGAGGTCAGGAGTTTGAGACCAGCCTGGCCAACATGTTGAAACCCTGTCTCTACTAAAAATACAAAAAAAAAAAAAAAATTAGCTGGGTTTGGTGGCTCATGCCTGTAATCCCAGCTACTCGGGAGGCTGAGGCACCAGAATCCTTTGAACCTGGGAGACAGAGGTTGCAGTGAGCCAAGATCGTACCACTGTACTCCAGCTTGGGCAAAAGGGTGAGACCCGTCTCAAATAAAAATGGTAATAAAATAATTAAAGAAATACTAAAGGAGGCTCTTCAACAGAAGGGAAATTATTGAACACAAAGGTACAAGAATGCAAGAAAGAATGACAAACAGCAGAAAGGTAAGTATATGATTAATTGTAAATAGATACTGACTGTATAAAATAATAATGTTTCTTGGTGTTTAAAGTATATGTAGAATTAAAATGCAGGATAGAGAGAAGTAATTCTAAAATGGTGCAGTAAGGACTTCCAAAAATTCAGTTTTCCATGAAAGCCATAAGGACATTGGCAACAAAGGACAAAAAAAAATCTTTTCTAGGCTTTGGAAATTAACCACCAGGTTTCAACAACGAAGGAGATTCTAGTCAAGAAGCAAAGTTGCATCTCAGAAAGAAGAGTGAGTTTTGTGCATTTTAGCCTTTTCTGTTTCCATACCCTTTCCCAGATCCACGGTAGCCTTGAAAACTAGAAGCCTCTCAGAGAATCACAATTTACTGGAGCAGAAACCCACAGGCTGAAACCTCGGTGGGAACCAGAACTGAGGTAGGGAAACCTAATCTGTAACTGACGAATTGCTGGAAGCTCAATGTGGACAAGTCCAGTAGATAAAATATCAGGAGGCCCTAGGCGTCAGAAGGCCCCCACATTTTTTTTGAGTGTCTGAAATCATTTATTTATGTATTGTTTAATATATTTTTTAATTATTTAAACTTTTATGTTCAAGGGTACATGTGCAGGTTTGTTATATAGGTAAACTCATGTCAGAGGAGTTTGTTGTGTAGATTATTTCATCACCCAAGTACTAAGCCTAGTACCCAATAATTCTTTTCTCTGATTCTCTCCCTCCTCCCGTTCTACATCCTCAGGTAGGCCCAAGTGTCTGCTGTTCCCTTCTTTATGTCCACATGTTCTCATCATTCAGCTTCCACTTCTAAGTGAGAACATTCAGTATTTGGTTTTCTGTTCCTGTGTTAGTTTGCTAAGGCTAATGGCTTCCAGCTGTACCCATGTTCCCCCAAAGACACCATCTCATTCTTTTTTATGGCTGTATAATATTCCATGGTGTATCTGTACCACATTTTCTTTATCCAATCTGTCATTGATGGGGCCCCCATGTTTTTGTGAGATTTACCTTGCAGTTCTCACAGTGAATTTCTGAGAAAAATCTCCTTGTGCTTTGGGAGGCGGAGGAGGAAAGAAATTTGGAAGAGAATTTGTTGCCATTAGAACTGTCTTGCAAGAAATGTTAACATAACTTCTTCAAAGAGAACAAAAATAATGTAGGTCGGAAACTCAGATTCATATAAAGAAAGGAAGAGGACCAGAGAATGAATAAGTGGAGGTAAAAGAAAAACTTTCATTTTTCTTAATCTTAATTTATCTAACAGATAACCGTTTGTTCAAAATAACAACAATGTATTCAGTTATGTATGATTACACTTGTGTGTGTGTGTGTATGTGTGTGTATGCTTATGTATACAATGAAATGAATAGAACAATGATACAAGAAACAGGAGAGACAAATTAGGAATGTTTTATTGTAAGGTATTTGCACAACCCTTGAAAAGACACAGTGTTATTTGAAAGAGGACTATATTTAATTATAAATGTATATTGCAAACTCTAGGGCAACCATTAAAAAAAGTTTAAAAAGTGGCCAGCTGACTGGATAAGAAAAATGTGGTACAGATACACCATGGAATATTATGCAGCCATAAAAAAAGAATGAGATGGTGTTTTTTTGGTAGAGATGGGGTTTCACCATGTTGGCCAGACTGGTCATGAACTCCTGAGTTCAGACCATTCATACCTGTATTCCCAGCACTTCAGGAGGCCAAGGCAGGCGGATCACTTGAGGTCAGGAGTTTGAGACCACTCTGGCCAACATGGTGAAACCCCATCTCTACTAAAAATTCAAAATTAGCCAGGCATGGTGGTGCGTGCCTGTAATCCCAGCTACTCAGGAAGCTGAGGCAGGAGAATCCCTTGAGCCCAGGAGGCAGAGGTTGCAGTAAGCCAAGATCACACCACTGCACTCCAGCCAGGGCAACAGAGTGAGACTGTCTCAAAAAAAAAAAAAAAGTAAAAAAGAAGTATAACTGATATGCCAAGAAAGGACAGAAAACAGAATCATACAAAATGCCTAATTAAAACCACAAAAGGCAGAAAAAGAGTGAAAGGCAAAATTAGGAATGAAGAACGAGAACAACAAATAGAAAACAGTAACAAATATAGTAGATAATAATCAATTATATAAATAATCAGTTTGAAAGTCAATGGTATAGCTGGTCACAGTGGTACATGAGGCAAAAACTGATAGAACCACAAGGAGAAATACATAAATCCACTATTATAGTTAGAGACTCCAACCTCCCTTTTCATAATGGGACAGATCCAGCAGCCAAAAAAGCAGTAAGGACTTAGGTAAACTCACCACCACCACCAATCAATGAGGTACGATGGCTACTTATAGACAGCTTCATTCAGCAACAGTAGAATACACATTCTTCTCTTCTCAAGCTCATGTGGAACATTCACCAAGATAGACAACTTCTGGGCTATTAAAAAAGAAAACCACCTTCCATTCCCTCTAAGTGAACAGGAAAAATTTTTAAAAATAGTAAAATAGTAATAATAATTTTAAAAAATTAAAAATAAAAATGTTTTGTTTTTGTCAGGTTTGTCAAAGATCAGATGGTTGGTATTATTTCTGAGGGCTCTGTTCTGTTCCATTGGCCTATATCTCTGTTTTGGTACCAGTACCATGCTGTTTTGGTTACTGTAGCCTTGTAGTATAGTTTGAAGTCAGGTAGTGTGATGCCTCCAGCTTTGTTCTTTTTGCTTAGGATTGACTTGCCAATGCGGGCTCTTTTTTTTGGTTCCATATGAACTTTAAAGTAGTTTTTTCCAATTCTGTGAAGAAAGTCATTGGTAGCTTGATGGGGATGGCATTTAATCTATAAATTACCTTGGGCAGTATGGCCATTTTCACGCTTTTGATTCTTCCTATCCATGAGCATGGAATGTTCTTCCATTTGTTTGTGTCCTCTTTTATTTCATTGAGCAGTGATTTGTAGTTCTCCTTGAAGAGGTCCTTCACATCCCTTGTAAGTTGGATTCCTAGGTATTTTATTCTCTTTGAAGCAATTGTGAATGGGAGTTCACTCATGATTTGGCTTTCTGTTTGTCTGTTACTGGTGTATAAGAATGCTTGTGATTTTTGCACATTGATTTTGTATCCTGAGACTTTGCTGAAGTTGCTTATCAGCTGGATTCCCTATTTAATAAATGGTGCTGGGAAAACTGGCTAGTCATATGCAGAAAGCTGAAACAGGATCCCTTCCTTATACCTTATACAAAAATTAATTCAAGATGGATCAAAGACTTAAATGTTAGACCTAAAACCATAAAAACCCTAGAAGAAAACCTAGGCAATACCATTCAGGACATAGGCATGGGCAAGGACTTCATGTGTAAAACACCAAAAGCAATGGCAACAAAAGCCAAAATTAACAAATGGGATCAATTAAACTAAAGAGCTTCTGTACAGCAAAAGAAACTACCATCAGAATGAACAGGCAACCTACAGAATGGGAGAACATTTTTGCAATCTACTCATCTGACAAAGGGCTAATATCCAGAATCTACAAAGAACTCAAACTAATTTACAAGAAAAAAACAAACAACCCCATCTAAAAGTGGGCAAAGGATATGAACAGACACTTCTCAAAAGAAGACATTTATGCAGCCAACAGACACATGAAAAAAATGCTTATCATCAGTGGCCATCAGAGAAATGCAAATCAAAACCACAATGAGATACCATCTCACACCAGTTAGAATGGCAATCATTAAAAAGTCAGGAAACAACAGGTGCTGGAGAGGATGTGGAGAAATAGGAACACTTTTACACTGTTGGTGGGACTGTAAATTAGTTCAACCATTGTGGAAGACAGTGTGGCGATTCCTCAAGGATCCAGAACTAGAAATACCATTTGACCCAGGCATCCCATTGCTGGGTATATACCCAAAGGATTATAAATCATGCTGCTATAAAGACACATGGACATGTATGTTCATTGCGGCACTATTCACAATAGCAAAGACTTGGAACCAACCCAAATGTCCATGAATGGTAGACTGGATTAAGAAAATGTGGCACATATACACCATGGAATACTATGCAGCCATAAAAAATGATGAGTTCATGTCCTTTGTAGGGACATGGATGAAGCTGGAAACCATCATTCTCAGCAAACTATTGCAAGGACAATAAACCAAACACCGCATGTTCTCCCTCATAGGCGGGAATTGAACAATGAGAACACTTGGACACAGGAAGGGGAACATCACACACCAGAGCCTGTTGTGGGGTGGGGGGATGGGGGAGGGATAGAGTTAGGAGATATACCTAATGTAAATGACGAGTTAATGGGTGCAGCACACCAACATGGCACTTGTATACATATGTAACAAACCTGCACATTGTGCACATGTACCCTAGAACTTAAAGTATAAAAAAGTAAAAATAAAAATAAAAATTTTTAAAACCACCTTAACTTTTTTTTTTTTTTTTTTTGGGATGGAGTCTTACTCTGTCACACAGGCTGGAGTGCAGTGGTGTCATCTCAGCTCACTGCAGCCTCCGCCTCCCAGGCTCAAGCAATCCTCCCACCTCAGTCTCCTGAGTAGCTGAGACCACAGGTATACACCACCATGCCCAGCTAATCTTTTATATTTTTGGTAGAGATGCGGGTTTCACCATGTTGGCCAGGCTGGTCTCGAACTCCTGAGCTGAAGCCATCCTCCCAACTTAGCTTCCCAAAATGCAGGGATTACAGGCGTGAGCCACTGTGCCTGGCCAACATTTAAAACTATGGAAATCATATTTCTGTCCTCAGACTACAGTGGAATTAAACTAAAAGTCAGTAACAGAAAAATAGCTGGAAAATCTGAAAATACTTGGAGATTAAACAATACACTTCAAAATAACACATGTGGCCGGGCGAGGTAGCTCATGCCTATAATCCCATCACTTTGGGAGGCTGAGGTGGGCAGATCACTTGAGGTCAGGAGTTCAAGATCAGCCTGGCCAGCATGGAGAAACCCCGTCTCTACTAAAAATACAAAAATTAGCCTGTGTGGTGGCCTGTGCCTGTAATCTCAGCTACTTGAGAGGCTGAGGCATGACAATCACTTGAACCCGGGAGGTGGAGGCTGCAGTAAGCTGAGATCGCGCCCCTGCACTCCAGCCTGGGTGACAGAGAGAGGCTCCGCCTCAAAAACAAAAAACAAAAAACCATACGGGGTGGTTGTGGGTGAGTGGAGCTGGGGTGGCCCCCGCAGGCAGCCAGGGTTTGGGCTGGGGATGGGCTCTAGGCTGCATGTTCCCAGGGTGATTTCAGTGCTTCCAAGCTGCCTGGCAGGCTCCAGCCCACTGCCTCATGGAGCCCTAGCCCCATGCAGTTTTCCTTTCTGCCCTCCTGGGCTCCTGGCTGCCCACCTGTGCTCTGAGGATACATCCCATCTCATGGTTAGGACCTCAGGCCTGGGAAAATGATGTACATTCCTTGTGTCTTCATTCCAGTTCTGCTCTGAAGCTGCAAAAACTTCCGGCCGGGCCCAGTGGCTCACGCCTGTAATCCCAGCACTTTGGGAGGCCAAGGTGGGCAGATCACCTGAGGTCAGGAGTTCAAGACCAGCCTGGCAACATGGTGAAACCTCCTCTCTACTAAAAATACAAAATTAGCTGAGTGTGGAGGTGTGGCGCCTGTAATCCCCCAGCTACTCAGGAGGCTGAGGCAGGAGAATTGCTTGAACCCGGGAGGCAGAGGTTGCAGTGAGCTGGGATGGTGCCACTGCACTCCAGCCTGGGTGACAAAGTGAAACTCCATCTCGAAAAAACAAAACAACACAAAAACATCCTGGGTCACACATATACCCTCTGATTTCCCCTTTTGTTGGTCATATATGTCTTAGAAAAACTATACAATAATCCAATGATAAAAATAAAAGCCAAAGAGACTATAATAATGCAGACATAAATGGATTACCAACAAAAGGACCAACAGAAATCTCTGATAAAAAGAAAGACTAAAGCAATTTTCCCAAAGGATCTCATTGTTTTAAAAATGAACCTGATAATATGAAACACGTTGTTTGTCATTGTCTCTGACCTTTTTCTCTGAGACCAGAATTTGGGATAGAATATTTCAATATTTACCTGATACTAATCAGGAAATGCATGGTATTTATATTTTCAATGTATTTAGTTATATTTAATGACCTCCTTCCTGAGTTCCTTTTTCCTTAAAATAGCTTTCATTTCTATTATTACAATTTTAATAAGACGAATAAATGGAAGGTTTGTGCCGGTAGACACCCTGCTACTAAGTCAATATTTAAAAAATGTTGGTACTCCAGCATTTATTCACACGAATTTCACTGCTGTTTGCTTTAATTTCTTTGGGCTCTTCTAATTTGAGTGGAGAACACTTTTACTGTGAAACAGTGCCATAAGACTGTGCTGTGAAATGAAGGATAGAGTTTTTATGATATGAAACATAAACATATAATTACTCTCCAACACAATGGACCAGCTTATCCAGGAGAGCCGTAATTATTATTTACCCTCTGAGGAAGATAGGAAAGACAGGAACATAGGGGAAACCTCTTTGGAAAATAACTTTTACGTAAATGTCTAATGTATATTATGAAATTCTGATATTTGTTGCATTCCTTCTATTTCTACAAATGTATTACACATTCAGTTCAAAACAATACATGGGTCAAAGAATGTATCTCAGATAAATTTAAAAATATTGGGAACACAGTGAAAATAAAAAGACAACTTATCAAAATTTGTGGGATGCAACAAAAGCTGTGCTTAGGGGGAAATGTATAGCATCAGATGCATGTATTAGAAAATAGGCCAGGCACAGTGGCTCATGCCTGGAATCCCAGGACTTTGGGAGGCCGAGACAGGAGGATTGCTTACCCCATAAGTTCAAGACCAGCTTGGACAATATAGTGAGACTTTATCTCTACAAAAAAAAAAAAAATTAGCCAGGTGTGGTGGCACACATCTGTAATCTTAGCTACTTGGGAGGCTGAGGCAGAAGAATCACTTGAGTGTGGGAGGTTGAGGCAGCAGCGAGCCCTGATCTCACCACTGCACTCCTGTTTAGGTGACAGAGTAAGATCCTGTCAAAAAAAAAAAAAAGAAAAGAAAAGAAAAGAAGTAAGAGCTAAAATCAATAATCTAAACTTCTACCTTCAGAAACTAGAAATATAAGAGCAAATTAAATTCACACTAAGCAGGAAAAAAAGAAATAATAAAAACTGAAGCAGAAACCAATGACATTGCAAACAGGAACTCAATAGAGAAAAATCAATGAAACCAAGAGGTGGTTTTTTGCAAGATTAATAAAACATAAAACAGACTAGGAAAAAAAGAGGATACAAATCACTAATATCAGAAATGTAAAGGGGATGTCACTACAGCTCCTGTGAATTTTTAAAAGATAATAAGGAAATACTATGAACAACCCTATTCCCACAAATTTTATAACCTAGATGAATTGGATCAATTCACTGAAGGACACAACCTGCCTAAATTCACATAGGAAGAAACAGACAATCTGCATAGGTCTATACCTATTGAACAAGTTGAATTAATAATTAATAAATTCCAAAACAGAAAACACCAGGCCCACATGTATTTACTGGTGAATTCTACCAAACATTTAAGGAAGAAATTAGACTGATCTCTACAATCTCCTTTAGAAGACAGAAGCGGAGGGAATCATTTCTAACTCATTCTATGAGAGTAGCATTGCCCTAATACCAAAATTAGATAATGACATTACAAAAAAGATAACTACAGGCCTGGCGCAGAGCCTCACATCTGTCATCCCAGCACTTTGGGAGGCTGAGGCAGGTGGATCACCTGAGATCAGGAGTTCAAGACCAGCCTGGCCAACATGGTGAAGCCCTGTCTCTACTAAAAATACAAAAATTAGCCAGTCATGGTGGTGCACACCTGTAATCCCAGCTACTCGGGAGGTTGAGGCAGGAGAATCGCTTGAACCCAGGAGGTGGAGGTTGCAGTGAGCCACGATCGTACCACTGCACTCCAGCTTGGGTGACAAGTGAGACTGTCAAAAAAAAAAAAATACAAAAACAGCACCAATTAAAGTGACTACATAAGTAAATATAAAAGAGAGTATACATGTATTTTTGTTTGTAACCCTTTTTTTCTATCCAATTTAGAAGACAACCACATAATTATAAATTATATATTTATTTATATATTGTATAAATTTATATATATTTATATATATAAATTTATATATATTTATATATATAAATTTATATGTATATATAAATTATAAATTATAAATCAATAATTATAAAACTATGTTAATTGGCTTGTAATGTATAAAGATGTAACATGTATGACAATACTAGCACAAAGGAGTGGGGAGGAAATGAAGCCATACCAAAGCAATGTTTTCGTGTAAGAGTGATATAAAGTTGTTAGTGATCCAAACTAGATTGTTTTTAAATTAAGATGCTAATTGTAATCTTCAGGGCTACCACTAAGAAATATGTTAAAAACAAAACAAAATAGTAAAGAAAAGAACAAAGGAATTAAAATAGTACACTATAAAAATCTTTTCAATGCAAAGGCAGCAGTAACTGCAAAATAGTGGAACAAAAAGACATAAAATATATTAAAAATAAATAACAAAACAGTAGGTGTCAATCTTACCTTATTAGTAATTACATTAAATATAAATAGATTTAAATACTGTGATCAAAAGGCAGAATGGGCATAATGGATTTTTTAAAAAATGATTCAACTCTATGCTGTATACAAGAGCACTCTTTAGATTCAAAGATGCAATAAGTTAAAAGTAAAGGGATAGGCTGGGTGCGGTGGCTCACACCTATAATCCTAGCACTTTGGGAGGCAGAGGTGGGTGGATCACTTGACGTTAGGAGTTCAAGACCAGCCTGGCCAACATTGTGAAACCCCATCTCTACTAAAAGTACAAAAATTAGGGGGCATGGTGGCACACACCTGTAATTCCAGCTACTCAGGAGGCTGAGACATGAGAATCACTTAAACCTGGGAAGTGGAGGTTGCAGTGAGCCAAGATGGTGCCACTGCACTCCAGCCTGGGTGACAGAGTGAGACTCTGTCTCAAAAATAAATAAATAAATAAATAAATAAATAAATAAAGGAATAGAAAAAGGTATACCATGCAAACATCAGCCAAAGCACAGCTAGTATGGCTATACTAATATCAAAAGAAATAAGCTTTAAGGCAAAAATTTGTACTAGAGACAAACAATAGCATTTTATAATGATGCAAAAGTTTAATCCATCGGGAAAATATAACAATTACAAGCATACATGCACCTAACAACAGAACCCCAAACATAAGCTATAGGACAATAGTAGCATAAAGAGAAGGATGAAGTAAATGGAGTTAAAATGTTCTAAGGACCTTGAAAATATAAAAGTACTAATCTATATGAGATTCCAATAAGTCAAAGATACATGTTATAATCTCTAGGGCAACCCGTTAAAGAAGAACAAAATAAGGTATAACTACTAAGCTAAAAATGGGAGGAAAATTTATTGAAAATATTGATTAATCCAAGAGAAAAGAAGAAAAAAATAAAAATCAACATTAAATCATTTAGCTATAGAGAAAAGAGAATAAAATCTCAATATATCATAGCTATGTTGAGTATAAATGGACAAAATATGTAAATTAGAAGATAAAGATTGTCAATCTAGATTTTGAAAACTATCTGGTTACAAAAGATGATCTTGGCCAGGTGGGGTGGCTCATGCCTGCAATCCCAGCACTTTGGGAGGCCGAGGTAGGCGGGTCACTTGAGGCCAGGAGTTTGAGACCAGCCTGGCCAACATGGCAAAATCTCATCTCTACTAAAAATACAAAAAATAGCCAGGCATGGTGGTGCGCACCTGTAACCCCAGCTACTCAGGAGGCTGAGGCAGGAGAATCGCTTGAAGCTAGGAGGCAGAGGTTCCAGTGAGCTGAGATCATGCCACTGCACTCCAGCCTGGCTGACAGAGCAAGATTCTGTCTCAAAAAATAAAAAATAAAAAGAACACTGAACTCAACTAAATTATATATATTCTTTTCAAATGCACATGGAAAAATTTAAAAAGTGAATGTATGCTTGGCCATAAAGCAAGTCTCAACAAATTTCAGAGGATTAAAATCACATAGAGCATGTATCTCTGACTACAATAGAAATAAGATAAATATGAATTACAGAAAGAAAACCAGAAAAACTCCCCAAAAGTTTACACATTAAGCAATACACTTCACAATGACCCATGGGTCAAAAAAAATTACAACAAAAATTAGAAAACTTGTTGAAGAGAATTATAATATAAAAATGGCATGTCAATACTTCTGGGCTGCTGCTTAGGCATGTTTAGAGAAAATTTTATAGCTTCAAATACATATGTAAGAAGAAAAGTACGAAAAATCAGTTATCCATATTTCCAGATAATAGTTAGAAAATAGTAAATTAAGGCCGGGCGCGGTGGCTCACGCCTGTAATCCCAGCACTTTGGGAGGCCGAGGCGGGCGGATCACGAGGTCAGGAGATCGAGACCATCCCGGCTAAAACGGTGAAACCCCGTCTCTACTAAAAATACAAAAAATTAGCCGGGCGTAGTGGCGGGCGCCTGTAGTCCCAGCTACTTGGGAGGCTGAGGCAGGAGAATGGCGTGAACCCGGGAGGCGGAGCTTGCAGTGAGCCGAGATCCCGCCACTGCACTCCAGCCTGGGCGACAGAGCGAGACTCCGTCTCAAAAAAAAAAAAAAAAAAAAAAAAAGAAAATAGTAAATTAAGTCTGGGCATGGTGGCTCACGCCTGTAATCCCACCACTTTGGTAGGCCGAGGTGGGTCGGATCACAAAGTCAGGAGTTCGAGATCAGCCTAGCCAACATAGTGAAACCCCATCTCTACTAAAAATACAAAAAATTATCCAGGCATGGTGGCACGCACCTGTAATTCTAGCTACTCAGGAGGTTGAAGCAGGAAAATTGCTTGAACCCGGGAGGCAGAGGTTGCAGTGAACCGAGATCACACCATTGCACTCCAGCCTGGGTGACAAGAGTGAAACTCTGTCTCAAAAAATATAAAAAAACCGGGGGTGTTCCAAGATGGCCGAATAGAAACAGCTCCAGTCTACAGCTCCCAGTGGAGCGACACAGAAGATGGGTGATTTCTGCATTTCCAACTGAGCTTTCAAGAGAGTAGTGGTTCTCCCAGCACAGAGTTTGAGATCTGAGAATGAACAGACTGCCTCCTCAAGTGGGTCCCTGACCCCCGAGTAGCCTAACTGGGAGACACCCCCCAGTAGGGGCAGACTGACACCTCACACAGACGGGTACCCCTCTGAGACGAAGCTTCCAGAGGAATGATCAGGCAGCAAGATTTGCTGTTCAGCAACATTCACTGTTCTGCAGCCTCTGCTGCTGATACCCAGGCAAGCAGGGTCTGGAGTGGACCTCCAGCAAACACCAACAGACCTGCAGCTGAGGGGTCCTGACTGTTAGAAGGAAAACTAACAAACAGAAAGGACATCCACACCAAAACCCCATCTGTATGTCACCATCATCAAAGACCAAAGGTAGATAAAACCACAAAGATGGGGAAAAAACAGAGCAGAAAAGCTGAAAATTCTAAAAATCAGAGCACCTCTCCCCCCTCCAAAGGAATGCAGCTCCTCGCCAGCAATGGAACAAAGCTGGACAGAGAATGACTTTGACGAGTTGAGAGAAGAAGGCTTCAGACGATCAAATTTCTCCAAGCTAAAGGAGGAAATTCGAACCCAACGCAAAGAAGCTAAAACCCTTGAAAAAAGATTAGACGAATGGCTAACTAGAATAACCAGTGTAGAGAAGTCCTCAAATGACCTGATGGAGCTGAAAACCATGGCACGAGAAATACGTGACAAATGCACAAGCTTCAGTAGCCAATTCCATCAGCTGGAAGAAAGGATATCAGTGATGGAAGATCAAATGAATGAAATGAAGTGAGAAGAGAAGTTTAGAGAAAAAAGAGTAAAAAGAAATGAATAAAGCCTCCAAGAAATATGGGACTATGTGAAAAGACCAAATCTACGTCTGATTGGTGTACCTGAAAGTGATGGGGAGAATGGAACCAAGTTGGGAAACACTATTCGGGATATAATCCAGGAGAACTTCCCCAACCTAGCAAGGCAGGCCAACATTCAAATTCAGGAAATACAGAGAATGCCACAAAGATACTCCTCGAGAAGAGCAACTCCAAGGCACATAATTGTCAGATTCACCAAAGTTGAAATGAAGTAAAAAATGTTAAGGGCAGCCAGAGAGAAAGGTCGGGTTACCCACAAAGGGAAACCCATCAGACTAACAGTGGATCTCTCGGCAGAAACTCTACAAGTCAGAAGAGAGTGGGGACAATATTCAACATTCTTAAAGAACAGAATTTTCAACCCATAATTTTATATCCAGCCAAACTAAGCTTCATAAGTGAAGGAGAAATAAAATCCTTTACAGACAAGCAAATGCTGAGAGATTTTGTCACCACCAGGCCTTCCCTAAAAGAGCTCCTGAAGGAAGCACTAAACATGGAAAGGAACAACTTGTACCAGACACTGTAAAAACATGCCAAATTGTAAAGACCATTGACGCTAGGAAGAAACTGCATCAACTAATGAGCAAAATAACCAGTGAACATCATAATGACAGGATGAAATTCACACATAATAATATTAACCTTAAATGTAAATGGGCTAAATGATCCAATTAAAAGACACAGACTGGCAAATTGGATAAAGAGTCAAGACCCATCAGTGTGCTGTATTCAGGAGACCCATCTCACGTGCACACACACTCATAGGCTCAAAATAAAGGGATGGAGGAAGATCTACCAAGCAAATGGAAAACAAAAAAAGGCAGGGGTTGCAATCCTAGTCTCTGATAAAACACACTTTAAACCAACAAAGATCAAAAGAGACAAAGAAGGCCATTACATAACGGTAAAGGGATCAATTCAACATGAAGAGATAACTCTCTTAAATATATGTGCGCCCAATACAGGAGCATCCAGATTCATAAAGCAAGTCCTTAGAGATCTACAAAGAGACTTAGACTCCCACACAATAATAGTGGGAGATTTTAACACTCCACTGTCAACATTAGACAGATCAACGAGACAGAAAGTTAACAAGGATATCCAGGAATTGAACTCAGCTCTGCACCAAGTGAACCTAATAGACATCTACAGAATCCTCCACCCCAAATCAACAGAATATACATTCTTCTCAGCACCACATGCACTTATTCCAAAATTGACCACATAGTTGGAAGTAAAGCACTCCTCAGCAAATGTAAAAGAACACCTTGTTTGTATATTTGTAAATTTATAAATATATTTATAATTTTATTATATATTTAAAATTATATATAATATATAAATATTATATACATATATTTTTTTGAGACAGAGTCTCATTCTGTCATCCAGGCTGGAGTGCAGTGGCACAATCTCAGCTCACTGCAACCTCTGCCTTTTGGGTTCAAGCGATTCTCCTGCCTCAGCTTCCCAAGTAGCTGGGACTACAGGCATGTGCCACCACGCCCAGCTAATTTTTTGTATTTTGGTAGAGACGGGCTTCACTATGTTGGCGAGGCTAATCTCAAACTCCAGACCTCAGGTGATCTGCCTGGCTTGGCCTCCCAAAGTTCTGGGATTACAGGCATGAGTCACCATGCCCAGCCACCTTCTTAAAAGTTTGCTAGATTTTCCATTAATGTTCCTTTCTGACCCAGGATCCAGTCCAAGATCCCATCTAGCATTTAATTGTCATGTCTACTTACTTTCCTCCAATCTGGAACAGTTCCTCAGTCTTTCTTTGTCTTTATGACCTAAACACTTTTTGAAGAGTACTTTGTTTTGTGAAATATCTCAGTGCAAATTTCTCTGATGTTTTCCCATAGCTAGATTGAGATTATGCAGTTTTGTCAAGAATATTACAAAGTAATGCTGTCCCAGAAGAAAACTTTCTTAATTTGATAAAGAATCTATTCAAGAGGATGGCTAAAATTTTTTAAAGTGGAAGATAGCAAGTGTTGGTGAGAATGTGGAGAAATTCAAACCCTCATGTATTTCTGGTAGGAATGTAAAATGGTTCAGGTTGTTTTTTAACAGTTTGGTGGTTCCTCAAAAAGTTAAACATAGAATTATCATATGACCCAGCAAGTCCACCTCTAGATACACACCTAAAAGAATTTAAAATGAGCTCAAAAAAAAAATCCTCATACAGTAGTCTGCCCTTATCTGCAGGGGATACTTTCCAAGGTTTCCAGTGGATGCCTCAAACCTCGGATTGTACCAAATCCCATACACACTACAGGTTTTTTTTTTGACTTCTCCCTCCACCCCCATAATATCTTACTGTGTTGTGCTCACCCTTCTACTTCTTATGATGTGAAAGGCTAAAATGCCTACGTGATGAAATGAGGAGAGGTGAATGACAGGCATTGCGATGTATCATTAGGCTGCTATTGACCTTCTGACTATGTGTGAGGAGGATCATATGATTTGGGCGATCCTGGATAATCAAGCCGTGATGATGTTGATGGTTGGATGTCAGGAGCAAACAAGATGATGTTGATAACTAATGGGCAGGTAGTAATATAGCGTGGATAAGCTGAACAAAGGAATGATTCATATCCCGGATGGGACAGAGCCAGACAGCACAAGATTTCATTATCCTACTCAGAACAGCACACAATTTAAAAATTATGAATTGTTGGTTGAGCCTAGTGGCTCATGCCTGTAATCCCAGCACACTGGGAGGCTGAGGCGGGCGGATGCCCTGAGGTCGAGAGTTCGAGACCAGCCTGACCAACATGGTAAAACCCCGTCTCTACTAAAAATATATTTAAAAAAAATTAGCTGGGCATGGTGGCAGACGCCTGTAATCCCAGCTACTCTGGAGGCTGAGGCACAAGAATCACTTGAACCTGGGAGGCAGAGGTTGCAGTCAGCTATCATGCCACTGCACTCCAGCCTGGATGACAAAGTAAGACTCTGTCTCTCAAAAAAACAAAACTTATGAATTGTTTATTTCTGGAATTTTTAATTTAATATTTTTGGACGGTGGGTGATTGAAACAATGGAAAACAAAACCATAGATGACGGGAGGGAGAAACTGCTGTACATGAGTGTTCATAGCGACACTATTTGCAGTGCCAAAAGACAAAACCAATCCAATGTCCAGCAACATCTGAATGGATAAACAAATGTGGTACATACACACGGTGGAATATTATTCTGCCATAAAAAGGAATGAAGTACTGATTTGTGCTACGACATGAGTGAATCTTGAAAACAGTATGCTAAGTAAGAGAAGTCAGACACAAAAGACCAGAGATGTATGAGTTTACTTATATGAAATATCCAGAACACGTAAATCCATAGAAACAGAATGCAGATTGGTGGTGGCCAGAGGTGGGAGGTTTGGGGGAATGGGGAGTAATTGCTGAATAGGAACAGAGTTTATTTTGGAATGACAGAAATGTTTTGGACCAGACAGAGGTAGTGACTGCACAGTGTTGTGAATAACCAAGTGCCCTAAATGTTATGCTAGGTGAATTTCACTTCAAATTTTAAAATTCTACAGCAAACATCATACTTAATGGTGAAATATTGAAAGCATTCCACTGAGTTTAGAACAATGATGACCATTGTCACCACTTCTTTTTAACATGGTAGTAGAGGTCTTAGCCAGTGAAACAATTACAAACAAGAAAAAGAGGAAGAAAAAGAAAGGAGGAGGAGGAAGAGAAGATGTACAGGGGGAGGGAGAGGATAAATAAAATGTCTGAGAATCAGTAAGTTAGCCAGGTGTGATAGCATGCCTCTGTAGTCTCAGCTACTTGGGGAGCTGAGGCAGGAGGATCTCTTGAACCTGGGAGGTCAAGGCTGCAGTGAGCCAAGATGGCGCCACTACACTCCAGCCTGGGTGACAAAGTGAGACTCTGCCTCAAAAATATTTTAAATAAATAAAATAATAAATAAATAAATAAATGAAAATAAAAATTTTAAAAAAGAATCAGTAAGGGAGAAATTAAAATTGCTATAATACACAAATGACATTATTATAGACCTGGAAAGTCTAAACAAATCTACAGATAAACTGCTACCATGACTGGGTACAGTGGCCCATGCCTGTAATCCCAGCACTTTAGGAGGCTGAGGTGGGCGAATCATTTGAGGTCAGGAGTTCAAGACCAGCCTGGCCAACATGGTGAAACCCCGTCTCTACTAAAAATACAAAAATTATCCAGGCATGGTGGTGTGTGCCTATAATCCCAGCTACTCGGGAGGCTGAGACACGAGAATGGCTTGAACCCAGGAGGCAGAGGTTGCAGTGAGCAGAGATCACACCACTGCACTCCAGCCTCGGTGACAGAGTGAGACGCTGTCTCCAAAAAAAAACCTGCTACCATTAATAAATGAATTTAACAAGTCAGTAGATACAAAGTCAAAATTTTTAAAAATTCATTGTATTTCTATCTAATTAGAAATTGAAAAAAATTAAATATCATATACAGTAGCATCAAGGACATAAATATACAGGGATGAACGAAACAAAACTGTACAGAGCCTCTACACAAAAAATTATACAACTTTATGGAGGATTATAAAAGATCGTAAAAAATGAAAGGATATAATTTCAGGATATGTTCAGGATCGAAATACTCAGTATTGGCTAGGGGCAGTGGCTCACACCTGTAATCCCAGCAGTTTGGGAAGCTGAAGCGGGTAGATCACCTGAGGCCAGGAGTTTAATACTAGTCTGGCCAACATGGTGAAACCCCATCTCTACCAAAAATACAAAAATTAGTCGGGCGTAGTGGCGGGCACCTGCAATCCCGACTACTCAGGAGGCTGAGGTAGGAGAATCGCTTGAACCCAGCAGGTAGAGGTTGCAGTGAGACAGGGTTGTACCACTGCACTCCAGCCTGGGCAACAGAATGAGACTCTGTTTCAGAAAAAAGAAAGAAAAGAAATAGTATTGTTAAGATATCACTTCTCCCTAACTTGATCTATAGATTCAAAGCAATCACAATTAAAATCCCAGCGGATTTTTGTGGTGGCAGGGGTATAGGGGAAAGGGAATGAGGGAGGTTGAAATGGACAAACCAATTCTGGAATTTATGTGAAAATACAAAGGGCCAAGAATAGTTAGGAAAGTCTTGAAAAATAAAAACAAAGTTGAAGGATTTGGACCATAGTAGTTTCTTCTTATCTGTGAGGGTTATGTTTCAAGACCCCTGGTGGATGCCTGAAATCACAGATAATAGCAAAACCTATATATACTATGGTTTTTTTTTTCTGTTATATACCTATAATAAAATTGACTTACAAATTGGTCCCATTAAGAGATTAACAACAAAAACTAATAATAAAATAGAACAATTATAACAATATATAGGAATGAAAGTTATGCGAATGTGGTCTCTCCTTCTCAAAATATATCATTGTTCTGTACCTTGAGTAACATAAACCATGGAAAGAGGAACTGTAGACAAGGGGGTACTACTGGGCAATAACTAAAATAGCCCAGTATTAATGCAAAGACAGGCAAACAGGCCAATGTGAAATAACAGAGTGTCCAGAAACAGCACACACATATACAGACAAGACAAAAAATAACACGTTAGCACAGCGGGGAAGAGGTGGGTCTTTTCTATTAGTGGTGCTGGGTCAGCTGAATAACCATATAGGAGGAAAAAGAGTGAATCTTGACTCTTATCTCATACCATACACAAAAATCAAATCCAGATAGGCGCTGAATGTGAAAGGTGAAACAATAAAGCTTTTAGAAACTGGCGTAGAAAAATATATTTATGTCCTTATTTTAGGCAAAATGTATTAAGCAGGACACGAAGAAGCACAAATCATAAAAGAAAAGTAGATAAATTGGACTATATTAAAGAGTATCTGTTTATCAAACAAACTATTAAGAGAGTAAAAAGGAAAGCTATTGGAATGGGAAAAGATTTCTTGCATCTGGGTATGGTGGCTCATGCCTATCATCCCAACACTTTCAGAGGCCAAGGCAGAGGGATCGCTTGAGCCCAGGAGTTTAAGACCAGCCTGGACAGCATAGCAAGACCCTTTCTCTACAAATAGATAAATAAATATTTTTAAAAATATTTTTGCAATACATATAACTGACAAAGATCTAATATCCAAAATGCATAAAGAACTGCAAATTCATAAGAAAAAGATTAACAACTCAACAGAAAAAAAGCAAATGTCTAGAACACAAAGGATGTTCCAGACAAATGGCCAAGAAACTTGTTTAAAAAGTGTTAATCCTCATTAGTCATCAGTGAATCACAAGTTAAAACCACAGTGAGATATCCACCCACCAGTATACTCAAAATTGACATGACACGTCACTTGCTGGCAAATATGTGGTGGAACTGAAACTCCCAAACACCATTGGTAGAAATGTAATCTGGTACAACTTTGGAAAATGGTTTGGCACTATCAAAGCCAAATGTAAGTGGCCAGGCACAGTGGCTCACGCCTGTAATCCTAGCACTTTGGGAGGCCAAGATGGGTGGATCACTTGAGGTCAGGAGTTTGAGACCAGCCTGGCTAACATGGTGAAACCCCGTCCTACTAAAAATACAAAAATTAGCTGGGCGTGGTGGCGGGTGCCTGTAGTCCCAGCTACTCTGCAGGCTGAGGCAGGAGAATCGCTTGAACCCAGGAGGCAGAGGTTGCAATGAGCCAGGATTGTGCCACTGCACTCCAGCCTGGGCGACAGAGTGAGATTCTGTCTCAAAAAAGAAAAAAAACAAAAGGCTAAATGTAAATAAACCCTTTAACCAGCTAGGTATATACCTAATAAAACTGGCACATTTACACACGAAAAGGCATGTGTGAGAATATCTACAGTGACATCGTTTTTCATAGACAAAGATGAAAACAATCCAAATAGTCATAAACAGAAAAATAGATCAACAATGTGTGTATATTCGTACAATAAAATACTATGCAGAAAGGAATATGAGGGACAGCTAGTACACCCAGCTGCATTTCATAATGTTGAGTGAAAGAAGCTAAACATAAAAGAGGCCATGCTTTATGGTTCCACTGATGTAAAGTTCAAACAAAATCAAACTCATTTCTGGTGTCGGAAGTCAGAAGAGTGGTCCC
Organism: Homo sapiens; assembly: GCF_000001405.40. NCBI lineage: Eukaryota > Metazoa > Chordata > Mammalia > Primates > Hominidae > Homo > Homo sapiens. Next base: position 48,457,758 of record NC_000016.10, on the reverse strand, counting down.
CTGAGAAGAAAAGTGGCTGAGGGTGCAAGAGACCAGCTTCTGGGCTCCCACAAATTTGTGCATCTGACTGGGCATCACATGAGGGTGCTCGCTTTGAGAAAACTCATCAAGTTATGCCTTCTCTATGTTTATGTTCAATAAATAAGCGTGGGGTTTTTTGTTGCTTGTTTTTGTTTTTGTTTTTTTTGTACAGATGGGGTCTCACTAAGTTGCCCAGGCTGCTTTTGAACCCCTGGACTCAAGCAATCCTCTCACCTTGGCCTTCCAAAGTGCTGAGATTACAGGTGTGAGCCACTGCACCCGGCCTAAATAAGCTTTTTTTTAATGAATGTAGCTTATACACACCAGTCTTTGGTAAATCTAAAAATACACTTATAGATGCACAAATAACCAAAAAAAATCTTACCTTTGTCCCTTTCTTACACAGGCTGGGGTCCTAGCCCTGCTTACAAATCTCCACCATCTTCTCAACACTGTGCTAGAGTTTTCAGCAGAAACCTCGTGCATATTTACAAAATAGTCTGTCAAACATTTCAACTCCTACAAATTCCAGAAAACCAGTTGTATAGAGTCAAAATCAAAATCCAAGTTAGGGCTCAGCCAGAAGACTCTGTTACTCAAAAATAAGATCACATACCCCGACTTGTTTTTTGAATTTTTTCATGGACTTTTCCCCTTATCATCAGCATGTTTAAATCCACCGTATCTCCTTTAACAGCTATGTAATAATCTATTTTATAACTTTACAGTATTTTACTTAACAATCCCCTTTTAAAGGACATTTAGGTTGTTTCTAGCTTTTTGCTTTTATAAAAATGTTCCAGTGACTATTCAAGCACATACATCATTCTCATTTGATGATTTATCCTTTCATTTGAATAAGTTATCTGGGGCCAGGCACAATGGCTCACACCTGTAATCCCAGCACTTTGGGAGGGCGATGCAGGCAATCACCTGAGGTCAGAAGTTCGAGACCAGCCTGACCAACATGGTGAAACCCTGCCTCTACTAAAAATACAAAAATTAGCTGAGCATGGTGGCAGGCGCCTGTGGTCCCAGCTACACAGGAGGCTGAGGCAGAAGAATCACTTGAACCCGGGAGACAGAGGTTACAGTGTGCCCAGATTGAACCACTGCACTCTAGCCTGGGCAACAGAGGGAGACTCCACTGAAAAAAAAAAAAGTTATTTGAAGTTGAAATATTAGGCCAAGTGGCTGGCTGTGTGTAGTGGTTCACACCTGTAATCCCAAACCTTTTGGAGGCTGAGGCAGGAAGATCACTTGAGGCTAGGAGTTTGAGGGCAACCTGGGCAATATAGCAAGACCCTATATCTACAAAAGATTTTTAAAAATTAGCCAGGTGTGGTGGTGCACACCTGTAATCTCAGCCCTTTGGGAGGCTAAGAGAGGAGGATTGCTTGAGCCCAGGAATTTGAGGGTACAGTGAGCCATAACGGCACCACTGCCCTCCAGCCTGAGTGATGGAGCAAGACCCCGTCTGAAAAAAATTTAAAAAAGAAAGATTTAAAAAAGAAAAACTCACAACCACCCTATAAGGCAGACACAACTGTACTTTACAGAGGAGAAACTGAAATTCAGAGCATTAAGTGATTTGCCCAAAATCCCCAAAGCTGGTAAGTGGCAGGGCCAGCCTGGTCCACAGGGGGCTTAACCCTGCTGTACTCTGTGACCTTACTTCACTTTTGTCGAGGGTCCGCTGATCCCTGAGCCCTGCTGTGTTAGCAGTTACCATGGAAGAACTTTCTCCAAAGAGAGAGGTGGTTCTACCCCGGCTTTTGGGAAAAGCACCCACATGTGCCTGCAGGGAAGGAAAGGGCTTCTGAAGGGCTATCCCTCCCCGGGGGGCTTGGCTGGGGCCCTGAACGGGGCACCAACTGTGCTCTGGTCTTCAGAGCTGAGCCAGGGACGCCCAGGATGGGTTCTCCTCTCCACCAAGCAGGGGATGTGTGCACTGCAGCTTCCTCCAGGCTCTGTCTCCACACACCTTCTGGGCACCAGGGGACTCTGAGCACAGCCTCAGCCCCAGCCTGCACCTCTGCCAACTGGGAGCTGGGGGCTCTTGGCTGTTGCGTCCATCAAGACTCTCAAGGGTCATCACAGCTTCCAAACAGAGCCCCTTTTTCCCCCAGTCCTCCTCCAGGAAGCCCCCTGGAGCCCCAGCCCACAGACAGTGCCCCTGGGATGTGCTGGCCATCCCCTCCTCCAGCCCATCGTTTTCCCTGCAGGTCTGTCTTCAGGACCTGTCTTCCTTTTCTCCTTAATCCACACCTCCTTCTCCTTCTCAAGCAGGAACTAGACCGTTTTCACCTTGGAGGTCCCCACAGTCCCCAGCCAAGAGCTGGGCTCACAGAACGTGCTTAATAAACTGGGCACAGTGGCTCACGCCTGTATTCCCAGCACTTTGGGAGGCTGAGGCGGAGGATTGCTTGAGCCCAGGAGTTCAGCAACAGCCTGGGCAACATAGTGAGACCCTGTCTCTATAAAAAATTTACAAAATAAAATTAGCTGTACATGGTGGTGTGCATCTGTGGTCCCAGCTACTTTGGGAGACTGAGAACTATAATGGGAGGATCGCTTGAGACCAGGAAGTCAAGACTGCAGTGAGCTGTGACCACACCACTGCACTTCCACTTGGGCAACAAAGCAAGATCCTGTCTCTTAAAACACACACACACACACACACACACACACACACACACACCCCACATCATTTTGTAAAGGTCAAAATATAAAAATAAAAAAGAAAGTGCTTAATAAATACTGGTGATGGGCTGTACCTGGTGGCTCATGCTTATAATCCCAGCACTTTGGGAGGCCAAGGCGGGCGGATCACTTGAAGTCAGGAGTTCCAGACCAGCCTGGCCAATATGGTGAAACCCCGTCTCTACTGAAAAATACAAAAATTAGCCAGACATGGTGGCGGGTGCCTGTAATCCCAGCTACTCAGGAGGCTGAGGTAAGAGGATCACGAATCAGGGAGGCGGAGGTTGCAGTGAGCCGAGATCGCACCACAGCACTCCAGCCTGGGCATCGCAGCAAGACTCTGTCTCAAAAAAAAAAAAAAATAGTAATTAATTAAAAAAATAAATATTGGTGATGAATGGGCACATAAATAGCTCCATCAAAGAATTTCCAAATGAACACGCTTACGTGCGTGTGACTCCTTTATGAAAGGAGCATGGCTGGAGAATGGCTTGAATGCTTTGGGTTATGGTGGAAACGGAAAACCTGCCTTTGGGATTGAGCTCTGCCCTGACCAGTTTTGGTCCCTGGCTTGGGATGAATCACAAATAACCTTTCCAAACCTGGGATTCCTCATGTGTGAAAATGGACGTGATGGAGCAGTTCCGCACTCCTCACAGGTTTGAGGGAAGGGAAGGAGGTGAAGGCCACGGCGAGTGGCAGCGTGAAGAGTGGTCCTAATTTCACTTTCCATCCACTGTGCAGTGTAGTGATAAATACCTGGGAGCAAGAGAGGGTCTTCCTCAGGGCCCCCAAGCCCATGCAGTACACGGCAGTTCACTTCTCCTCCACTGGCCCAAGAGGAAAGCTGTGTTTTCAGCCTTTATTACATACATCTATGTATAGAGATATAGATATCTATTTTTTGAGACAGGGTCTCACTCTGTTGCCCAAGCTAGAGTGAAGTGACGTGATCTCAGCTCACTGCAGCCTCCACCTCAGAGGTTCAAGCGATTCTCCTGCCTCACACTCCTGAGTAGCTGGGATTACAGGCACCCACCACCATGCCTGGGTAATTTTTGTGTTTTTTGTGGAGACAGGGTTTCACCATGTTGGCCGGGCTGGTCTCAAACTCCTGACCTCAAGTGATCTGCCCACCTTGGCCTCCCAAAGTGCTAGGATTAGAGGCATGAGCCACCACGCCCGGCCTGGACTTTAGAGAACCAAGCATTCATAAAAGGGGCTTTGAAATTCCAAGGTCTCATCTTGTCCTAGAAGTCTACCTTCTCTCCCAGGAGCCTCAGCTGTCTTCTGGAAGGTCTGAGGCAGGGGAGGGACAAGAGACCTCCCAGCTCAGATGACAGGTGCCTGCTGGGAGACCTTTAAGTCTGGACAGTGGCCTGCCAGCCACATCCAAAGCTCTGAGGTCATTTCCCCTGATACCAGAGACTTGGCATCTGCCGGAATCCCGGGTGGATTAGAATGTCAGGAGTGCCCCAGATCTGACACCTCATACCCTGACACCCTAGGAGAAGGCCTGGGAGGAGCAGACTACCCTCTGGGTGCCCTGAGCTCAGGGCCAGCTGCAAGGGCAGGGCCTGCCAAGGCCTGGGGAGTAGGGAGGGTGCTGAGTGGTCCAGCCCCTGCCTGTGCCCTACAAGGTTGGTATTGGCCTCAGGAGTATCTAATTGGGATTAGAAAGAGCAAACACCTTTGGAAGACCTCAGAAGCTCTGAAACAGGATCACAGCCCTTTACTGTTGATGCCACCAGCAGTTGCTAAGGGACGAAGCAGGCATTTCAGGCACTGGCAAGAGGGGATCCCCAGGGCGCTGGGCAGAGTCTGGCTCCTGGCAGCCGCCTGCGACTCTGCCCACATCCCTGGCCCTGCACAGAGGCCAGAGGTCTCAGCCGGAGGCCAGCGGCTGTGCTGAGAAGTCACTTGCCTGGAGCATGCAGGCTGCACCCGACAAACTATAAAGAGGAGGCGATGGCTGGTTGGGAGGACACGGGATCAAGCTGGCAAGTCAAGGAGCCTCTTTGAACTTGAATTTCCTTCTCAATAAAATGAGGATAATTAGGCAACACAGACTGACCTCCCAGAGTGAGTGTTAGGATTAAAAGAGAGAATGGGGCTGGCACGGTGGTTCACACCTGTAATCCCAGCTGGGAGGCTGAGGCAGGTGGCTCACCTGAGGTCAGGAGTTTGAGACCTGCCTGGGCAACATGGCGAAATCCTGTCTCCATTAAAAATACAATAATTAGCTGGGCATAGTGGCAGGTGCCTGTAATCCCAGCTACTCAGGAGGCTGAGTCAGGAGAATCACTTGAACCCGGAAAGCAGAGGTTGTAGTGAGCCGAGATTGTGCCACTGCACTCCAACCTGGGCAACAGAGCAAGACTCCGTCTCAAAAAAAATAAAAGAGAGAATAACTGGAGAGGACTTAGTGAGTTGTAAGGAGGAGTTCAACACCAGTCATTGTCATTATAAATAAAAGAACTGGGATTTTGGCATCTGGGAAAGGAGAAGACACACCCATCCTCCACTTGGCCAAATAAGGTTCATCAAATTGTGTCTAGAGTGTGCTCTTATCCCATCCTGTTAGCAATATGTAAATATACATTATCAAGTTACATAAAATTATAAAATAGAATGTTTTCCATGATATACATTTTATTAAATGTAATCTCCATAAATAGATAAATGAACTATATGAATAAATCCATTGTTCATTTATAGTCTGGAAAGTTAATCACTGTCTGTTAATAGCCACCTCATCAAGAGGGGAGATTATGGATGATTTTGATCTCATTCTTTTCTTTTCTTTTCTTTTCCTTTTTTTTTTTTTTTTTGAGGCAGAGTCTCGCTCTGTCACCCAGGCTGGAGTGCAATGGCAAAATCTGGGCTCACTTCAACCTCCCCCTCCCGGGTTCAAGTGATTCTCCTGCCTCAGCCTCCCGAGTAGCTGGGATTACAGGCACGTGCCACCATGCCTGGCTAATTTTTGTAATTTTAGTAGAGACGGGGTTTCACCATGTTGGCCAGGCTGGTCTCAAACTCCTGACCTCAAGTGATCCACCAGTCTCGGCCTCCCAAAGTGCTGGGATTTCAGGCATCAGCCACTGCGCCAGGCCTGATCTCATTCTTTTTGCTATCTTTTCTGCAACGACTGATTGGTTGAGTGCTTTTTATAAACAAAAGTGGGTTCTGGCCTGCAGCTCTGTAGAGGGGGCTACTTCAACACTGGCCTCTCCTAGGAGATTGGGAAGACCAAGTGTGTCCAAATACCCCCAACTGAATGACCCAGGGCTGCTGAAGTGGCCTCCATGGGGCCGCAGTTTCACAGCAAAACCTTTTTTTGTCTGTTTGTTTTTGTTTTTTGAGACAGGTCTGTTGCCCGGGCTGGAGTGTGGTGGTATGGTCTCAGCTCACTGCAGCCTCCACTGTGGGCTCAAGTGATCCTCCATCTCAGCCTCCCAAGTAGCTGCGACTACAGGCGCATGTCACCACACACAGCTTTTTTGTTGCTGTTGCAGAGGTGGGGTTTTACCATGTTGCCCAGGCTGGTCTCAGACTTCTGAGTTCAAGCGATCCTCCCGCCTCCACCCCCTAAAGTGCTGAAATTATAGGCGTGAGCCACCACGTCCAGTCACAAACATCTTTTCCCATTCCAATAGCTTTTTTTTTTTTTCAAATAAAACTGACAAGGAAGCCCAACCTCTAAACAGGGTGTGGGGAGACAGCCTGCAGAATGGAAGGGGCTCAGACTCAGATCAGAGAGACTTGGGGCTATGTGGCCTTAGGCCCCTCAGCCTCCATTTCCTTATCTGTAAAAAGGGCTCCTAAAGCTTGCCCCACAGGGTGGTTGTGGAAACTCAGTGTAATATCTCCAGAGGTGTCTGGTACATGGCAAATGCCCCCAAATTATTAGCAATTATTTTACACATTTTTTAAAACAAAATATATAAACATGGAATGGCTCTGGTTAAAAGGGCATGATGCTTCCCTGGGCTTCTGCGGTCACCCTAAAGGGACCTCTAGGGAGCCTTGACCTCCAAACAGCAGTGTCTGAAATGTCCTGGTGCAGGTGGGAGCCCTGAGTTGGGGTCAGAAGTCACAGGCCCAGTCCAGGCGTGGGAGCTGACAAGTTGCGTGGCCTTGGGTGGATCACTTTCTTTCTGTGCCTCTGCAGCCCACATCAGTGGTTCTCACTGGGAGGTCTGGGTGGGAGAGGGGCCGATTTTGGTTTGTCATGGCCAGGCTTTCTACTGCTTCTGCAAACAGCCTTGTAGTTTAAACCCATGAATAATTCTCTCTTTAATAATCCATTTTACATACAGTGTATATGTGTACATATAAACACCAAGTATTTTTTCAGTTTTAACCTATACTGCATTTTCTAGTATTGCAATTCCTATGTAAATCAAGAAAAGATACGTTCTGTTTGGCTCAGTACTTTACCAAGAGATTTCAGAATATCAAACCACTAGTGGCAACATAGCTCATGGTATTTGACTCACCAAAACATCACATTACACAAAAATGAAAAGCATGTGAGGTTAATATGTCAATTCACTTGATTAGTGATTATGTTTGAAATATGTAATGTATACCTATTTCAAAACAACACATACACAATCAATATATATATAATTGTCAATTAAAAAATGAAAAACTAAAACATCACATTACTAAATAACACACATGTTTATGATGATTCTATACAGAACTGCAAGCACCTATTTTATTAATTCTACTAGTGTAGTTGGGCCAAGGCATTTACATATTTAAAAGCATACATATCTATTTTTAAATTTTTATTTCAATAGTTTCTGAGGTACAGGTGGTTTTTGGTTACATAGATAAGTTCTTTAGTGGTGATTTCTGAGATTTTGGTGCACCCATCACCTGAGTGGTATACACTGTACCCAATATGTAGTCTTTTAAAAGCATATTATTTTAAGTTATGTTGTTGTTGTTGTTGTTATTATTATTATTATTATTATTATTATTATTATTATTGAGATGGAGTCTCACTGTGTCACCCAGGCTGGAGTGCAGTGGCATGATCTTGGCTCACTGCAACCTCCACCTCCTGGGTTCAAGTGATTCTCGTGCCTCAGACTCCCGAGTAGCTGGGACTACAGGTGCGTGCTACCATGCTCAGCTAACGTTTGCATTTTTAATAGAGACAGGGTTTCACCATGTTGGCCATGGTAGCTGGTCTTGAACTCCTGACCTCAAGTGCCTTGGCCTCCTAAAGTGCCAGGATTACACACATGAGCCACTGGGCCTGGCCTATGTTATGTTTTTATAAATTGCATTTCTTCCATATACATAATACATGTAGGTCAGTTATGTTATGCATACAGTAACAGTAAGGGAGGTTTTAAAGTAATTGTTATAAAAAGGAAACATTGACAATGACATAAAATTGTGGGAGGGGCTAAAAAGGTAGGATGGTGTTGGGATTGTGGGTTGAGCACCTTGCCTGATTGTCATATACTAGTTTTCTTTCTTTCTTTTTTAGAGATATGGTCTTGCTCTGCTGCCCAGGCTGGAGTGCAGTGGTGTGACCATAGCTCACTGCAGCCTTAACCTCCTAAGCTTAAGCAATCCTCCCTCTCAGCCTCCCAAGTTGCTGGGTTTACAAGCACACACCACCATGCCTGGCTAATTTTATTAATTTTTTTGTAGAGATGAGTCCTCAGTGTGTTTCCCAGGCTGGTTTGGAACTCCTGGGCTCAAGAGATCCTCTTGCCCCGGCCTAGGGAGTTGCTGGGGTTACAGGTGCACGCCACCCAGCGGGCTCCTCCCTGGTTGTGGAGTGGGGTTCAGGAGAGTTCCTCCTACACAGACCTTGTGTTGGGCTGCGGAAGCTGTGTCAAATCCAGTAAGCCCTGCCTATGAACCTCTTTAGTCTGAGGCTTCTCAACCAAATGGGATTCACCAGCTGAGAACCACCCTTGTTAAGCTTAAATCGACACACAAATTGGGAGTTTCCCAGCGACATCATCGGCACCCATGGCCCCCAGTCTCACTCACCATCCCACACTGGGACCAGATGGGGAGCGCCTCAGGCAGCATCAGAGGGGCATCCCTCAGGTTCTTGTTGCCAGGGATCCCCAATGGCCAGAGCTGTGATCTCACAGGCCCCCAGGCACCCCGCAGAGCTTATATTCTAGGACCACTCTGTGACTTGAGGGCAAATGAGAAACCTGGGCCAACACGTGTGTGTATAAATGTGGAAGCTGTAAAGACTTCTTTCTGTGAAGGAGCATCCTTCATTCTGAGGCCATGATTTTCCTATTATTTTTTGTATTAATATGACCATGCTTTTATGAAATAATGGTGATGGTAGGTAGAGGAGCTGGGGTATTGTTTCACAAACATCCTTTTACATAGCAAAGTAGTTAGCAACCCTCTTTGATGCCCCCTGTTCTCTCTCTCTTATCCTGAACCCCAAAAGTCTTGCAGTGGAAGACAAAGACATTAAAACACACTCATTCCCAAGGCAGTGCCAGGGCACCGGTAGCCATCTGTACCTGTCACGGTGAGGTCACAGAAGAAGGGTGTGGTTAGCACTACCTGGGAAAACTTCACAAAGGAGGTGGTGTTTGAGTGAAGTCTTGAGGTCCCCAGGGCTGCTTACCGGGCAGTGTGGATGGCATGCAGTGGGATGGTGAAGGATGGGGCCAGAGGAAGGAAGGACATGCCCGCCCAGCTGTGTTTGGGATGCTGCCTCCCTGGAGAGGGGTCATGAAGCCTAGCAGGCAGTGGAGCCCAGGTAATGGTGGACCTTGAGGGGAACGCCAGTGGGAAACTTAGACCCATGAACTCCAGACTGTACATTGAGGCCATCAGTTTCAAATGTTTACTTTTTGGTATTTGCTATTCCAAGCTGAACACAGGGAGGTGGGTGAGTTGGAAGCTTGTTTGTGCTTGGAAGCTTGTTTGTGCTGGATGTACTTTAGCAGGACTTCCCCGGACTACAGGGGGCTTCTGAGCCACTGGGCTCCCCAGAGTGATGAGAGACCTGCTGTGTAGACTACTCCTGAAAGACTTTCATGAAGGCACAAAAGCAACAGGTTTGCTGAGTGGTGCTGCCCGTGCCCCATAAGGAGAACGGTGTATACTGTTTCCACACGATGCAGCAAGCCAAGCTCCAGGCTGCACACTTGGGGTCTTTAAAGGATGCCTCATTAGAGTAAAATGGGACTTACTTTTTTTTTTATAACTCAATTTTATTCTGAGCCCCTGTTATGCTAGGTGGCAGAAATGTCATCTCAGGCAATGTTGGGGGCCTGCCCCTTTCCTCAGGGCTTGCTATCGAGGAAGTCATCGAGGGCTTGCGATCAAGGCCTGGGGTCCCACCTGTCCTCACAGCTTGCTGCTGGGACACCTGCTCCTCCGTGCCCCAGGTCTAGAGTCTCTGCTGGTGTTGGGCGCCTGGCAGCGTTTCACTGGGGAGGCCTCCTTGGCTCCAGCTCATTCCTCTTTCTCTGTGTCTGGTGCCTGCCCAGGGCCTTTCCCATTAAATGGTACTGGGTGCTCTCTGGTCATCGGCTCCACAGTCTGGATGGATGTTTTGCCTCCCATCTGAAGCTTAGACAAGGCACGAGGGTCAAGGATCCCCACTCAGGACCCATCAACATCTGTATTCCCCCACCTGGGGAAGGGTGCTGGTTTTCTTCATTATGCACCCCCCATCTTTAGGTGAGTTCATTAGTCCTTTTTAATTTTTTTTTTTATTATTATTATTATTATTATTATTATTATTATTATTATTATTATTGAGACCGGGTCTCCCTCTCTCATCCAGACTGGAGTGTAGTGGAACCATCATAGCTCACTGCAGCCTCAACCTCCTAGGCTCAAGTGATCCTCCCACCCTGGCCTCCCAAGTAGCTGGGACTACAGGCACGGGCCACCACACCCAGCAAATTTTTAAATTTCTTGTAGAGACTGGGTCTCACTATGCCTAGGTTGGTCTCAAGGGATCCTCCTGGCTTCAAGTGATCCTCCCACCTTGGCCTGCCAAAATGCTGGGATTAAAAGCGTGAGCCACTGTGCCCAGCCTAGATTAGTCCTTTCTATTTGCCTAAAGGCATAGGCATTTGAAACTGAAAAGCCAAGAAAAGAATATTTTCTCTTCCACTTTAATCACCTCCTTTGAGGCATCAAGCGACTCTGGGCTTCGCTGCCTACATGCGGTAAAAAGAACCATGGTTGGGTCTGGATACCTCCCTAATTATTAAACCAAAATAAAACAAGCAAGCAAACCAAAGCACCTCTAATCCTCTGCTGCAGCCCCTCCCTAGCGTGGTCTCTGGCACAAGGCATTGGTGCTCTCTGCAGGTGGCCTTTTTGGCCCCAAGCTGCTCCTCCATGGGATGGAAAGCTGACCAATGGGTTGGGGAAGCTGGAAATCAGGAAATGGTCACGGGTCAGTTGCTGTCAGTCACTATTCCTTCAGCTGTCACTGCAGGGCTCAGAGACTGCATTTCTTTGGCCACTATCTAGCTTCTGTACCCTGGGATGATGGAAGATTCAAACAGAAAAAACTCTCTTGCTTGTAATTGGAGCTAAAATTGAAGCAGTGTTTAAGGTCTAGTTTTTTGTTGTTTGTTTGTTTGGTAGGTTTTTTTTGAGACAGGGTCTTACTCTGTTGCCCAGGCTGGAGTGCAGTGGTGCGATCAACTGCTCACTGCAGCCTTGACCTCCCAGACTCAAGTGATCCTCCCACCTCAGCCTCCCAAATAGCTGGGACCCCAGGCACACACCACCATGCCTGGCTAATTTAATTCTATATTTTTTAGAGACGGGTTCTCCCTATGTTGCCCAGGCTGGTCTTGAACCCCTTTGTTCAAACGATCCTCCCGCCTTGGCCTCCCAAAGTGTTGGGATTACAGGCATGTGCCACGGTGCTGGACTGGTCTTTACTTTTCTTCCAATCCAAGTTCCAGAAACAGGAGCTGCCTTTCTCCGAGATATAGGTGTTTGTGGTTCAGAGATTGGGATCTGTTCTTCCTGCTTACCACCTGACAACTTTGGAGAGGTAATTTACCAACCCCGTGCCTCAGTTTTCTCCTCTGTAAAGTGGGGATGATAGTGGCATCTGCCTCAAAGCATTGCTGTGATGATTGGATGAATCCTTGTAAAGTGCTTAGACCCGTGCCTGGCACACAGTCAGCCTTCAATAGATGTTGGCTGGAATTCTTAGGTGACTGTGGCTCTTGGGAGTCCTGGCATCACAGGGTTCAAGATTTTATTTTTTGTTTAAATTAAATTTATTGAGCCAGGGTCTTGCTCTGTGGCCCAGGCTGGAGTCCAGTGGCACGATCTGGGATCACTGCACCTCCGCCTCCCAGGCTCAAGCCATCCTCCCACCTCATCCTCCCAGATAGCTGGCCCGGCTCCCACCATACCCAGCTAATTTTTGTATTTTTAGTAGAGACGGGGTTTCACTATTTTGCCCAGGCTGGTCTCAAACTCCTGAGCCCAAGCAATCCACCCGCCTCGGCCTCCCAAAGTGCTGGGAGCACAGGCGTGAGCCACCGCGCCCAGCCCCAAGATTTTAAACTAAAGGCAGACTGTGCAAAGGGAGAGAATGAGGACTGCTAGACAGGAAGCGCTGGGGACTTCAGGCCACGAAAACAAGGCAAAATGATAACATTTCAAACTATAAATAGCAGAGCAAGCAATTCCTCTGTCATCCTGCAAAACAATGAGCCTCTTCCTTCATGTTGCTTGAAGGATAAATAGAGTCCCCTTCACTCCCCCACCACACACACAGGGAAGTAACTTGAGAGCCGTGTCCAACAGCAGAGGAGGAACTGGGAGTGTGCTGGTGGGGGCTGATTCTTCAGCTCTGGTCCCCTGGAGTCTGACTGGGAGGCCTGCTGTGCCTAGCCCAGCGAAGTCCCACCCAGGCAAGCTCCTGGACAAGCCTGCAGTGTGGACTTCCAGGAGGGGGTATAGGGACCTGCCAGCTCCTGGGCCCCAGGCTTCTCTGACAAGGGAGAGGCAGAGAAACATCATTATCCATGGATTTCAAAAACATCCCTCAGAGAGCTTGAGGCTACAATGAGCTGTGATTGTGCCACTGCACTCCAGCCTGGGTGACCCTCTCTCAAAAAAAGGAAAAAAAGGAAAGAAAAAAGAAACATCTCCAAGGATTCCAGAGTTGGACGCATCCGCAGGAACTGGCTCCAGCCTCTGCCTTTGGCTTCTTGGTCACTCATGACTAATCACCTCACCATCATCAACGTCACCTCTAATGTTTCTTTGGAGCATTTATTACATACGTGGCACTTTTTTTTTTCTTTTAAAGAGACAGGATCTTGCTCTGTCCTGCAGGCTGGAGTGCAGAGGCACAATCATAGCTCCTGCTTTGGCCTCCCAAAGTCCCGGGATTACAGGCTTGAGCCACTGTGAGGATTGGATGAATCCATGTAAAGTGCTTAGACCCGTGCCTGGCACACAGTCAGCCTTCAATAGATGTTGGCTGGAATTCTTAGGTGACTGTGGCTCTTGGGAGTCCTGGCATCACAGGGTTCAAGATTTTATTTTTTGTTTAAATTAAATTAAATTTATTGAGCCAGGGTCTTGCTCTGTGGCCCAGGCTGGAGTCCAGTGGCACGATCTGGGATCACTGCAACCTCATTGTTTTGCAGGATGACAGAGGAACTGCTTGCTCTGCTATTTATAGTTGAAATGTTATCATTTTGCCTTGTTTTCGTGAGCCACTGTACCTGGCTTTTTTTTAATCATTTCCTTAGTGAAATGCATGTTGTTAATAATGTGATTCACTAATTTGTCAAACATTTACAGAGTACTATGCAAGTACTATACAAGACCCATCCTTCACCTCCTGGGCCCAAACAATCCTCTCACCTCAGCCTCCTGAGTAGCTGGAACTACAGGTGCACACCACTACATTTGGCTAATTCTTTTTTGTAATTGTTTTTTGTTTGTTTGTTTGTTTGTTTGAGACAGAGTCTCACTCTGTCACCCAGGCTGGAGTGCAATGGCGTGATCTTGGCTCACTGCAACCTCCGCCTCCCAGGTTCAAGCTATTCTCCCTGCCTCAGCCTCCTGAGTACCTGGGATTACAGGTCCCCGCCACCACGCCTGGCTAATTTTTGTATTTTTAGTAGAGACGGGGTTTTGCTATGTTAGCCAGGCTGGTCTTGAACTCCTGATCTCAAGTGATCCACCCTCCTGGGCCTCCCAAAGTGCTGGGATTATAGGTGTGAGCCACTGTGCCCAGCCCTATTTTTGGTAAATTTTTTGTAGAGACAGGATCTCACTGTGTTACCCTGACTGGTCTTGAACTCCTGGCCTCAAGTGATCCTCCCACCTCAGCCTCCTAAAGTGCTGGGATTACAGGCATACACCATGGTGTCAAGCCTATGTGGGTGACACTTTTCTAAATATTGGTGCCTCTGCATGCCAGCACACCAAGGCCCCCTGGTCTTCCCCCAAAATCCCGCCCCAAAGGCCTCCTCCTCCAGAAACTCAGTTGCTCTGGGAAGCTGGCTGAAGTCAGGCCACAAGTATTTCTGGGCACCTACTATGTGCCAGACACTGATCTGAACAAGACACACTGCCACTGCTGCTAAATAACATTGCAAACACAATGAAGGTGAGCAAAGGGGAAGTACTGGCTGACACCAAGAAGGGTGCTGGCCTTCCCTGAGGTCCCCTGGTCCAGAGCCTGGGCCAGCCACTGACACCTCACTGGTCAGCTGGCCATTGTTTCATATTTATGTGTGCCCCTCATTCTGTCTAGTGGATGTCTGGTTGAGTGACTTAATGGCGACAGAGTTGGGAAGGGATTCTGGGGTGTGTCCAGCCTTGAACTCCGAAAGGACAGGGCTACACTCACCCCGCATCTTAGTGCCCAGTAGTGGATGTTCAGGAGTAAACGTAGAGTCAGTTAATACAGGAAGGAGCAATTGAATAGATGAATCCTTCATTGCCTCCTGTAAGGCAAAATTGTAAGGGAACTTAAGCTATTTCACATTCCTTCCTGCCCTTCGAAGCCTCACTCAGTGCTTGGCTCACAGAAAGAACTCAATAATATTTGTTGAAAAACAAATGGATGCAAACATGAATTAGTACAACCCTGGTGTCTGTCATAGTGCAGGGAATGCAGTGCATAGGACTCTGCAAATGTTTGACAAATTAGTGAATCACATTATTAACAATATGCATTTCACTAAGGAAATGATCAAAAAAAGCCAGGCACAGTGGCTCATGCCTGTAATCCCGGGACTTTGGGAGGCCAAGGCAGGAGGATTGCTTGAGATCAGGAGTTCCAGGCCAGCCTGGGCAACATAGTGAGATTCCCATTTCTATGAAAAATTAAAAAAATTAGCTGGGCATGGTTGTACCTGCATGTAGTCTCAGCCTCTTGGGAGGCTGAAGTTCAAGGATCACTTGAGCCCAGGAGTTTGAGGGTTACAGTGAGCTATGTGACCCACCACTGTACTCCAGCCTGGGCAACAGAGCAAGACCCTGTCTCTAAAAAAAAAAAAAAGTAGACAAGAAGAAAAGAAAACAGAAAAAGAAAAGAAAAAAGAATTGTTTTCATTAACATTTACTGGTGATAGATTTTTTTTACAATCATACAACTGTTTACTCCCTTTTCTTGAATTTCTTAGCAAATTTTTAAACAACAACAAAAACAGACCCCTGACCCACCAAGGGAAAGGTGGTTTGAGTCTAAATTTAAAAAACTCTCCATGTGAGAATCTGAATAAACTCCAGAGCCTGACAGTCACCTTTGGCTGAGGCTGGGGCTGCTCAGAGTGAGAGACTGCGGACGGGGGAGGAGGGGCTGCTTGGAAAAGTACAGCTATCTCAGCCACACTCTCTCTGGGAATTCACTCTTTTTCTATTTTCAACATCATTATCCTATTTCCATATGATTTTACAAGATGCAAAGCAAATATTAGTACAGGTTCTTCTTTGCAAAAAGAAGCCATTTAATCTAATGAAGTACTGTCCATGGTGATGTTTGGACAAGCTGACTTCATACTAAGTCAACATTGAGGGGACTCTCAGAGCAGGCTCCCGTGTGGACTTTATGTCAGCATCTCACCTTGGCTCAGCGTGATCCCCCATCAGAAAGAGTCAGAGACAAAGTTGGGAGACTGAGAGAGACCTGGAGGCCGAAAGACCAAGGCTGAGAGGAAAGGCTCCTGGCCAAGTACCCTTGGGGGCTTCCAGAGCCCATTCTGTCCTCTGAAGTGTCTCTTGGAGCTCACCTCTGTCACCAAGCACTCTTCTTGCTCCCCACCTTGCCTCAAAGGGAGGCTGGGGAAAGCTCTTTCTTTGCCAGCTTCCTCAATACCCTTTTTTTTCTTCATTCTTCCTCTTTTCCAGGGATATTTGCTTTAAAAAAAAAAAAAAAGAGAAAGAAAAGAAAGAAATTTGGCTGGGTGTGGTGGCTCCTCATGCCTGTAATCCCAGCACTTTGGGAGGCCAAGGCAGGAAGATCACTTGAGCCCAGGAGGTTGAGGCTAAAGTGAGCTATTAGTGTACCACTGCACTCCAGCCTGGGTGAGAGAAGGAGACCCTGTCTCTTTGAAAAAAAAAGGACCCAAAGACCAGGAAAGGTGTTGCTATGCAGAGGCAGGGGGTCCTTGCTTTCTCCTCAACCGGTCCCTGGGGGAAGGACAGAGAGGCATGCTGGGCTTCTGCCCACCACTTTCCATAGAGGTCTGCATCTGTCGTAAGCATCAGGCCTGAGGCTGTGTTAAGGAGCCACAATCTACTTCCTCCCCACTCACCCCAACCGGCCCAGAGCCACCAAACTTGCCAAATTCCTAGAGCGGACTCCAGGAGTCCACTTTACCTACTCGGTAGAGGCTTGGCACCTCCCTCTGAAATATTCTTCCCACTTGGGCTCTTCCCTCTACCATCATCGCAATTTCTCCTATATCCACATGCAACCGTACTATTATTTCATTTTATTTTTTTTTTATTTTTTTATTTTTGAAGATAGGGTCTCCCTCTGTCACCCAGGCTGGAGTGCAGTGGCGCAACAATGGCTCACAGCAGCCTCAAATTCCTGGGCTCAAGTGATCCTCCAACCTCAGTCTTCTAAGCAGCAGGGGGTACAGGTGTGAGCCACCATGCTCTGCCTCTATTTTTAAAAAACCAGCTTTATGGCCGGGTACAGTGGCTCATGCCTGTAATCCCAGCACTATGGGAGGCCGAGGCGGGTGGATCACGAGGCCAGGAGTTCCAGACCAGCCTGGCCAACATAGTGAATCCCCGTCTCTACTAAAAATACAAAAATTAGCCGGGCATGGTGGCATGCGCCTGTAGTCCCAGCTACTCAGGAGGCTGAGGCAGGAGAATCACCTGAACCCGGGAGGCAGAGGTTGCAGTGAGCTGAGATTATGCCACTGCACACCAGCTTGGGCAACAGAGCAAGACTCCATCTCAAAAAAAAATAAAAAATCAGCTTTATAAGGTATAATTTATGTACATTAAAATTTACCATTTCAAGTGTATAGTTTGATACATTTTGATAAATGTATGTAGTCTATAGCCTCCACTACAATTACAATATATAGAATATTTCCGTTACCCAAGAAGGTCCTCCATGCCCTTTTGCAGTCCCTCTCCTCCCCTCCCAGCCCCTGGCAATGCTGATCTTCCTTCTGTCCTTGTAATTTTGCCTTTTTAAAGTTTCACAGAAGAAGAATCACACAGCACCTAGTTTTGTGAGTTTCTTAGCATAATGCTTTTGAGGTCCATCCAAGTTTTTGAAAGTATTAATAGTCCATTTCTGCCGGGTGCACTCACCTGTAATCCTGGCACTTTGGGAGACTGAGACGGGTGGATCACTTGAAGCTAGGAGTTTGAGACCAACTTGGCCAACATGGTGAAACCCCATCTCTACTAAAAATACAAAAATTAGCCAGATGTGGCATGTGCCTGTAATCCCAGCTACTCAGAAGGTTGAGGCACAAGAATTGCTTGAACTTGGGAGGCGGAGGTTGCAGTGAGCAACATCGGGAGGCGGAGGCTGCAGTGAGATCGCGACACTGCACTCCAGCCTGGGCGACAGAGTGAGATTCCATCTCAAAAAAAAAAGTTATTTTTTTTATTTTATTACATATATAAAATTATATATGTATATATTAAATATTATAAAAATACATACAACTATTATAAAAATAGAATAAAAATAAATATTATAAAATATAAAAAATAAGTAGTATAAAAATTATAAAAATATTTTATATATATTTAGCCAGAGTCTCGCTCTGTCACCCAGGCTGGAGTGCAGTGGTGAGATCTCGGCTCACTGCAACCTCCGCCTCCCGGGTTCAAGCGATTCTCCTGCCTCAGCTTCCCGAGTAGCTGGGATTACAGGCATGCACCACTACGCTCAGCTAATTTTTGTATTTTTAGTAGAGACAGGGTTTCACCATGTTGGCCAAGTTGGTCTCAAACTCCTAATATAGGTGATCTGCCCGCCTCGGCCTCCCAAAATGCTGGGATTACAGGCGTGAGCCACAGAACTCGACCTATATATATTTATATATAAATTAAAATATAAAAATAAAAATAACATATATATTATTAGAGAAAGGGACTTTCTCTGTTTCCCAGGCTGGAGTGCAGTGGTGCAATCATAGCTCATTTCAGCCTCGAATTCCTGAGACTCAAGGGATCCTCCCAGCTCAGCCTCCTGAGTAGTGTAGTATAGGCATATGCCGCCATGCCCAGATAATTATTTTTTATTTTTTATTTTTTCTACCAACCCCTGCCTTTTTTTTTTTTTTTTTTGAGACAGGGTCTTACTTTGTTGCCTAGGCTGGAGTGCAGTGGTGTAGTCCTAGCTCACTGCAGCCTCGACCTCCCAGGCTCAAGGGATCCTCCTGCCTTAGCCTCCCAAGTAGCTAGGACTACAGGTATATGCCACTACGCCCTGCTAATTTTTGTAGAGATGGGTCTCACTATGTTGCCCATGGTCTTTATAATTTAATTATATATATATATAAATTAAAAATAATATTACACTTACAGAAAACTTAGCACTACTATAAATGGAAAACCTTTATACCTTATCATAAATCAACACAGGCAAAAATATTAAAAAGAATAATTTTTAAAGTTACACAATTCCAGCTAGCTCCTGTTGCCTGCTATCTTAGATTCTCTAGAAGTCAAGCCAGGGCTTGAGTATAAGGTGGGGATTCTTGTGCAAGTGATTTACAGGGGGGACTCCTGGTGAAGGAGGGAGGGAAACAGAAAGAGGCTAAGCAAAGGCGTGGGGCCAGCTGAAGCTCTGGAACAGGAATGGGACCAGAGTTGAACCACCTCAAGGCATGAGGGCTGGGCTTTTGTGCCTGGCATCAATCAGTCGTTGCCGCATACTTCCTCTCGGGATGATGGTATAATCTCCCACCTATTTCCAGGTGAGGCAATTTCCAAAAGAAGGGTGTGGCTGTAAAGTGCTAGCTGCCAACATTCACAGCAGCTGGGAGGTGAATGTATCAACTAGGTGACGGGGATTAGGCAGGACCAGCAGCATCTATTATACCAGTACCAGCCAAAGGCTTTAACCTAAGTTTTCCTCTCTTTTTGCTTTAGACAGGGTGTCACTCTGTCATCCAGGCTGGAATGTGCAGTGGTACAGTCATGGCTCACTGCAACCTCAAACTCCCAGGCTCAAGGGATCCTCCTGCCTCAGCCTCCCAAGTAGCTAAGACTACAAGCACACATCACTATGCCCAGCTAATTTTTTATTCTTTGTAGAGATGGGGGTCATCACTATGATACTCAGGCTGGTCTTGAACTCCTGGACTCAAGCAATCCTCCCGCATAGGCCTCCCAAAGCGCTGAGATTACAAGCGTGAACCACCACACCTGTCTGGTTTGCTATCTTTTGGAGTTAAAAAGAAATGAGAAAACGTGGCCAGGCACGGTGGCTCACACCTGTAATCTCAGCACTTTGGGAGGTCGAGGCTGGTGGATCACTTGAGGTCAGGAGTTTGAGACCAGCCTGGCTAGCGTGAAACCCCGTCTCTACTAAAAATACAAAAATTAGCTGGGAGTGGTGGTGCATGCCTGTAGTCCCAGCTACTTAGGAGGCTGAGGCAGGAGAATTGCTTGAACCCAGGAGATGGAGGTTGCAGGTTGCAGTGAGCCTACATCACACCACTGCACTCCAGCCTGGGCAACAGAGCTCTGTCTCAAAAAAAAAAAGAAAGAAAAAAGAAATTAGAAAATGTTAGAGTGATGTTAAAGACAGGTTAGCACCAAATAGAGACTTTCTCCTTAATGTCGTCAGATGATGGGAAAGAGAATTGAAAATAGACTAGCTTTCTTACTGATACACTGTTCCTTCATGCTCTGCCTGGTCTTTTTGCCAGCTCAGGTGGCCCAGTGCATCCCACACTTTGGGAAACACTGCTGTAAGGCTTTCAATGGGATCCAGCCTGCCATGGCCCCCTCAGCTCCTCTCTGCAGTGCTTTCTTACTTCCCAGCCATTTCATCCAGCAGCCTTGTGTTACACAGATGGCCCACTGTTTGCTCCCAGCTTATTCCCTGCCTTTCCAATGTTCTGCTCTATATTGCAGGAAGCTGTGTTTCCCAGGCTCCCTTGTCAAGTGGCTCTCCATAGCTTTGTGTGTTGGGAGAAAATGGTACAAGACCAGAGTACGGTAGGGTGAGATGTGGGGATCAACCATTTCCCCCCTCTTGCTCTGCATCTTCCACAGTGGCTGTGTATCATCTATGGTTCCAAGCCCTTCTGTGGCTCTGACTCCTGCCAGACAACCCTCACCTCCATGGGGCGAGCTCTCACGGGCAGCCCTGCCATGGTTCTAGCTGCTGCCACCAACACTGGCTTCTGGGCTTCATCTCCTCAACCTTGGAGTAAGAAGCTTCCTGCTGGTGCTAAGCTGTGTTCCTCACTATCCCGTTCAGCCTTTCATCCTTCCATTATCTATGTAAGCAATTCCTTGTGTTAAACTCCCACTGTTGAAAGACCTAGAGTAGTTTCTTAATTCTGACACAGAGAAGCAGCAAGACAGCAGTGAGCTAACCAAGGGTTTACAAAGTCATCAATGAGAAGTTCTGCATCAACCAATCCATTGCTAAGGTCATGTGGCTATGAAAGTCACCCAAGGCCAAGACCTCAACTTTTCCCGCTTGAAAACCCTTGAATATAGAAGGAGCTGGAGGAGGAGGAGTAATAAACTATTCCTCCAAAAATCCAAATGTGTTAATAGTCCCAGCCTTGGCCCTGCACCTCCCCTTCTCCCTCCTCTCGGCAATTCCTGACTTGATTAGTTACCAGGACTAATGCCTTTCTGCTGGTTTATCAGAAAAAAAAAAAAAAAAAAAAGGTTTCTAATACAAAAAATTAGCTGGACGTGGTGGCACACGCCTATAATCCCAGCTACTCCGGAGGCTGAGGCATAAGAATTGCTTGAACCTGGAAGGTGGAGGTTGCAGTGAGCCGAGATTGTGCCATTGCCCTCCAGCCTGGGCGACAGAGTGAGACTGTCTCAAAAAAAAAAAGGGGGTGTTCTCACATGTCCTATGGGGCCTCTCATGAACAATCAGGATATAAGGAACCAGAGAGAGAGAGAGAGAGAGAGACAGAGAGAGATCACAATGGGGCTTAATTTGGAGCCACTTAAATAGATGGTTTTATGAAACCTAATTCCCTCTGTTATTTCTAAATATGCCACTGAGAACTTTAAGACTTGCACACAGCTACTGCTTTCCACTGCAGGCGGGAATTGCCCTCCAGGTGGGAGAGCCAGAGAGGGATGCAATCAGTCCCAGGAGGTTAAAGCCAAGGCCAGGACTCCAATGCTTTGCCTAGGACTTTGTTGTCATTTTCTTCTTGGAAATGGGCCATGATTAGAGAGGGCCAGAAAGGAGCTCTGCTCTGGGGAGGTGAGCCAAGCAGCAGATCAGCCTCGTACTGGTGCAGCCACAAGTGCCAGGAAGCACCACTTTGTGTTAGATGTCCTGAGAATTTTCATCAATGCCCTTGCTGGATGGGACTGATTCCGGGCCAGGCACACATGAGGGCCTCCCAGAAGGCAGGATTCTTCCCATTTGTGACATTAGATCTTTAAAAAGTAAAAAAGCCGGGCGCGGTGGCTACGGCCTGTAATCCCAGCACTTTGGGGGGCCGAGGCAGGTGGATCACTTGAGGTCAGGAGTTTGAGACCAGCCTGGCCAACATAGTGAAACTGTGTCTCTACTAAAAATGCAAAAATTAGCCTGGCGTGGTGGCATGTGCCTGTAATCTCAGCTACTCAGGAGGCTGAAGCAGGAGAATCGCTTAAACCCAGGAGGTGGAGGTTGCAGTGAGCAGAGATCACACGACTGCACTCCAGCCTGGGCGACAGAGTGAGACTCCATCTCAAAAAAACAAAACAAAAAAAATTAATACTTTGTAGATCTGTTACTTATGTAGGTTTTACCCACAGTCTGGGCAAGGGGCAGCTTGGTGACCGTGGATTCACAGTCGTGTCAGCACCTCCTCCTTCCTGGGTCCCAGGTTTCCATCAGGGGTGCTCCCGGCAGGGGGCAGCTGGAAACTGCCCCAAGCAAGACTCGCCAAACAGCAAGATGGGTGGCAAGGGTCCAGGAACAGGTTTTGGCAACACAGAGGGAAACACATACTAAGTGAGTTTATTTTTGTTTTTTCCATCTTTAATTGAGTATTTACTTCGTGTCAGGCACTGGGCTAGGCACCTCCCATGTCTTGGCTCATCTAATTAACACAGCAACCCAGGAGTCAGGTGCTATTTTAAATTGCTGTTTTGCAGAGGAGGTGCACCAAGGCTCAGAGATGCAAAGTAACATGCCAAGGTCACACAGCTGCCTGGGGCCCCTATTGCAAGAGCAGTGTCTAAACTCCTCAGCCTGGGAGGCAAAATAAACATCTGGTGAGGCAAGGGTCAGTCACGGAGAGGCAGAGGGAAGTTCCAGCTTGGGGATGGTGGAAACGTGCTGACGTGAAAGTTGGGCCAAAATAGGCACACAAAGGAGCCAGCTAGGGGTTTGCTCTGCAAAACCAATGATTAGTGTTCTTGGAAGCCATGTTCCTGCTTCACCTGAAGGCTCTGCCTGGTGTTATCTTTCTTCACATTGACTCTGTCCCAGGAAGCCTTTATTTCTTGCTTACCACAGACAGGATGGGGCAACTGCTCTGTACTAGAGCTGCCTAAGAGCTGCAGGAAACACAGATATTGACAGCACAGGATCTCTGCTCTCAAGAAACCCACAGGGTAAAAGGAAGAGGAACATTTATCCAAATGGAAATGACCAAGCCATGCCTAAGGAGAAGAGTGAGCAAACCGTCAGAGACACAGAAAGGAGGGCTATCAGGGAAGACTTCTCAGAGGAGGTGGTCTTTGAACTGGACCCAGAAATGGACCGGGGATGCAATAGTTGGATTGAGAGGAAAGGCTAGTCCAGGCTGAGGAAATAGGTACAGAGGAGGAAAGGGTAGGAAATGGTTAGGACAGGGGAGGAGCCAGATGTGGCTGGAGTGTGAGCTGTTGGGCTAGAATAGGATAAGATGAGTCTGGAAAGGTAATTTGGGCCAGATTATAAAAGCTCTTGACTGAAGAAGCGATATTCCGCCAGCAAGAGAAGCATGTGATATAAGCTTTTCATGAATGAGAACCTCGGCTCTTACATCAACACATATCCTCAGAACACTGCTGCAGGACAGGGGTCAGGCTCCCAGTTTTACACAGGAGGAAACCAAAGTTTGTAGCAATTCTTATTCTACACTTCCTTCCTCCTCCACCATTAAAGATGTCTTTCTTGGAGGCCCCCTCTGTTGTCTTGAGGACAACCTAATCCAATCACAGGGTCCTTGTGGCTAAATAAAATCATCATTTCCCCAAGAGAAAGGCTACTCTGAGAGGCATGGGGAAGGGAATAGGGTGCAAGACAGGGAGGAAAGAAACCTGGGTTCAGTCTGGACTCTATCAACAGCCTGTGACCTTGGGGAAGTCACTTCCTCTCTCTGGGTCTTGGTTTCCTCATCTGTAAAGTGAGGAATTGAAGTGAATACTTGCCAACTCCCAGAGTCTGTGCATAATTAAATGAGGCCCGGGTGTAGAGGGAGAGAAGGGAAGGAGCGTGCCTTCATTTTTTGGTATTTTTGAGTGTGTCCTGGACACTATGCCTCATGCAAAGGACAGGGACATAGGAAAGAATATGGCTCCCTAAGAAGGAGAAAGACAAGTGAAATGACAGAAACAGAGGCATTGAAAACAGCAGGGCTCAAAGTTAGGCTGGAGGTCAGGGAGGGCCTCGCAGAACTGGAGCGTGAGCAGCCTGTGAAGGAAGGACAGGAACTCACTGCCCGGCGATCAGGACGGCCAGGGCCTTCCAGGCAGGGGAGCTGTGTGGACAACGCAAGGAAGGCGGCAACTGCGTATCTGTTCAGGCAGGTGCAAATATGGATTGGTAGTGGGGTAAGGAGGACCGTGGAGAAACAGATCGGGCTGGAGAGGTCAACCAGGCCTCGTGGCCAGGGAGAAGTTCTGACCCGGGGGTCTGATCAATAACTGATGGCAGGCTGATTAGAGGACCTCCCACCCCCGCAGAGGCTCCCTGTCCCCCTGCGCAGTTCTCACCTCCCCACCAAGGCAGAAAGACTCAGCACAGCTGCCTCTTATGTGCAAGCTGGAGGAGACAAGCAGGGCTCCAGGTGGGAGTCACAGAGGCCCTTGGTTGGTGCAAAATTGAGGAAACTAGGACACCTGCTCTCTGCCTGACAGAACTCTACAAACTGCAGCCTGAGTGTGCACAGCATTAAAACTGTGATTTCAGGCCGGGCATGGTGGCGCATACCTGTAATCCCAGCACTTTGGGAGGCCGAGGTGGGTGGATCACTTGAGGCCAGGAGTTCGAGACCAGCCTGGGCAACATGGCAAAACTCTGTCTCTACTAAAACTGCAAAAATTAGTCAGGCATGGTGGCACATGCCTGTAATCCCAGCTACTCGGGAGTCTGAGGCATGAGAAGCACTTGAACCTGGGAGGTGGAGGTTGCAGTGAGCCGAGATGGCGCCACTGCACTCCAGCCTGGGCAACAGAGTGAGACTCCATCTCAAAAAAACAAAAACAACTATCATCTGAGCCAAAGAGAATGCAAAATCCGGCAGCATGGATTCAGGACTCAGGGCTCTATCCCGGGGAGCATCTCTCCAGGCCAGGTATAAGCATTCAATAAATATGCTAACTTTTTATTTACTCTTTATTTTATTTATTTGTTTGTTTATTTTTGTAGGGAACAGGGCCTCGCTATGTTGCCCAGACTGGTCTTGAACTCCTGGCCTCAAGTGATCCTCCTGTTTTGGCCTCTCAAAGCGCTGGGATTACAGGGATCAGCCACTGCCCCTATGTTAACTTCTTTACATATTAATGCCCCATCCCCAGAGCCAATAAGATTACCAGCTTCATGAGGGCAAAGACAGTGTCTCTGCCACCTTTATAGCCCTCTTAACTGTTGGCATCCTGCTTTGAAGTTCCACAGAACTGAGTTCTGTGCCAAGCTGGGCTACTTCCTGCTGTGTGACCTGACAAGCCACTCGTCCTCTCTGACTCTGGAGAACAGGGATGATCAAGCCCAGGCCAGAGTGTTGGAAGGATCTTTGAGTGACTGCCACTCCCCTGCACTCCATTGAGGCAGCAATTGTGACTATTGTTATTGTGATCTCTAAGTGGATGAGGAAGTAGACCTTGTGTGAAACTTCCCCTTTCTGGGTTTCCAGTTTCTTCAGCTGTAAACAAAGGTGCTCGACTTGTCTTTGGTTCCACTTGGAATATCTCTGTGAACAGAAGAGATGTTCCAGGATCTTCTTGCAAGAGGAGTCTCCTGGCTGCTGGCTTCCCAAGAAGCACCCTTGCCCTAGGATCCATGGAAGTGATAAGAAACACGGTGGTCCTAAGTTCTTAGACTCTTAGAGCAAAAAGTTCATGAATCCTTCCAAGGATGGGCTTTAGGGGTGGCCCAGGAGCCTCCTAAATTGGGTGCAAAATGTTATGAATACATTTAATAGGGAGAAGGCCCTATTAATTGCCATTTTAATTCACAAAATCTGTCTACTCTCCTAAAGGGTCCTTGAAGGTGTGCGCTGAATCTCCAGGACTCAGCCTAGTGTATATTTTTGTGGAGTGAAGTAAATGAACATTTGTGAGCTGACATCCTGCTTCAGCTGTGTGTTTTGTCCAAGGTGTGAAAAAGACCTGAATTTAAGGTGACTTCTGTTAATTCCATGGCAAACCTCTTTCAACAGACAAAATTACAACAAGTTTAGTTTAAAGATCTTAATTGGCTTTTATTTGTGATTCCAGAATCAGGCAACACTTATTTCATAAGACAGATGAGTGCTCTGACAAGCTGAGCAGAGGAGCTTGGTTTTATTTTATTTTTTTAATTAATTAATTTTTTTTTTTTTGAGATGGAGTCTCGCTCTGTCTCTTAGGCTGGAGTGCAGTGGCGCCATCTCAGCTCACTGCAACCTCCACTTCCCGGGTTCAAGCGATTCTCCTGCCTCAGACTCCCGAGTAGCTGGCATCAGAGGCATGCACCACCGCGCCCAGCTAATTTTTGTATTTTTAGTAGAGATGGGGTTTCACCACATTGCCCAGGATGATCTTGAACATGTGACCTCAGGTAATCCGGCCACCTCGGCCTCCCAAAGTGCTGGGATTACGGGCGTGAGCCACCACACTTGGCCCGGAACTTGGTTTTATAAACAGAGGGGCTGAGGGAAGCAGAAAGAGAAAACAGAAAGTGAATAGGTCATTTCAAAGCCACTTTTCTTGTAAAGGTTAAAGCAGAGGGGACTTTTTTTTATCATGCCAGCTAAAACCAGACTGTTTGGGGATTTGGCTATTATCGCTCTCTCTCTGTCCTGATTTCTTGGAAGGTCAGATAAACAACTTACTTTCAGTTTGGTGGTGTGGAACTTCACATGAGTGACTCCATTCTGGTTTGGTCTGTTGAGCCTGGTGCGGGAGCTCGGTCCAAACCAATGGCCTCCTAAAAATCTTATTTCATACCCCAATAATTTTTAGATTACAACATCCTACTGTTTATCAAATTTTATGCAGGTTCCTATACTCCTCTGTATTCCCCTTGCCTCATAATGTCTACAAATGCTGATGAGTATAAACTGTTTAAATCATAAAATATATTAAAAATAATTCTGTTGGGACATCTTTAAGACTCTCCTAGCACCATTGAAAGTTGTTGGTGCTTCCCCCATGGTACTGAAAAACTGAGATTTAGAAATACCATTGCCTACTTTAGGAATATAGTTTAAGGGAAAATGTGGGTTATAGCCTGTGTCCTAGAAACATTTCAAAGCCAAAAGGTCTTTTAGACATTCTGTGGGTCTTGGTGACATGGTTTGGTAGCCAGGGCAAAGAGGTGCTCTGGCCTCAAAACATCAGAAGGCCCTTCTCAGCACTGCTTGACTATATCATACAATGTAGTGCTTGTTTATTGTCTTGTATTATTTTTATTTTTATTTTTTTTAGTTTCCTTCCATCCTGGTCAATTGCATTGTTTTTAAGGTCTGTATTATTAAAATAATAGATGCACAAGGTAATAAATTATTATTATTATTATTATTCTGAGACAGAGTCTTGCTCTGTGCCCAGGCTGGGTGGAGTGCAGTGGTGCGATCTCGGCTCACTGCAACCTCTGCCGCCTGGGTTCAAGCGATTCTCCTGCCTCAGCCACCCGACTACAGGTGTGCACCACCATGTCCAGCTACGCTTTTGTATTTTTAGTAGAGACAGGGTTTTGCCATGTTGCCCAGCCTGGTCTCAAACTCCTAAGCTCAGGCAATCAGCCCGCCTCAGCCTCCCAAAGTGCTAGGATTACAGGTGTGAGCCACTGCACCTGGCCTACATGGTAATAAATTAAATAGCTCAGTATTACTGATGACAACAGTCTTCCATCCCATGCCTCCCAACCTCAGAAGCTGTCTTTTCACCACTAGAAATCTGAGAATCTGAGACCTTTTTTTTTTTTTTTTTTTTTTTGAGATGAGGTCTCTCTATGTTGCCCAAGCTGGTCTTGAACTCCTGGGCTCAAGTGATCCTCCTGCCTCAGCCTCCCAAAGTGCTGGGATTGCAGGCATGAGCCACTGCACCCAGCTTAGGATCTGAATTTTTTTTTTTTTTTGAGATGGAGTCTCACTCTATTGCCCAGGCTGAAGTGCAGTGGTGCCATCTCGGCTCACTGCAACCTCTGCCTCCCAGGTTCAAGCGATTCTCCTGCCTCAGCCTCCCAAGTAGCTGGGATTACAGGCGTGTGCCACCATGCCCAGCTAATTTTTGTATTTTTAGTAGACACGGGGTTTTGCCATGTTGGCCAGGCTGGTCTTGACCTCCTAACCTCAGGTGATTCTCCTGCCTCAGCCTCCCAAAGTGCTGGGATTACAGGTGTGAGCCACTGCACCTGGCCTGGATTTGAATTCTTTAGGTGGCTAATTCCACCTTGGAAGACATCTATTGACTCATACAATGAAACATGAGAATTTAACGCTCACTTTACCTCCCTAGTTTCCTCCATGTTTGACACTTCTAGTATTACTTTTACTTCATCTATTGGTTACTATTGTTCATTTACATATTCCGGATTTTATATCTTCTCCATCAACCTGACAAACTCTCTTCACTCCTCACTTTGTAAGACAGAACCCATTAGCATTTTCTTCACACTTTTTCCTCCACTTCCCATACTTCTTTTCTCAGCTACACTTATAGTACAACATAAAGAAAAATGCACATATCATGAGAACAGCTTGATGAATTTTCATAAATGGAACTGGTTTCGTAAATAGAACTGTTACAGTAGGTAGCTAGACATGAGCAGGCAGAAGAGGCCATCTCCCGCCATGACTGGCAGGCATCTGTCAGGTGATGGTCAGGCAGTTGTTACACTGTCTCACAGAGATCATTACTGGTCACAGCCAGCACCAGGCAAAGGTAGTCTCCCAACAGATAGAAAAACCCTGAAGCTGGTGATTAGCTTCCTAATAAGATCTCAGAAGCTGGGTGAGTGGGCTCACACAGGCACACTAAGAGGCAAAATTAGAGTTTAACTGGTTCCTTATAGGAACACGCAATTGGTAAGGGAAGACGTCTCAAGTGAGCATGTGCACAGCTCCAGGAAACACACTGTGCATGCTCCTTTCCCAAGTGCTGGCAGGCCACTGCAGCTGCGGACAGCCCACCCCAAGGGAAGAATCAGGGAGAAGGGAACCAACACCCCCAGAAACATGCCAACATATAAAACCCCAAGTCAAAGGTCAAAACAGTG
Organism: Homo sapiens; assembly: GCF_000001405.40. Taxonomy (NCBI): domain Eukaryota; kingdom Metazoa; phylum Chordata; class Mammalia; order Primates; family Hominidae; genus Homo; species Homo sapiens. The sequence continues at coordinate 48,428,699 of NC_000016.10, read as the reverse complement.
CATTTGATCTCTCAAGTCACCCACTTGGCCCTCTTCCAAGTGTACTTTACTTCCTTCCATTCCTGCTCTAAAACTTTTTAATAGGCTGAGCATGGTGGCTCATGCCTGTAATCCCAGCACTTTGGGAGGCCTAGGCAGGCAGTTCATTTGAGGCCAAGGAGTTCAAGACCAGCCTGGCCAACATGGTGAAACCCCATTTCTACTAAAAATACAAAAATTGGCCAGGCACAGTGGCTCATGCTTGTAATCCCAGCACTTTGGGAGGCTGAGGCAGGTGGATCACCTGAAGTCAGGAGTTTGAGACCAGCTGGCCAACATGGTGAAACCCTGTCTCTACTAAAAATACAAAAAATTAGTTGGGCATGGTGACAGGCCCCTGTAATACCAGCTACTCAGGAGGCTGAGGCAGGAGAATTGCTTGAACCCAGGGGGTGGCGGTTGCAGTGAGCTGAGATGGTGCCACTGCACTCCAGCCTGGGCAACAGAATGAGACTCCATCTCAAAAAAAAACAAAAAAAAAAAATCTGGATCATGAGCCATGGCTACAAGGGAAGGGGGCCTGGAAACAGAGTCTGCAATGGAAACAGAATCATTCATCATTCATGCATCAGCCCTTAAGATGGCACACAGGCAGCCTCAAACAAAATCTGGTTCCATTAGGAAAAAAGAAGGGAAAGAATCGTTTAGGGGTAGGTAACTGTTTGCATCTACCACAGACACCCACATCTATACAAGAGGTACACACATTCTTGTGAAACTCACACGCTTGCCCTCACACCTGCCCAAGCAGAGAGAAGAGGCTCCCCTCTCTGCTCCCAGAGCCCCCGTGGACACCTCAGTGTTGGTGTTAATTACCCGGCTTGGAGCTGCTTGGTCTCTGTCTTGTCTCAGAACTGTGAATTCCACGGAGGAGGGATTGTGTGGTCATCTTGGAATCTCCAGAGCCTGACCTCCAATAGGGCATTTGAGACCTACTGAGGAATGAGGGAAAGACAGGAGAGAGGGAGAGGTGGAGGGAGGCAGGATAGGCAGGAGAAACAAGGGAGTCATTGGTATCTTTTGGATTAACTTTTCTGGCCCCTGAGAACAATGTCTGTTGGTTTTGGATTCTGGAGCTTTTAGTATAGTCTGGTCTAAATTGGAGTTCACAGAACACCCAGAATGCAAAGCGAACATGGCTTCTTTAGTTTTTCAGTGTCCGATGAGCTCTTTACATTGCAGAGAGGTGAGGGTGAGAAAGGAGAGCTGCGTCTGCTCCATCTGTGTCTGTGTCTGGCAAACAGGAGCCCAGGGCAATGATTTCTCAGCTACTTTAAGGCCCACCCCTTCTCTTCCCCAGGATGGTGCCTTGGTACAGAGGGTCACTGAGTCCTGGAGATGACAGAAGGGTCATTCCCATCTAGGTAGGGTCCTATGGACGTGCATTGGTCTCTGAAGCTGAGCATCTCCCTGCCCCTGCCCCTGGGACTGGCGATGCTGAAGTGTGAGTGTACGTCTGGCACCATCCGTGCTCTGGGCCATAGAGGCCTCAGCACCCAGCCAGGCCTCTGAGGGTCCACAGGCTCTCTCAGGCTCTCTGCATCTCCTTGCTGGGACCTGGGGAAACCTCCAGGTCCCTGAATGCCACACCTTGAAGAGCCAAGGGGTTCTGCCCTAGACTCATTTTTGTAGCTGTGTTTGACACCACGTTCTCTTCAGTCTCTTGTTAAAAATGTTGCCAAACCACAGGATAGGCCTCCCAGGGCTGGCAGCCTCCCCCAGACAGTGTCCAGGGAAGCAAATCATGAGCCTTCATGTCTTCAGGCTCCATTGCTCCCAGCTGGGTGAGCCTGAATCCCCTTCTCACCTAGGCAGAGCCCCAAAGAGAAACAAACATGAAGGGCCCAACCATCTCACCTACCTCAAGATCCCTGCTTCTCACAATCCTGTGAAGAGGAAAGAACAGGCTTTTCATTTTCTTCTGTATGACTGAGACTTCCACATTTGCACTAAGCCATACCCTCCTCTCTGACTGCAGTTTCACAGCTCAACTCTGGTTGCAGATGGGGTACCTGCAGGGAGAGAAGCCAGCCCACCAGTATGGGAACATACACATTATTTCAAAATATCAGGCTGGGCACAGTGGCTCACACTTGTAATCCCAGCAGTTAGGGAGGACAAGGAAGGAGGAGCACTTGAGCTCAGGAGTTTGAGATCAGCCTGGGCAGCATGATAAAACCCCATCTCTATAAATAATACAAAAATTAGCCAGGCGTGGTGGCATGTGGCTGTAGTCCCAGCTGCTCAGGAGGCTGAGGTTGGTTGGGAGGATGGCTTGAGCCTGGGAGTTCAAGGCTACAGTGACAGACCTGCACTCCAGCCTGGGTGACAGAGTGAGACCCTGTCTCAAAAAAAAAAAAAAAAAAAAATCATACTGGTACAAAATGAACCCAGATACACTTGAAAATAAGAACTTTTTACTAAAAAATACAGGGTAGCCAGGCACAGTGGTGCATGCTTGTAATCCCAGCTACTCAGAAGGCCAAGGCAGGAGAATAACTTGTGCCCAGGAGGCAGAAGTTGCAGTGAGCCGAGATCGCACCACTGTGCTCCAGCTTGGGCAACAGAGCAAGACCCTGTTTCAAGAAAACAGATAAATACAGGGATCTCTTACATGGATCTCAAGGCAGGGAATGAAGTCTACTTAATTCAAATCAAATGGCAGGATGAGGCAGTCCCATGGTCCCCTGCAGTAATGAACACGTCATTTCTCAGTCTCAAAGACAGATTCTCAGGACAGAATTGGTTGGCCAGGCTGGGTCCTGACCAGGGAGTGGGATCATGAGGTACAAATGTGGCTTCCAGGGAGCCACCAAGGTGGGAGAGGACATTGTGGGGGCAGTTTCCTAGGAGGAACAATGGTTTCTGGGCTAGGCAGACACCTTTCATATTGTCCACTTTGATAGAGACCCAAACAAATAATTGATGAAAATGAACTTAGGTTCTCAGAGCAACATAAACATACTTCATTAAATATGAGCTTTGTCAAAGAAAATACAAATGCTGTTTTAGCCCATATTCAGTGTAAATATGTGGCTTTCTAAATATTTTCTGTATTAGAAAGATAATTGACTTGCCACTTCCACCACGGTTATTTTGTAGGACATCTACACGTCCTGCCTCTCCTGCATAGGAGACATGAGGTCCGGAAGCTTTGTAGGTGTTAAAGGAAAAAAAGAGTGATGAGGTGACCATGGACTCTAAGATCTGACACCAAAAGTAAAAGCAACAAAAACATAGATAAATTGGACTTCGTGAAAATGTAAAGCTTTTTAAAAAATACTTTTATTTTTTAATTTTAATTTTTTTTTTTTTTGAGACAGGGTCTTACTCTGTCACCCAGGCTGGAATGCAGTAGCATGATCTCAGCTCACTGAAACCTCTGCCTCCTAGATTCAAGCAATTCTCCTACCTCAGCCTCCCGAGTAGCTGGGATTACAGGTGCTACCACACCCAGCTAATTTTTGTATTTTTGTAGAGACCAGGTTTCGTCATGTTGGCCAGGCTGATCTCGAACTCCTGACCTCAAGTGATCCACCTGCCTCGGCTTCCCAAAGTGCTGGGATTACAGGTGTGAGCCACTGTGATGGTGTCACTCCAGCTTGGGTGACAGGGTGAGACCCTGTCTCAAACTGGTACAAAATGAACCCAGGTACACTTGAAAGTAAGAACTTTTTGTTAAAAAGATACAGGGTAGCAAGGCATGGTGGTGCAAGCCTGTAATCCCAGCTACTCAGAAGGCCAAGGCAGGAGGATCACTTGAGCCGAGGTTCTTCCTAAGGGGTACAGAGTTTCTGTTCTTGGTAATGGAAAAATTTCAGACATAGTGGTGATGGCTCTGCAATATTGTGAATGTCATTAATGCCACTAAATGGTGCACTTAAAAAGAGTCAAAATCACATATTTTATATTGCATATATTTTACCATAATTAAGAGAAAAAAAGCAATGAGAATGCTGAGTGAAAATTCTCAGGACTACTGGTACAGGGCTGCACCAAATTCCCCAAACGTGGGAGCCAGGCCTGCTGAAATTACTACATCATTAGTTCTGTTTGTTTCCTTTGTCAAAAACAAACAAGCATGTAAGAAGAAAGAAAAAGGGACATGGTTATCTGTACCCTCTCTCATCTTGATTTGGAAGGGGAAATACCACATTGTAATTGTCATGAGTTGTAATTAAAAGGTACAGGTTGATGACTGCATGGCAAGGTTCCCCTTTAAGGCATCATAATGCTATTAGGTGCTTATCTCCGGTTAAAAATGAGAGCTGCATTCGTGCATTATGTAGTCAAGCAGTCTTTCGCCATGTGTGTATCCATATCTAAAAGTGTGGTTATTTGCGTGGCTGAGTACCCTAGACTGAAAGAAATTCACCATATGACAACTGGAGTCAACAGACTCTGAAATCTATTTCTATCAAATATCTAAAGTAATACTACTATGCTGTTATAAAACAGTTATATTTGATCCAGCAATTTCAATCCTGGTTATGTACCCCCCAAAAATGAAAATGTATATCCACAGAAAAATTTTTACATGTTCACAGAAGCTTTATTCATAATAACCAAAAAGTAGAAACAACCAAATGTCCGTCAACTAATAAATGGATAAATAACATGCAAGATAACCATACAATGGATTATTATTCACCAATAAAAAGGAACAAAGAACTAATACATGCTACATTTATGAACTTTGAAAACATTATGTTAGGGCCAGATGCAGTGGCCCATGCCTGTCATTCTAGCAGTTTGGGAGGCCAAGGTGGGCAGATCACCTGAGGTCAGGAGTTTGAGACCAGCGTAGCCAACATGGTGAAACCCTATCTCTACTAAAAATACAAAGATTAGGCTGGGCATGGTGGCTCACGCCTGTAATCCCAGCACTTTGGGAGGCTGAAGTGGGCAGATCACCTGAGTTTGTGAGTTTGAGACCAGCCTGACCAACATGGAGAGACCCTGTCTCTACTAAAACTACAGAATTAGCCAGGCACGGTGGTACATGCCTGTAATCTCAGCTACTTGGGAGGCTGAGACAGGAGGTGGAGGTTGTGGTGAGCCAAGATCATGCTATTGCACTCCAGCCTGGGCAATAGAGCAAGACTCTGTCTCAAAAAAATAAATAAATAAGAAAAAGAAAAAGAAAAGAAAACATGTTAAGTAAAAGAAGCCAGTCATGAAAGGCTATGTATTATATTGACTCCACTTATTTGAAATGTCCAGAATGGGCAAATCTATACAGACAGAAAGTAGATTAATGGTTGCCTAGGGGTGGGGGGCTGGGGGATCTGGGAATGAAGGGTGATAGCTAATGGATATGGGGTTTCTTTTTAATGGCGAAATGTTTTAAAAATAATTTGTGATGACCATTGCACAATTCTATGAATATACTAAAAAAAATTGAATTGTACACTTTATTGTTGTTGTTAGAGACAGGGTCACACTCTGTCACTCAGGCTGGAGTACAGTGGCACGATCATGGCTCACTGCAGCTGCAACCCACCAGGCTCAAGCAATCCTCCCACCTCTCAGCCTCCCGAGTAGCTGTGACTATAAGCACATGCCACTATGCCTGGCTAATTTTTGTATTATTTGTGGATGTGGAGTTTCACCATGTTGCCAGGCTGGTCTCGAACTCCTGGGCTCAGGCAAGCTGCCCGCCTTGGCCTCCCAAAGTGCTGGGATTACCCATGAGCATCCGTGTCCAGCCTGAATTTTACACTTAAAAAGAGTGAATTGTATGGTATGTGAATTATATATCAATAAAGCTGTTATTGTATAATACTCCCTCCATTCCCGCCCCCCTCAAAGCCCACATACACAGAATAAAATGAAAAGGTCTGCATGGCTGGCTGACTAGATGTGAGGACTAAGTCAGAGCAAGGTCCACACAGTCTGAATCTGATCTGCTGCATGTATAATTCCCTATTGGCTACAATGTTCTAGTTTTTTTATGAGTGAATTTTGGAATATCATTGCTAAGATGAACACATATGCATTGCATTAAATTAAACAAAATGCAGAAATCTAAATTACAAAAACTGCATGTATTTTAAAACCAACGATGAGTGGTTTAAATTGCATTTGACAGATCATTTATTTAGAGATGCAGAGAGATAATTACGCTTCTTGAGTTGCATTCATGTAACTTTTTTTTTTTTGAGATGGAGTCTTGCTCTGTCACCCAGGCTGGAGTACAGTGGCGTGATCTCAGCTCACGGTAACCTCCGCCTCCCGGGTTCAAGTGATTCTCCTGCCTCAACCTCCTGAGTAGCTGGAATTACAGATGCACGCCACCATGCTAGGCTAATTTTTGTATTTTTAGTAGAGAAGGGGTTTCACCATGTTGGTCAGGCTGGTCTTGAACTCCTGACCTCGTGATCTGCCCGCCTCGGCCTCCCAAAGTGATGGGATTACAGGCATGAGCCACCATGCCCAGCCTCATGTAATCTTTTAAAATAGCTTTATTGAGATATAATTCACATATTATACATTTCACACATTTAAAATGTACAATTCAATCATTTTTCGTTTCTTCCACAGGTGTGCAACCATCAACACAACCAATTTTAGGACATTTTATTTAACCCCCCAAAAAACTGTATAACCTTTGGCAATCATCCTTCATTACCCCACCCACTTCCCCAGCCCTGGGAAACCACTTATCTTTATATAGATTTGTTTATTCTGGACATTTCCCACAAATGGAATCATATCTTTGGTCTTCTGTGACTGGCTTCTTTCGTTAGCATAATGGGGTTTTTTTTGTTTGTTTTGTTTTGTTTTATAGAGACAGAGTCCCCCTGTGTTGCCCAGGCTGGTCTCAGTCCTCCTACCTATGCCCTCCAAAGTGCCGAGATTACAGCTGTGAGCTACTGTACCTGGCCTATCATGTTTTCAAGGTTCATTTATGTTGCAGGATATATTCTTGTTTTTTGTTCTTTTGTTTTATGTTTTTCTTTCTTTCTTTTTTTTTTTTTTGAGATGGAATCTCTCTCTGTAACCCAGTCTGGAGTGCAGTGGCGTGATCACGGCTCACTGCAACCTCTGCCTCCAGGGTTCAAGTGATCTCCTGCCTCAGCCTCCCTAGTAGCTGGGACTACAGGCGCATGCCACCACACCCGGCTAATTTTTGTATGTTTAGTAGAGACAGGGTTTCACCATGTTGGCCAGGCTGGTCTCGAATTCCTGACCTCAAGTGATCCACCCGCCTCAGCCTCCCAAAGTGCTGGGATTACAGGCATGAGCCACCAGGCCCAGCTATTCTTTTTTGTTGATAAGTAATATTCCATTGTATAAATAGACCACATTTTATTTCTCCATGCATCGGTTGGTGGACATTTAGGTCATTACTACTTCATGACTATTATGAATAGCCATATGAATGCTTCCATGAATATTCGTGCTCAAGTTTTCACGTGAACATATATTTTCAGTTTTCTTGGTATATGCTCAGGAGTGTAATTGCTGGGTCATATGGCAGCTTTCTTTGAGGAACTGTCAGACTGTTTCCCAAAGCAGCTGCACCATTTCCCATTCTCACCAGCAGTGGTGAGGGTTCCAATTTCTCCACATCCTTGCCGACACTTTTTATTATCTTTTTCAGTATAGCCATTGCAGTGGATGTCAAGTGGTATCTTATGTGGTTATAATTCCTAATGGCTAAGGATGTTGACCTTTTTTTCCAGTTTACTTTTGAATTCTCTCTAACTCCCCTGTGCCTGCTTATTTAGGTCCTAGCCATCTCCTTTTTTTTTTTTTTTTTTTCAAGAGACAAGGTCTTGCTCTGTGGCCCAGGCTGGAGTGCAGTGGCACAATCATAGCTCACTGCAGCCTCAAACTCCTGGACTCAAGCCATCCTCCTCCTTCAACCTCCTGAGTAGCTGGCACTATGGCACTATTTTTTGTAAAGAGAGGGTCTTGCTATGTTGGCCAGGCTGGTCTCAAACTCCTGGGCTCAAGCCATCCTCCCACCTCAGCCTCCTGAGTAGTTGCAATTACAGGCTCCAGCCACTGCACCTGGCACTCACTGCACCTGGCACTCACCGTCTCCTCTCTGACTGATTTGCATGCCTCCTAACTGGGCTTTCCATTTTCCATTTCACTCCCTATGATGCAATCCTGGACCATGTCACTTTCTGTTTAAAACCTTGAATGACTCCCTATTGCCCACAGGACAGAGCCTGCACTTTGAAGTATGGCATTCAAGACCCTTCACAGTCAGTCTCCACCCTATCTTTCTGGGTCCCATTTCCCTCTGTCCCCTCCAGTGCAGCCATCCTGTGCCTTTGCCCATGCTGTTCTCTCTTATAATCCCTTCCCTGAAGTGTCCCTACTCAGTACCTACTTATCCTTTAAAACCTAGCTCAGGCAGGGTGCAGTGGCTCACGCCTTTAATCCCAGCACTTTGGGAGGACAAGGTGGGAAGATGGCTTGAGCTCAGGAGTTCGAGACCAGCCTGGGCAACATGGTGAAACCCCGTCCCTACGAAAAATACAAAAATTAGCCGGGCATGGTGCTGTGTGCCTGTAATCCCAGCTACTTGGGAGGCTGAGGTGGGAGGATCACTTGAGCCCAGGAGGCTGAGGCTGCAGTGAGCTGTGATTGTACCACTGCATTTTAGACTGGGCAGCAGAGTGAGACTCTGTCTCAAAAAAAAAAAAAAACCCTAGCTCAGACAGAAACTTCTGAGTGAAGCCTGTCTAAGATCACCTCCAGACAGGGCCCTCCTGCTGTACAACTCCAAGGGAGGTGATTCTCATGGTCATCTATGTCAGGATCAGCAAAGTCCAGCCCATAGGCCAAATCCACAAATCCAGCCCACCACCTGTTTTTGTGTGTTGCATGAACTAAGAATGATTTTCATTTTTGAACAGATGTAAATAATTTAAAAGTAAAATGAAAAGTGGAATACAGCCATGCTTATTTGTTTACATATTGTCTATTGCTACTTTCGTGCTACAAGAGCAGAGATGGTGGCCCACAAAGCATAAAATATTTACTATTGGCTGGGTGCAGTAGCTCACACCTGTAATCCCATCATTTTGGGAGGCCAAGGCAGGAGGATCTCGAGGTCAGGGGTTCGAGACCAGCCTGGGCAACATGGTAAAACCCTGTATCTACTAAAAATACAAAAATTAGCCAGGCATGATGGCGCACGCCTGTAATCACAGCCACTCCAGAGGCTGAGGCAGGAGAATTGCTTGAACCCAAGAGGCAGAGGTTGCAGTGAGCCAAGATGGTGCCACTGCACTCCAGCCTGGGTGAGAGAGCAAGACTCCGTCTGGAAAAAAAAAAATAAAATAATATTTTATATATATATATATATATATATATATATATATATATATATATATAAAATCCAGCCATTTACAGAACAAGTTTGCCAAACCCTGGTCTATGTTAGTGGTGCCCTGGAGTTGTGCAGTGTGCAACCTATACAGATGTACGCCAGCAGCTTTGCCTGCAGGCTCTCCTGGAACTGTTCATAACCTCTACTCTAGTATTTAGTATAAAATATAATAATTTGTCCTCTTCCCCTACAGACCTTGTACTCCAGTAACTGAGACTGACTCTCTGAGTCCTGCTTATCTTTGTATCCTCAGTGGATAGACCAAGGTCTGGCACAGAGAAGGACCTCAATAAATGTCTGTGTTACTCCACTCAATTAACTATTTCCCGGACACTGAAGATGAACTAATAAAACACGATTACTATTTCAGGATTACTTAACTCATAAGTAAAAATGGTAGTACTATGACTAGCAAAAAATCATAGATTTATTGTTTCTGGCTTTATTTTATTTTTATTTATTTATTTTTTTATGAGACAGAGTTTCGCTCTTTTGCCCAGGCTGGAGTGAAGTGGCATGATCTCGGCTCACTGCAAACTTTGCCTCCCGGGTTCAAGCAATTGTCCTGCCTCAGCATCCCAAGTAGCTGAGATTATTATAGGTACCCAGCACCACTCCTGGCTAATTTTTGTATTTTTAGTAGAGGCAGGGTTTCAGCATCAACATGCTGGTCTCAAAATCCTGACCTAAGGTGAGCCACCCACCTCGGCCTCCCAAAGTGCTGGGATTACAGGCTTGAGCCACCGCACCCGGCCTATTTTATTTTATTTATTTATTTTTGAGACAGGGATCTCACTTGAACTGACTCAAACTAGATTCTTTTTTAGCTCACTGTAGCCTCTAACTCCTGCAGCACAAGTGATCCTTTCAACTAAGCCTCCCAAACAGCTGGGAATACAGCTGTGCAACACCATACCTTGCTAAGTTTTTCTATTTTTTTGTAGAGACAGGGTCTTGCAGCATTGCCCAGACTGGTCTCACACTCCAGCATAACTTGTTTGATTTGAACCTCTTTTCTCCCAGACAAGTGCTAATTGGCATATTTCACTGAATCAAGTTAGAATCACTATGTTTGGGGTAAGATGCTGGAGATGTACAGACCACTCACCGACCGGACAGAGCTCAGGCTACACGGAGTTGCAGTTGGGAGTCCAGCCTCCAGAACATGGTTCTAACTAGGGTAGGTGAATGTGGGGAGGTTCATCCTGCATAATCACCAGATATCAGTAAAAAAGAGGGCTGAGAAGGCAGTAGAATAAGAATTCTGAAGCTGTTACACTCAAGATGTATGTGTGGACTGAGGGCACAGGCACCAGCCAACATCAAACCCATGCTTTCTGCTGGGTACCGCAGAAAGGAGGCATCTGGCTTTCCCCCTCTCATTCAGTCCCCGAAAAAAATCCATCTCAGTTGAGGGTGCAGGCCCAGAGAAGTGATGCCACTTGTCCCCACCTGCCTTGGCAGAGCAGTTATTCAAGCTCAGGTCTCCCAGCCTGTACCTGTCTGTCTACCATAGGCACTTGGTGAACACTTACCACCAAGAGCTTGCTCTTTCAACAAGGACTTTCATGGGCCTTTCCTCACTCCTAGTTTCTCTTTGGTTCCCTGAAATTGATTTATTCCCCTGCAGGAGAAAAGTCCCAACCTCTTACCATGAATTAGAAGGCCCTGCCCTCTCCCTCTCTCCCTCTCTCCCTCTCCCTCCCCGTCTCCCTCTCCCTCCCCGTCTCCCTCTCCCTCCCCGTCTCCCTCTCCCTCCCCGTCTCCCTCTCCCTCCCCGTTTCCCTCTCCCTCCCCGTCTCTGTCTCCCACTTTCCACGGTCTCCCTCTGATGCCGAGCCCAAGGTGGACTGTACTGCCGCCATCTCGGCTCACTGCAGCCTCCCTGCCTGATTCTCCTGCCTCAGCCTGCCCAGTGCCTGGGATTGCAGGCGCGTGCCGCCACGCCTGACTGGTTTTTGTATTTTTTGGTGGAGACCGAGTTTTGCCGTGTTGGCCGGGCTGGTCTCCAGCTCCTGACCGCGAGTGATCTGCCCGCCTCGGCCTCCTGAGGTGCCGGGATTGCAGGCGGAGTCTCGCTCACTCAGTGCTCAATGTTGCCCAGGCTGGAGTGCAGTGGCGTGATCTCGGCTAGCTACAACCTCCACCTCCCAGCCGCCTGCCTTGGCCTCCCAAAGCGCCGAGATTGCAGCCTCTGCCCGGCCGCCACCCCGTCTGGGAAGTGAGGAGCGTCTCTGCCTGGCCGCCCATCGTCTGGGATGTGAGGAGCCCCTCTGCCCGGCCGCCCAGTCTGGGAAGTGAGGATCGCCTCTTCCCGGCCGCCATCCCGTCTGGGAAGTGAGGAGCGTCTCTGCCCGGTCGCCCGTCGTCTGAGATGTGGGGAGCGCCTCTGCCCCGCGGCCCTGTCTGGGATGTGAGGAGTGCCTCTGCCCGGCTGCGACCCCGTCTGGGAACTGAGGAGTGTCTCTGCCAGACCGCCACCCCGTCTGGGAGGTAAGGAGCGTCTCTGCCCGGCCGCCCTGAGAAGTGAGGAGCCCCTCCCCCCGGCAGCCGCCCCGTCTGGGAAGTGAGGGGCCCCTCTGCCCGGCCGCCACCCCTTTTGGGAGGTGTACCCAACAGCTCATTGAGAACGGGCCATGATGACGATGGCGGTTTTGTCGAATAGAAAAGGGAGAAATGTGGGGAAAAGAAAGAGAGATCAGATTGTTACTGTGTCTGTGTAGAAAGAAGTAGACATAGGAGACTCCATTTTGTTCTGTACTAAGAAAAATTCTTCTGCCTTGGGATGCTGTTAAATCTATAACCTCACCCCCAACCCCGTGCTCTCTGAAACATGTGCTGTGTCCACTCCTGGTTAAATGGATTAAGGGCGGTGCAAGATGTGCTTTGTTAAACAGATGCTTGAAGGTAGCATGCTCGTTAAGAGTCATCACCACTCCCTAATCTCAAGTACCCAGGGACACAAACGCTGCGGAAGGCCGCAGGGTCCTCTGCCTAGGAAAACCAGAGGCCCTTGTTCTCATGTTTATCTGCTGACCTTCCCTCCACTATTGTCCTATGACCCTGCCAAATCTCCCTCTCCGAGAAACACCCAAGAATGATCAATAAATACTAAAAAAAAAAAAAAATGAAATGAATTGGCGAGCTCTTCTAATAAATAACCCCAATCACATTTTTGTTCTTTGAAAAAAAAAAAGAAGGCCCTTCAAGAACCGCCCTGTGCTTCCCTCTTCAGCTTTGCCTTCTAGTTTCACCTCGTGCCCCCAACCCTAGACTTTCACGTCAGTTCAAGTTTAATAAAACTTGAAGAAAAAACAACGAAGACTTATTTTGTGCTTACCATGAGCCAGGCACTATTCTAAGCAGTTTCACCTACACTGTCTCATTTAAAATTCTATGAAAGCCGGGTGCAGTGGCTTACTCCTGTAATCCCAACACTTTGGGAGGCTGAGGTGGGAGGACTGCCTGAGGTCAGGAGTTCAACACCAGTCTGGTCAACATGGTGAAACTCCGTCTCTACTAAAAATACAAAAATTAGCTGGGCATGGTAGCGCACACCTGTAATCCCAGCTACTCGAGATGCTGAAGCAGGAGAATCACATGAACCCAGGAGGTGGAGGCTGCGGTGAGCCAAGATTGCGCCACTGCACTCCAGCCTGGGTGACAGAGCGAGACTCGGTCTCAAAAATAAAAAAAAAAGAAAAAGAAAAAGAAAATAAATATATATATGTATATTTTCTATGAAGGAGATTAAATAACCCAGCCCATTTTATAGATGAGGGAGCTGAGCCCAGAGGGGTTATGAAATTTGCCTGAGGTCATACAGTCAGTGAGTAGCAGTTAGAATTTGCACCCAGGCAGTCTGACTTGAGAAAGTATAAAGGCTTAGCTGATACGTCCTTCAACTCTTGCAAATACTATTTCTTTCCATTTTTTCAGTGGGCCATCCTCTATCTGCCTTCCAGTCTTTGCACTTTATAGTTTCCTGTTCCTAATACACTCTCCATCTTGCCTGATTAACCCTACTCATTGTTCAGATTTCAGCTAAGATAGCACCTCTAGGCTGGTCACGGTGGCTTACGCCTGTAATCCCAACACTTTGGGAGACTGAGGTGGGCAGATCACCTGAGGTCAGGAGTTCAAGACTAGCCTGGCCAACACAGTGAAACCCTGTCTCTACAAAAATATGAGAATTAGCTGGGCACGATGAGGGTGCCTGTAATCCCAGCTACTCGGGAGGCTGAGGCGGAAAAATCGTTTGAACCCGGGAGACAGAGGTTGCAGTGAGCCAAGATCGTGACAATGCACTCCAGCCTGGGCGACAGAGCCCAAAATATACAATACTCTATGAGCATGTATTGTTTGTGTATATATATATATTTTTTAGATGAAGTTTCACTCTTGTTGCCCAGGCTGGAGTGCAGTGGCACAATCTCGGCTCACCGCAACCTCCACCTCCCAGGTTCAAGTGATTCTCCTGCTTCCGCCTCCCGAGTATCTGGGATTACAGGCTTGCACCACCATGCCCAGCTAGTTTTGTTTTTTTTTTTTTTTTTTTGGTAGTTTTAGCAGAGGTGGGGTTTCTCCATGTTGGCCAGGCTGGTCTCGAACTCCCGACCTCAGGCAATCCACCCACCTTGGCCTCTCAAAGTGCTGGGATTACAGGCATGAGCTGCTGCGCCCAGCCATTGTATATTTTAAAATAATTGACAACTGGACACACTGACTCATGTCTGTCATCCCAGAGCTTTGGAAGGCCAAGGCAGGAGGATCACTTGACCCCAGGAGTTTGAGACTAGCCTGGGCAACATAGCCAGACTTCATCTCTACAAAAGTTTAAAAAATTAGCCGGGCATGGTGGCATATGAATGTAATTCCAGCTACTCAGGAGGCTCAGACAGGAGACTTGCTTGAGCCCAAGAGTTTGAGGCTGCAGTAAACTATGATCACACCACTGCATTCACCTGGACAACAGAGCAAGACTCTGTGTCTAAAAAAAAATTTTACTTATATAAAAATAATTGAAGTGTTGATTTTTAAAAATGAAAGTAAGTAGAGTAGTTGCAGACTTCCTAACTGGCTCAGGGGTACTGAGGGGATGGTCCTGGCGGCTGGCCCTGTGCACATTTCAGCAAGTTGGCAGTCTTGCAGTCTTCCCCTCCTGACACTGCAGTTCCTACACCTTCTTAGAATTTCAGGCCATCTCAGCTTTCCCCCAAGTGACTCAGGAAGGGGAGTTTCCCATGCAAGGCTGTTTGCTGGCAACCCACAAGTATGATTCGGAAAGGATGCATCAATTTCAGATCCAGATCTGGCCAATTACACCATCACATTAAGAACAAATCTTAGGCCGGGCGCGGTGGCTCATGCCTGTAATCCCAGCACTTTGGGAATCCGAGGCAGGCAGATCACCTGAGGTCAGGGGTTCGAGACCAGCCTGGCCAACATGACAAAACCCCGTCTCTACTAAAAATACAAAAATTAGCTGGGCGTGGTGGTGCATGCCTATAATCCCAGCTACTGGGGAGTCTGAGGCAGGAGAATTGCTTGAACCTGGGAAGCAGAGGTTGCAGTGAGCTGAGATCACGCCACTGCACTCCAGCTTGGGCAACAGAGTGAGACTGTCTCAACTGAAAAAAAAAAAAAAAAGAACAAACCTTGATGGGAGGTGTGGGGGCAGGCGAGTGGGGTTTAGGAGGGACTCCTGGTTTCTGTTTTGTTGTTCTTTGTTTTTTGGAGTGTGTGTGTGTGTTTACATTTCCACATGATTTGAATTTTTACAATGTGTATACATTGCTTTTGCAAACAGAAAATTTTAAATATATAAACAGTACTTGAAAAACTGCCAGGTGCAACCAGCCTACCCAGGGCCGATTCTGTGTCCTACATGTAGAAGAGGGCCCAGCCCTTTAGATAAAAGGTGTGGCCAGGCACAGTGTCCCACATCTATAATCCCAGTACTTTGGAGGCTGAGGAAGGAGGATTACTGGAGCCCAGGAGTTAAATGACCAGCATGGGCAACATAGGGACCCCATCTCTAGGAAACAAAAATTTTTTAATTGGCCGGGTGCAGTGGCTCTTGCCTGTAATCCCAGCACTTTGGGAGACTGAAGCAGGCAGACCACTTGAAGGCAGGAGTTTGAGACCAGCCTGGCCAACATGGTAAAACCCTGCCTCTACTAAAAATGCAAAAATTAGCTGGACATACTGGTGCATGGCTGTAATCCCAGCTACTGGGGGGCTGAGGCAGAAGAATCACTTGAACCCAGGAGGCGGAGGTTGCAGTGAGCGGAGATCGCGCCACTGCACTCTAGCCTGGCCATGATAGCGCCTCAGCACTCCAGCCTGGGTGACAGAGCAAGACCTTGTATAAAAAAAAAAAAAAGATAAGAAGTGATATGCATCCAGAGAGCTCAAATGTGATTCAGGGGCACATCCAGGTTAAAACCCATGCTTAGGCAAAAGGGAACCACAAAGGATTTTGGGGGGTTTTGGTTTTGTTTTCTATCTAAAAGGAAAACGCAGGACACAGAGTTTTGAGGTGGATAATACAGTGTCTGGTCCTGGGCAAGCATGAGTGTTCCTAAATTGTTCTCTAGGCTTGCCCCAGGCATATTTTAAGTTTCCTGTAAGCATTCCAGGCTTAACGATGGATTTTTCCTAATTCATCCTGAGCACACCCTCCACCCTTCTCCCCAGTCTTTATATCTGTCTTAGTTTGGGCTATTATGGCTAAGTACCTTAGACTGGGTGGCTTATAAACAGCAGCAATATATTTCTCACAGTTCTGGGGGCTAGAAGTCTGAGATCAGGGTCCAAGCATGTAGGATTCTGGTGAAGTCCTTCATCCAGGTTGCAGACTGCCGACTTCTCATCGTGTCCTCACAAGGTGGGAAGAGGGCTGAAGGGAGCTCTCTGGAGTCTCTTTTATGACACTAATCTCATTCGTGGGGGGATCCACCCTCACGACCTAATTACCTCTCAAAGGCCCCACCTCCTATTACCATCATATTGGGAATTTTGGGGGGTGGATGCAAACATGCAGTCCATTGCACCATCATCACAAATGGCATCTACCTAGTGCCCAAGCAAGACACTTCAGTGTTTTTTTTTTTGTTTTTTTGGTTTTTTGATTTGTTTTTGAGACGGAGCCTTGCTCTGTCACCCAGGCTGAAGTGCAGTGGCATGATCTCAGCTCACTGCAACTTCTGCCTTCTGGGTTCAAGTAGTTCTCCTGCCTCAGCCTCCCAAAAAGGTGGGGTTACAGGCATGCGCCAACGTGCCCAGCTAATTTTTGTATTTTTAATAGAGATGGGGTTTCGCCATGTTGGCCAGGCTGGTCTCAAACTCCTGACCTCAAGCAATCCACCCAACTCGGCCTCCCAAAGTGCTAGGATTACAGGTGTAAGCCACTGCACCTGGCCCACTTAAGTATTTTAATTTTTCCTTTTTGCTCACCTCCTATATGCAATCCATAGCTAGTCCTATGGATTTTATCCCCACAATGTACCTCTAGGTTACCTTCTTCTGTCTACACCCAAGCTACAACCAAAGCCCAGATCATCCCTCACCTGGTCACTGCTACAGGCTGTCTGGTCTCCCTGACGCTGATGGTGCCCCTCTCCAACCCCTTGTGGATTTAGCATCCAGAATGCTCTTGCCCAGACACAAACCTGCTTGTCTGCTTACACTCTTGAATGGCTCCCCACCCATAAGATAAAACAGGAGCTCTGTAGCATGGTCTGCAGGACTGTCCCTGAACTCACCTCTTATTATTCCCCATATGCATCCACGGGCACTCTCCACAGGGATTCGTATCGGCACTGTCACGCTTCCACATCTGCATGTGCTTGTACTTCTGGGATCTGATTTTCATCTCCCTTTTTGTCCCCTCACCTCTCAGAATTTTTGTTGTTGTTGTTTTTACACAGAGTCTCACTCTGTTGCCCAGGCTGGAGTACAGTGGTGCAATCTTGGCTCACTGCAGCCTCTGCCTCCCGAGTTCAACCTCCCTGTAGCTGGGATTACAGGTGTGCACTACCATGCCCAGCTAATTTTTGTACTCTTAGTAAAGGTGGGGTTTCTTATAAATAATAATAAGAAGGCCGGGTGTGGTGGCGCATGCCTATAATCCAGCACTTTGGGAGGCTGAGGCTGGTGGGTCACTTGAAGTCAGGATTTCAAGACCAGCCTGGCTAACATGGTGAAACCCCATCTCTACTAAAAATACAAAAATTAGCCAGGTGTAGTGGTGCATGCCTGTAGTCCCAGCTACTTGGTAAGCTGAGGCATAAGAATCGGTTCAACCCAGGAGGCAGAGGTTGCAGTGAGCCAAGATCGTGCCACTGCACTCCAGCATGGGTGGCAGAGGGAGACTTCTGTCTCAAAAAAAAAAAAAAAAAAAAAGAAGAGTGTAGGGCTCGAAAACTAGTAATGCTAATTAACTAACTCTGAGAACATCACATCTACCACCCATCTTTCTCTAACCATCTAATTTTGTTAGCCATAAATACATTTTTGAGCTGCTTATTCCTGAATCCAACTCTTGCATAAATTGTTGTGAACAAATACATGCATTGCTCAGTTCTATTGAACCACATGTGAAGACGGTGGGGAAGGCTGGTGGTCCCAGACTGTTTTGGTGCTCTATTCGGGGGTAGATAATTTCCTGAACTGGGCCTAATTGCTTTGGCTGCCAAGTAACAATTTGTTTTTAGTGGAAAACTTGGCCGAGGCAAGGCTTGTGCAATTGTGCCCTCGCCCTTACCTAAGGAATTCTGTGCACAGAGGCTGTCCTGTAGCTTCTGAGGTAGTCATGTGTGTAGACACACACCTGTAATTAGTGTTCAGGAGGTGCAGAGGGAGGTCACAAAATCCTTGTGTGAGTGCCAAGGAAGGGGCAGGACTAGAGAAGGGAGGCTCCTGGCCTGCACTGGGAGCTCAAGGGCAGAGCCCACTTCCTGGATGTCACCCACGCTTGAGCTCTGAAAGACCCCAAGGAAGCCACCTCGCTGATGAGGAAGGGCGGATGAGAGGAACGCTGAGGGGGTAGAATGCATGTGGCTTCTGGCAGCCTCTCTCTGAGGATTGCTCAAGTGTGTATGCCATGAACCTTGGCCTGCTTCTGATTTGTTGCTGCATATTGGATAGTTAGTATGTGCAGCAGCCTGGGTGACTCATGAAAGTGACTGATAAGCCCTCTCTCTCTTTGCAGTAAGGGCAGATTCTAGCATTTGAGTCCACTTTGGGAAGGGTGGTGTGTGAGGTCAACGTAGAATATTCCAGGCTGGCCAGGCATGGTTGGCCCATGCCTATAATCCCAGCATTTAGGGAGGCCGAGGCGGTTGGATGGCTTGAGCTCAGAAGCGTGTCTGTAGTCCCAGCTACTTGGGAGGCTGAGGTGGGAGGATCGCTTGAGCCCGGGAGGAGAAGATTGCAGTGAGCTAAGATCAAGCCACTGTACTCCAGCCTGGGCAACAGAAGGAAATTCTGTCTAAAAAAAAAAAAAAAAAAAGATATTCCAGGTCGTCTTGAAGTTCTCTCTTGACAAAGTTCTCTTAAGTTCCATCTAACAAACAGTTTTGTCTATTTGTTTTTATTAAAAGGAGGAAGAAAACAAAGAGAAAAGAAAGCTCTTACTTTTCCCTCCTAGGATTATAAGAAACATTACCCAATTTTAAAGGACTTCAAATTCAAATGTTGAAAGTCAGATGTTAAATAAGGTTTGTAGGCTGGGCTTGGTGGCTCACGCCTATAATCTCAGCACTTTGGGAGACCAAGGTGGGCAGATCCCTGAGGTCAGGAGTTTGAGACCAGCCTGGCCAACATGGTGAAACTCTATCTCTACTAAAAATACAAAAATTAGCCAGACATGGTGGCACACACCTGAAGTCTCAGCTACTCAGGAGGCTGAGGCAGGAGAATCACTTGAACCCGGGAGGTGGAGGTTGCAGTGAGCCAAGATCACACCACTGCACTCCAGCCTGGGTGACAGAGTAAGACTCTGTCTCAAAAAAATAAAATAAAAAATAAATAAGGGTTTGTAGAGATATCCTATAAACATAGAAGTTTCTCCAGCTCTAACATTTTAAAATTCTATGAATCTCAGATTTGTGTCACTCCAATATGTCCAGTAAAGTAGAAGGAAATATGACTTTGAAATTCACTAAAATGAAAAGATGGAAGCTGTATCTTTGCTGAATCCATGTCCTGAAATAGCTTTATAGGACAGGTAAAGCATTTCTGTTCATCTCTCCAGTAAATACTCGCATCTTGCAGCTGCCTCTCCGCGACCAGGGAAAGGAGAGCAGGCTTCCCAAGGAGGAGTGAAGTGGAGTCATTTCACAGGCACCCAGCCTCCCCTCACCCTGTTCTCTTTCTTCCTCTACAGTTGCCTTTCCCTGCAGTGGGACTGGCAGCCATCCAACACTTCTGCATTCTTCCAGTTGTCTCCCTTGTGTGGCCTTCCTTAGCTGCTTAGCACCATGACTCCACAAACCCACAAACACACAGCAGCCATCAGTTTAGTCCACATTTCTTAGGCATTAAAGACCCAATCTGGGCCGGGCGTGGTGGCTCATGCCTGTAATCCCAGCACTTTGGAAGGCCGAGGTGAGCGGATCACCTTAGGCTAGGACTTCGAGACCAGCCTGGTCAATATGGTGAAACCCCATCTGTACTAAAAATGAAAAAATTATCCAGGCATGGTGGCACATGTCTGTAATCCCAGCTACTCAGGAGGCTGAGGCAGGTGAATTGTTTGAACCTGGGAAGCCAAGGTTGCAGTGAGCCAAGATGGTGCCATTGCTCTCCAGCCTGGGTGACAGAGCAAGACTCTGTCTCAAAAAAAAAGACCCAATCTGACTCCAGTTGATGTGTCCAGATTTACCTCCCCAAAACAATCCCCTTATCCAGCCTCCATTTCCCTGTGCCCCTCCAGCATGCATGCCCCCTCTCCTCCCCTCTCCACACTCCCTTTCTCCTCCCATCTCCTGCATCCAACTGAAGCACTGCCTTCTCTTTCTGATGTGCCCCTACACCGAGTCTCAATTTTTCCATGCATGCTTTTTTTTTTTGAGACAGGATCTCACAGTGGTGTTATCACAGCTCACTGCAGCCTCAACCTCCTGGGCTCAGATGATCCTCCCACCTCAGCCTCCCAAGTAGCTGGGACTCTAGGTGTGCACCACCAAGTCCAGCTAATTTTTTTTTTTTTTTTTTTTTTTGGAGAGACAGTGGTCTCACTATGTTGCTCAGGCTGGTCTTGAACTCTTAAACTCAAACCATTCTCCAGCCTCAGCCTCCTAAACTGCTGGGATTACAGAGGTGAGCCACTGTGCCTAGCCTTACTTCTGCATTTATTCAAATGATCGTGTTCTAGTCACCTCCCTGGTGAGATGGTAGATTCCTTGAGGGTAGGGATGAAAGCTCATGCATTTTTCTATTCTCCACTGAACTTAGTACAGGAAGCAAAACAATATATTTTTTAATGGGTGAATGAATTTGTAAAAACTTTTTATTTGGTCCAATTACTGATTTTCCCCCTCTCACAAAACAAACTATTTTTTTGTAACACAGGAGGAAGAGGAGGGACTAATATCTGAAATGTTTACCTGGCCCTGAAATTTTCTCTCCTTTTATTTGATATGAGAACTTATCTTTGTCTTTATAATAAATTATATCTTATTTTTAGTATTAAAAAATCTTCTCAGCTGGGCTCTGTGACTCATGCCTGTAATCCCAGCACTTGGGAGGCTGAGGCGGGCAGATCACCTGAAGTCAGGAGTTTAAGACCAGCCTGGCCAACATGGTGAAACCCCGTCTCTACAAAAATACAAAAATTAGCTGGGCATGATGGCAGATACCTGTAATCCCAGCTACTGAGGAGGCTGAGGCAGGAGAATCACTTGAACCTGGGAGGCAGAGGTTGCAGTGAGCCGAGATGGTGCCATTGCACTCCAGTCTTGGTGACACAGTAAGACTCCGTCTCAAAAATAAAATAAAAATAAAAATAAAACCTTCTCATTATAGGCCAGGCGTGGTGCTGACACCTGTAATCCCAGCACTCTGGGGGACTGAGGTGGGTGGATGGCTTGAGCCCAGGAGTTCTAGACCAGCCTGGGCAACATAGTGAGACCCCCATCTGTATAAAAAATTTAAAAATTAGCTGGGTGTGGTGGTGCATGCCTGTTGTCCTAGTTACTTGGGATGCTGAGGAGGGAAGATCGCTTGAGTCCAGGAGTTTGAGACTACAGTGAGCTAAGATCACAGCACTGCACTGCAGCCTTAGCAACAGACCAAGACCCTGTCTCAAGTAAATAAATAACTTTTTATTATAAAGTCATACAACAAGTTATTTAATAAATTATAACAATACACAAGCGTGTTGTGTGGGAACAAAATTCCCCCACCCCAGGTTGCTCTTTCAGGATTATGAAAGAGAAACTCCATGATGCTGCCCAGAGCCATGGATTAGGGGGGATATCGGTCTAGATGAGCGTACAAAACGTACTACCCACTATGAGTGCATATGGCAAGACCTTTACTTCCCAGATGGAAGTTCCCTGAGCCTAAGGAATCCATCTGACTTGTGCAGCTTCTGAGCTCGCTGGATCTGTTCTATTCTCTGTGCAGTGGGGCTGACCATGGTGACTATCTCATAGGGTGGTAATGATACTGCAGGAGCATGGGAGTTGCTCAGCACAGCATCTGGCCCAAAGCAAGGGTTCAACCCATGTTTGCAGTCAAAATACAGCATGGCCCAGAGAACAACGTTGCTTGGACACCTGTAATCCCAGCACTTTGGGAGGCCGAGGCAGGTGGATCACCTGAAGTCAGGAGTTCAAGACCAGCCTGGCCAACATGGTGAAACCCCATCTCTACTAAAAATACAAAAATTAGCCAGGTGTGATGGCTCATGCCTATAGTCACAGCAACTCCGGAGGCTGACGCAGGAGAACCACTTGAACCCAGGAGGCAGAGGTTACAGTGAGTTGAGATCACACCACTGCACTCCAGCCTGGGCGAGATAGCGAGAAAAAAGAAAAAAAAGGTTGGAGAGCAGAGACTGAAGGCTGAGGGGAGTGCAGCATGGCTTCAACTGTCCTTCCTAGCATGTTTGACAGAGTCAGTGACTTGTAATTGAAAGTGGTAAAGAAATAAAGGAGATAGGGAGGCTGAGTGGTGGAAAGAAATGAACTTCGGACCCAGACAGACCTCAGTGTGAAGGCCAACTACATGACTGCCTATTTGTAATGACTTTGGTTGCATTTCCTGAACCTTATTTCCTCATTTATAAAATGGGCAAACAGTATACCTGTATACCAGTATACCTAGATTGTGAGGATTCAACGAGTTAGTGTGAAGTGGCTGGCACATGGTAGTAGATATCTAATAAATGTTAACAGTTTTCCTAGAGCGAGCTTTTGTTTTTTTGTTTTGTTTTGTAAAGTTTGTGTAAACACACAGAATTAGAGCTGAAAGGAGTTTCTAGGCCAAGACCTTCAGTTCCCAGATGGGGAAACTCAGAAAGAAGGTGCATGACTTGCCTGAGCTGTTTTCCAGCTCCCAGGCCATGGTCTGGCCCCCATCCCCAGGGGTCACTGTGACCTGGCTCCCCTGAGCCAGAAGGAGGCCATCTGAGATCCTCCTCTAGGGAAAGTTGGAGAAACCTAACCCTGCTGGGAGTTTTGTCACCAATTAGTTTAATGGACTCTTTTGTGTGGACCTGGCCAGGGAGCAGGAGGGGACAGGATTTATTTGCCTTTTCCTTTCACTACCTGGGCTTCCCAAATGCACATCCTTATGTTGACTTTGAGGCCCTCAGTGTCAGGACATCTATGCTTGCCCACCGCTATTGCTGTAACAAGGTTTTGAAGGATGCCAGGTGCATAATGTCCTGCCTTGTGTCTTTCTCTCTCTCTCTCTCTTTTTTTTTTTTAGGCAGAGTCTCACTCTGTCACCCAGGCTAAAGGGCAAGGGTGCAATCATGACTCACTGCAGTCTCCAGCTGCTGGGTTCAAATGATCCTCCCACCTCAGCCTCCTAAGTAGCTGGGACTGCAGGCATACACCTCCACACCTGCCTAATTTTTGTATTTTTTTGTAGAGATGGGGTCTTGCCATGTTGCTCAGGCTGGTCTCAAACCCCTGGGCTCAAGGGATCTGCCTATCTTGGCTTCCTAAAGTGCTGGGATTACAGGCATGAGCCACCACACCTGGCCCTGCCTTATTTCTTAATACCCAGAGGAAAAAAAAATGTGACCACTCAGATCTTGCACTCATATTTTTTTCTTCCTTTTCCTCCAAATTCAACCAAGGCAACATCTTATACTCTTTCCAAGAAAAACAACAACAACAGCAGCAGCAGCAGCAGCACCACTGTAATTCTCTAACATAGTTTTTTAAAAAATCACACAAAAAATGATGTGAAAGATGCTAAATTAGACTTGCCTAATGAGATGCCTACTTACCCTGGGTTTTGCTTCATGTCTCAGCCCTGGGCACTCTCAGTCATGGCCTTTGGGTCTTGCAACACTTGTCAAGCTCAAGCTCCCAAAGGAATTCTAGAAATCTGTTAGATCCTCCTCGCACCCCAACTCCCTTCAGTACCCAGTGTTCAGGATTAGTGGCAAGGGCCTAGTTTTTGTTTTGTTTTGTTTTGTTTTTTTGAGACGGAGTCTCACTCTGTTGCCCAGGCTAGAGTGCAGTGGCACTATCTCGGCTCACTGCAACCTCTGCCTCCCAGGCTCAAGTGATTTTCTGCCTCAGCCTCCCGAGTAGCTAGGATTACAGGCGTGTGCCACCACGCTTGGCTAATTTTTGTATTTTTAGTAGAAATGAGGTTTCGCTATGTTGGCCAGGCTAGTCTCAAACTCCTGAACTCAGGTGATCCACCAGCCTCAGCCTCCCAAAGTGCTGAGATTACAGGTGTGAGCCACTGTGCCCGGCCTGGCTTAGTTATTTACTACGTGAATAACTCATTCTCTTGGACCAAGCATCTTGCAGGGGACTGAACACCCCAAATCTATTTTCATGTAAATATCCTGTGCTTTTCCACTACATTGTATTCTATCAGGTGAGGATGAACAGAAGCTTGCACCATTAATAACTAGAGAAAGAAACAGGTAACCCGGGCAGGGGAACCCAGCATTTTTTCTCTTTGTGTTTAGAAAATCACCTTGGTTGGCATATTCAGCCAGCAAGAAAGAGAGGATCATCAGGCACAGTGGCTCACACTTGTAATCCCAGCACTTTGGGCGGCCGAGGAGGGCAGATCATGAGGTCAAGAGATCGAGACCATCCTGGCCAACATGGTGAAACCCCGTCTATACTAAAAATACAAAAATTAGCTAGGCGTGATAGCTTGTGCCTGTAGTCCCAGCTACCTGGGAGGCCGAGGGAGGAGAATTGCTTGAATCCGGGAGGTGGAAGTTGTTGTGAGCCAATATTGTGCCATTGCACCCCAGCCTGGTGACAGAGCGAGACACTGTTGCAAAAAAAAAAAAAAAAAAAAAAAAAAAAGGATCAAGGAATTATCTACAAAATGGAACCTTTTAAAACTCTAGAATGTCTTAAAGATATCCCCAACACAATGATCCCTGATGCTCTATTTCTATTTTCATCCTATAACTTTCCTTCAAGGAGTCTATAAAGCATCAACTCAAAGTGACAAGAAGTGGACACATATTCTAAGGGAGCTCCCCAGGACAAAAGGAAGATGGAGGAAATGGTCTCTGAAGGTATGTGTGAAGGTGCTAGACAGGAAGTTGTCCCTGCCCAGCCCTGGTCACAAAAAAAAAAAAACCTCTTTCATCCCAGCCACATCACAAACAAAACAGAGACATTTTGCACATCACCAATCAGTCTGGAATGACCTTTATGACTTTGGAATTGTCCTATCTCCTTCTATTCTCCACCATACCTACTTTATACCTTTCTTCAGTAAAAACTTCTCAATAACCTTTGCCATCTGCTGTGGGGAAACCAAACACGGAGAAGTCACAGTTGCTGTGCAATTTAGTTATGGAGACAAGACAGGGAGACCTTTAACAAAGAATAAAAATGAGGGGATGCTGGCCCAACTGTATCCCTTGTGCATATCTAAAAATAAAGGGGATCAGTGTGTAGATGAGTGGATTAAAACAAAAACAAAATAAGAAAATAAAAGTAAAGGGGAAATTAGCATAAGTTCTCTTGCAAAAAAAAAAAAACCAACCTGAGATTTTCTGAAAGTGTACTCTTTAGATTGGCTCTTGAAAGAAATGAGGGCTGGCCATGGTGACTCACGCCTGTAATCCCAACACTTTGGGAAGCCGAGATAGGCAGATCACTTGAAGTCAGGAGTTCGAGACTAGCCTGGCCAACACAACGAAACCCTGTCTCTACCAAAAATACAAAAAAAGTCGCTGAGCTTGGTGGCAGTAGTTCCAGCTACTCAGAAGCCTGAGGCAGGAGAATCACTTGAACCTGGGAGGCAGAGATTGCAGTGATCCGAGATTGCGCCACTGCACTTCAGCCTGGGTGACAGAGTGAGACTCCATCTCAAAAATAAATAAATAAAAAAGAAAGTGGCTGGGCACGGTGGCTCATGCCTGTAATACAAGCACTTTGGGAGGCCAAGGGGGGGTGGATCACCTGAGGTCAGGAGTTCGAGACCAGCCTGACCAACAGGAAAAAACCATGTCTCTAATAAAAACACAAAATTAGCCAGGTTTGGTGGCATGCGCCTGTAATCCCAGGTACTCGGGAGGCTGAGGCAGTGAGAATCACTTGAACCCGGAGCCAGAGGTTGCAGTGAGCCAAGATCGCGCCATTGCACTCCAGCCTGGGCAACAAGAGTGAAACTCTGTCTTAAAAAAAAAAAAGAAGAAAGCAATGAGGAGGTAGACTGGGGGAAAGACGGCCTTCCTAGTCGGGAAAGCAGCAGGGTATAAAGGAAGGAATAATGAACGGAGAGTTAGGAGAGCTTGGGGTGCATCCAAGCTATCTTGAACTGGGGTTTGCATCTAGGGCATGGGGTGGCCCAGGGTCTGTGAGGTCATTTTCTGATACTTATAGTCGATGGTTAACTTATGATTCTGTGATGGGTTTGGAATACAGATCTGCCAGGCTTGTGCTCCTGGTGTGTGTTATGTCCTTCCACACCCTAGTAGGATGGTGTCAATGGGATCAAAACTTTGCATGTGCCCCTTCCTCTGCCTGGAACTCATCTCCTCTGAATCAAACTCCATTCAGTAGAACCTTCTGGGATGATGGAAATGTTCTATTAACCTGCATTGTCCAGTACAGTAACCACTAGTTAAATGTGGGGATTGAACCTTTGAAATGTGGCTAGTGTGACTGAGGAATGGAATGAATTTTTAATTGTATTTATTTATTCATTTTTGCTTTTGAGTTTTTTTGTTGTTGTTCTTGTTGTTTTGAGACAGGGTCTTGTTATGTTGCCCAGGCTAGTCTAGAACTCCTGGGCTCAAGCGATCTTCCTGCCTCAACCTCCCAAAGTTCTGGGATTATGGGCACAAGCCACTGCAACCCACTGTATTTAAGTCTCATTTATTTATTTATTTTTGTTGCCCAGGCTGGAGTGCAATGGCGAGATCTCGGCTCACCGCAACCTCTGCCTCCCAGGTTCAAGCGATTCTCCTGCCTGGGATTACAGGCATGCGCCACCACGCCCGGCTAATTTTGTATTTTTAGTAGAGACGGTGTTTCTCCATGTTGATCAGGCTGTTCTCAAACTCCCGACCTCAGGTGATCCGCCTGCCTCGGCCTCCCAAAGTGCTGGGATTACAGGCATGAGCCACCTTGCCAGGCCAAGTCTAATTTATTTAAATAGTCACGGGGGCTAGTGGCACCTATACTGGGCGGCATGGCTCATGGTTTGCTCCTTTGCAATGTTCAGCTATCGATCATCTTCTCAGAGAGGCTGTTCCTCAGGATTGCCACCTGTGGAAGGCAGAATGCCCCCCCAACCCCCGCCAAAAACATACACATCTAAATCCCTGGAACCTGTTACCTTACCTGCCAAAGGGGTATTAAGGTTGCAGATGACATCAAGTTGCTGCTGAGCTGACCCTGAAATGGGAAAGTTCTCCTGAATTTTCTGGATGAGCCCATCTAATCTTTTGAGTCCTTAAAAGGGAAAAAGAAGTAGGTAGAGAAGTAGATGAGCTATAGAGATGAGAGAGATGAAAAAGGAGAAAGATTAGAAGTGTGAGGCAGGCCAGGCGCAGTAACTCACGCCTGTAATCCCAACACTTTGGGAGGCCTAGGCGGGCAGGTCACCTGAGGTCAGGAGTTCGAGACCAGCTTGACCAACATGGTAAAACCCCGTCTCTACTAAAAATACAAAAATTAAAGAAGTAGACATAGGAGACTCCATTTTGTTCTGTACTAAGAAAAATTCTTCTGCCTTGGGATGCTGTTGATCTATGACCTTACCTCCAACCCGGTGCTCTCTGAAACATGTGCTGTGTCCACTCACGGTTAAATGGATCAAGGGCAGTGCAAGATGTGCTTTGTTAAACAGATGCTTGAAGGCAGCATGCTCGTTAAGAGTCATCACCACTCCCTAATCTCAAGTACCCAGGGACACAAACACTGGGGAAGGCCCCAGGGTCCTCTGCCTAGGAAAACCAGAGACCTTTGTTCACTTGTTTATCTGCTGACCTTCCCTCCACTATTGTCCTATGACCCTGCCAAATCCCCCTCTGCGAGAAACACCCAATAATGATCAATAAAAAGTAAAAAAAAATAAAAATAAAAATAAAAATAAAAATACAAATACAAAAATTAGCCAGGCATGATGGTGGGCGCCTGTAGTCCCAGCTACTCAGGAGGCTGAGACGAGAGAATCACTTGATCGCTTGAACCCGGGAGGCGGAGGTTGCACTGAGCAGAGATTGCGCCACTGTACTCTAGCCTGGGCGACAGAGTGGGACTCTGTCTGAAAAAAAAACCAAGAAGTGTGAGGGGGAATCACCCTCCGTGGTTGGCTTTGAAAATGGAGACAGGCAGGCTCTGTCAACCAAGTGCAGTGGCCTCTAGGAGCTCAGAACAGGCCCTCCATGGACAGCCAGCAGGCAAACTGGGCCTCAGTCCTACAACTGCAAAAAACTGAATTCTGCCAAAAACTTGAATGAGCACAGAAACAGATTCTCCCCGAGAACCTCCAGAAAGGAGCATGGTCTGCTAACACCTTGATCTTAGTCCCATGAGACCCACACCAGACTTCTGACCTATACAGCTGTAAGACAATACATTTGTGTTGTTTAAAGCCACTAAATCTGTGGTCATTTGGGCCGGGTGTGGAGGCTCACGTCTGTAATCCCAGCACTTTGGGAGGCTGAGGTGGGAGAATAGCTTGAGGCCAGGAGTTCAAGACCAGCCTGGGCAATACAGCAGGACCCCAACTCTACAAACAAATAAAAAAATTAGGGCCAGGTGTGGTAGCTCATGCCTGTAATCCCAGCACTTTGGGAGGTCAAGGTGGGCAGATCACCTGAGATCAGGAGTTCGAGACTAGCCTGACCAACATGGAGAAACCCCATCTCTACTAAAAATAAAAAATTAGCTGGGCGTGGTGGCGCATGCCTGTAATCCCAGCTACTCAGGAGGCTGAGGCAGGAGAATTGTTTAAACCCGGGAGGCAGAGGTTGCAGTGAGCCAAGATCATGCCATTGAACTCCAGCCTAGGCAACAAGAGTGAAACTCCGTCTCAAAAAAAAAAAAAGAAAAGAAAAAAATTAGCCAGGTGTGGTGGCATGCGCCTATAATCCCAGCTACTTGGGAGGCTGAGGCAGGAGAATCACTTGAACCCAGGAGGCGGAGGTTGCAGTGAGCTGAGATCACGCCATTGAACTGCAGCCTGGGCAACAAGAGTGAAACTCCATCTCAAAACAAAAATACAAAACTTAGCTGGGTGTGGTGGCTCACGTTTATAGTCCCAAACTCTTGGGAGGCTGAGGTGGGAGGATCATTTGAGCCTAGGAGGTCGAGGCTGCAGTGAGCTGAGATCACGCCACTGCACTCCAGCCTGGGTGGCAGAGTGAGACCCCATCTCTAAATAAATAAAAATTTGTGGTCATTTGTTTCGGCAGCAATGGGAAACTAATACTCCACCCTAGACTGGCTCTAGGCCCACCCTGGTGGGGCCCCTAAGGAGTCAGGAGTCTAAGGACCCAAGGAGAGGTGCCCCTATGGAGGCCTCTTCTAACATCAGTGAGCTGCTCAATGGCCCTGGTCCTGCACTCATGGCCCACATGTGCCTCCTCTCTCGTTCTGTCCTCCAGAGGGTGAACAGGCCTCAGATGAGCACCCCCAGGCCTGAGGGGAAACACATCAATGGGTGTCTGTGCGGGAACAGGTGAGGCCTGAGCTGGGACACTGGGCTTCAGTGTCCACATGGACACATGCAAGTCCCTTTGATGTATGAGACATGGCAAGGCAGAGGAGGGCTGGGAAGAAAAGTAGCTCAGGAGCAGGGCTCAGGGTCGGCCTCTGCTCTCTGGGCTGCTGGGTGGAACTCTGGGAAGGCTGTGGATTTTATTTTTTACAAATTTAATTTATAATTTATTTTAAAAATAGAGATGGGGTCTCACTATGTTGCCTGGGTTGGTCTAGAACTCCTGGGCTCACGTGATCCTCCTGCCTTGGTCTCCCAAAGGTATGGGATCACAGGTGTGAGCCACCTCACCTGGCCAGTCTGTGGATTTTAAATTCAAGTCAGATCTCCCAGGTGTTTGTGAGGGTATATGAAGGAGAATAAAATATATATTTCTCTCTTTTTTTAGAGACAGGATCTTCCTCTGTTGTCCAGGTTGGAGTGCAGTGGCATGATCTCAGCTCATGGCAGCCTTGACCTCTCAGGCTCAAGTGATCCTCCCACCTCAGCCTCCCAATTATCTGGGACTACAGGCGTGAGCCATCACACCGAGCTAATTTTCATATTTTTTTATAAAGATGGGGTCTTGCCACATTGCTCAGGCTGGTCTCGAACTTCTGGCCTCAAGTAATCCTCCCATCTCAGCCTCCCAAAGTGCTGGGATTACAGGAGTGAACCACTGCGCCCAACCCTGCCCTTCCCTTTCCTTTCACTACACAGCCTTGTCCTTGAGAATCTCATTGGCTCCTGTGATTTTAACCATCCCCTGTAGGAACATGATACCCCAAAGCATAGTATTTTCTCAAATTCCATTTCCAAATTTTATCTTGTCTGCTGCACTTCTCCATCTAGATATCCCAGAGACCACTCAGCATTCCGTGTCTAAACTTAACCCCCTCCCCAATCCACCCACCATTTCCTACCATTTCTGAGATTCAGAACCATGGGCGCTCTGACCCTTCCCTCTTCCTCACCTCAGACAACCATTCCACCAACAAGCCCTCTGGATTTTACTACCACCACAGCTTCACTAATCCAAATGTGTCCTAGGGGCCGGGCACGGTGGCTCATGCTTATAATTCCAGCACTTTAGGAGGCTGAAGCACGAGGATCACTTGAGCTCAGGAGTTTGAGACCAGCCCGGAAAATAGAGTGAGACCCTCCCTGTATCTACAAAAAATTTTAAAAATTAGCCAGGCATGGTGGCACATGTCTGTAGTCTCAGCTGCTTGGGAGGCTGAGGTGGGAGGATCACTTGATCCCAAGAGGTTGAGGCTGCAGTGAGTCATAATCACACCACTGTACTCCAGCCTGGGTGATGGAGTGAGACTCTGTCTCAAAAAAAAAAAAAAAAAAAAAAAAAGAGCCTCTCAGAGTTCCCAGTCCAGTTCTTCCTGCTTTGCATACCTGATTAATCCAGTACAGCCGGGGCTCTGAGTATGTTACCCTTCCTGTTCAAAAACTTTCAGTGGCTCTTCCTGGGAACAGAGGAATGAACTTTTCCATTTTGGCACTCCAGATCTCACAGTATGTGAGATTACGGTAGTTTAATATTTAACCTGCAAGAGGCTTGAAATCCCAAGACCTGAGACAAAATCCTGGATGCGCCCAGGTTGGTTTCAAACTCTGGGCCTCAAGTGATCTTCCTGTCTCGTGTGACTCTGGGCAAGTTGTGCCAACTCTGTGAACCTCTGTCAGGGATAATTCTCCAATCAAGTGTCTTGAGGATGGAATTAGATAATGCATACAAAATATTTATCCTTGTTCACATTAAGCCATGACTATATTGTAGCTGCTATCATTATTAGCTCACATAAAGGTGCTTAGCAAAAAGTGCCTGCCACTAAGGTACTCAAGCAATCAGTGCTTTCCCAAGATGTTACTTGAGTCTGTATCTCTGGTGTTACTTGTATTTCAAAACTGTTTTTTCCCATTACATTTTATTTATTTTTTGAGACAGAGTCTTGATCTGTCGCCCAGGCTGGAGTGCAGTGACGTGATCTTGGCTCACTGCAAACTACACCTCCCAGGTTCAAGCGATCCTCCTGCCTCAGCCTCCCGAGTAGCTGGGATTACAGAAACCCACCACCACGCCCAGCTAATTTTTGTATTTTCAGTAGAGACAGGGTTTCTCCATGTTGGCCAGGCTGGTCTCGCACTCCTGATCTCAAGTGATCCACTCACCTTGGCCTCCCAAAATGATGGGATTACAGGCTTGAGCCACCACGCCCGGCCATTACTTCTCATTTATGAAAGATGACATGACATACAAATGTATATGCTAATATATTTACTCTATGTCGGAGGTTGGCAAACTTTTTCTGTAAAGGGCCAGATAATAAATATTTCAACTAAGGCAGGCCATACTATGATGTAACTTTTCAACTCTGCTGTTAGCCGCCATAGACAAAATGTAACTGAAGGGGTATGGCTGTGTCTCGATAAAACTCTATTCATGTTACTAGATAATTCAGGGAATGGGAGTTAAAAAAAAAAAAACTTTATTAATGGATGCTAAACTTTGAATTTCATATAATTTTCTTTTGTTCTCTCCTTTCTTTCTTTCTTTTATTTTTTTCTCTCTTCCCCATCCCCTTCCACTTCCCTTTCCCTTTCCTCTTCTTTTTCTTTCAAGATAGTATCTCACTCTGTTGCCCAGGCTGGAGTGCAGTGGCACAATCATGGCTCACTGCAGCCTGGACCTCCTGGGCTCAAGCAATCCTCCTGCCTCAGACTCCCGAGTAGCACGCCACCACGCCAGATAATTTTTTACTTTTGTATTTATTTATTTATTTTTTGAGATGGAATGTCACTCTGTCACCCAGTCTGGAATGCAGTGGCCCAATCTCGACTCACTGCAACCTCCGCCTCCCAGGTTCAAGCGATTCTCCTGCCTCAGCCTCTGAAGTAGCTGGGACTACAGGTGCTCACCACCATGCCCAGATAATTTTTGTATTTTTAGTAGAGACGGGGTTTCACCATGTTGGCCAGGCTGGTTTTGAACTCCTGACCTTAGGTGATCCACCTGCCTCAGCCTCCCAAAGTGCTGGGATTACAGGCATGAGCCACGGTGCCAAGCTCCATAATTTTCATGTGTCACGAAATATTCTTCTTTTGATTTTTTCCAACCATTTAAACATGTAAGGCCGGGCTCTATAGAGTGTTCTTTTAATTTAAACAGAACAATAGCTAAGAATAATATGAAGTAAAGGAGAGTACAAATGATTTGTGGGCCAATAGAATAGTCTAACAGTGGCTCAACAATAACCAAGTTGAGCAATGCAGTCATAAATGTTTACTGTGCATAAAACCCTACAGTCTGGTTCAACCTAGCTGTCCAGCAGTGTCTCCTCCAGGCCCCAGTGAAAGCGGGCTTCCATTTCCCCAAACACAGACCCTGCACATTGCCTAGTTCCTCTGTCTAGAATACACCCTCCCGTTGTGCTCATTAAAAGCATATCCTGCCTGGGCACAGTGGCTCATTCCTGTAATCCAGCACTTTGGGAGGCTGAGGCAAGAGGATCGCTTGAGGTCAGGAGTTCTAGACCAGCCTGGGTAACATGGCAAAACCCTGTCTCCACCAAAAACAGAAAAATTAGCCATGCGTGGTGGCGCATGCCTGTAATCTCAGCAACTCGGAGGCTGAGGTAAGAGAGTCTCTTGAGCCCTGGAGGCAGAGGTTACAATGGGCTGAGACAGTGCCACTGCACTCCAGCCTAGATGTCAAAGCAAGACCCTGTCTCAAAAAAAGAATTTAAAATTTGAAAAATAATAAAAAGAAACAAAAGCACATCCTCGAAGGGCCATATCAAATGCCACCTCTTAAAAATTCTACGGCCAGGCACGGTGGCTCGTGCCTGTAATCCCAGCACTCTGGGAGACCGATGCAGGCAGATCACTTGAGGTCAGGAGTTCGAGACCAGCCTGGCCAACATAGCGAAACCCCCATCTCTATAAAAAATACAAAAATTGGCCAGGAGTCACGGCACATGCCTGTAATCCCAGCTACTTGGGAAGCTGAGGCACGAGAAGCACTTGAACCCAGAAGGCGGAGGTTGCAGTGGGCCAAGATTATGCCATTGCACTCCAGCCTGGGCGACAGAGCAAGAGCTTGTCTCAAAAAAAAAAAGAAAATATTCAATGATTCTTCCCTACCCCTCATAAATGGTATTTTCCCTTCTCTCTCCCTTCTCCTTGTGCCCTGTTCTCTCAGTAATAGCTTGTTTGTGCCTCCATCATTGTACTTATAGTCTAGTTATTTTTTGCTATTTATCTTACTTCAAACCAAGCTTCTTGAGGTGTGGGGCCTTCACTCAGGATCCCTCAGTGCCTGGCATATAGCAAGCACTCAGGAAGCATCTCTCGAGGTTGTTTCTTGGAATTGAACACAGGGTATGACGTCACTCCGGCCACTGTGTAACTGACATAATGAAGTGGGAAGAGATTGGCTAGTTGAAATTGCAGTAAATGGAATGGGTCTGGTGCGTTACTCGTTCTAGTTAACGGAATGAAGTATTGTCCCCCACCCCCCACCAAAATAAAAAACAAATGGAGTAGGTCTGGATGGGGGTGTTGGGAGGCAGTGAAGGGAAAGGCTGTGCCTCTGGGGCACAGCTGGAGGAGAATCCTGTTTGGTGATTGAGGTGGCATGACTAGTCTGTCTTAGTTATGCCTTCCGCAGGAAGCAGGTCTGAAAAGAGAGAAAAGTAGGGCTTCTTAGAGCTTCCCACACACAGGAGAGGCTCAGCAAAGAACACAGTGAAATTCAACTGCTGATTCTCTCCGGGCCTCAGGAGAGCAGGGTTCTGAGAAGGGCCTCGCGATACACATCGTGCCCCAGTTACACCGAGTGAATCAGGCTCTGATGCAATTGGCAATAGGCCTTAATCACAAGCTTCATCTCACAGGCTCCGCACAGATGAGCTTTGTCATTTCTCTGAGGGAATCACTGTCATTTCTCTTCCAGGCTCAAAGCAGCTCCCCCTGCCCCGTGTAAAGCGCTGATGAGATGGCAATT
The DNA here is from genome assembly GCF_000001405.40 of Homo sapiens. Taxonomy (NCBI): domain Eukaryota; kingdom Metazoa; phylum Chordata; class Mammalia; order Primates; family Hominidae; genus Homo; species Homo sapiens. Next base: position 48,393,909 of record NC_000016.10, on the reverse strand, counting down.
TAAACTGCTTTGATGACCAGGTTTCATTAGGTAAGAAGGCCCGATTAAGCAACGGTGGCCCAAATAACCTCAGTGGTTCAGACACTGTTTTTCAAAGCCAGCAGAAGTCTTGCCAAATTAAAGGATGTCAGGATGAGATGCTATGAATATCAGTTTCCTTCTCTCTGGCAATGGAGAGGATTAATTAAATGCCTGTGAAGTGCTTTGAAAATTTAAGCTGTTGAGAATTATTGTTCTGTGTAATAGGGAAAAAATAGAGTTCTTGGCTCATTAAAGCTGTAATGTTGCAAGCCTGAGCACTATTTTCAGGATATCTTTGAGAGCTACATTTTTATTAAGAGGAAGAAAAGAGAAATGTGTCTATGAATACAGATATACAGTGTACATGCTGGAAAGTCAGTTGGGTTAATCAGTATGTCTCTTGATTAAGAAATGAACTGGAGGCTGGGTGTGGTGGCTCATGCCTATAATCCCAGCATTTAGGGAGGATGAGGCAGGAGTATCACTTGAGCCAGTGAGTTTGAGTCCAGCCTGAGCAACAGAGTGAGACTTTGTTTCTAAATAAAAAAAAAGAAAGGCTGGGGGCAGTGGCTCACGCCTGTAATCCCAACACTTTGGGAGGCCAAGGCAGGTGGATCACCTGAGGTCAGGAGTTGGAGACTGGCCTGGCCACCATGGCGAAACCCTGTCTCTACTAAAGACACAAAAATTAGCTGGGTGTGGCGATGGGTGCCTGTAGTCCCAGCTACTCAGGAAGCTGAGGCAGGAGAATCACTAGAACCTGGGAGGCCAAGGTTGCAGTGAGCCAAGATCGGGCCACTGCACTCCAGCCTGGGCAACAGAGTGAGACTCCATCTCAAAAAAAAAAAAAAAAAAAAAAGAAATGAATGAACTGGGAGAAACTGTTTCTTATTGATTACCACAATCAGTACAGACAGTTATTAAGAATCAGTTGCTTAACTGTGTAGGGACAGTTTCACTAAAACTAGCAGACAGGTATTTGTTTTCTTTCAATAGGATCAAGGGATGAAAAGACTGAGATTGTATACATGTAAATACCAAGTTCAGTGAGTTTCCATGGCCTCTTCTGTCTTAATACAACTTACCAAACAATCCAGACAGATTTCTGCCTCCACTTTGTTGATTTACCCAGGTATATTTTGGCTTTGTTTGCAGATATTCGGTGACATTTGGAAGGGTGCTGTCCGCAGCTGCCCCTCACCTCTCTTTCACTCTACATTGACTGAGGATTTACACTTTGTTTTGTGTCTGTACTAGTTTCCTATCGCTGCTTTAACAAATTACTGCAAACTTAGTGGGTTGCCACAACATAGATGTATTATATTACAGTTCCAGAGGTCAGAAGTCTAAAATTAGTCTTATGGGGCTAACATCAAGGTGTCGGCCGGGCTGACCCCATGTGGATACTCCAGGGAAAGAATCTGTTTCCTTGCCTTTTCAGTTTTCTAGAGGCCTCCTGCATTCCATGGCTCATGGCCCCTTTCTGGGTCTCTCTGACCTCTGCTTTTGTTGTTGTTGTTTGTTGAGATAGAGTCTTGCTATGTTGCCCAGACTGGTCTCAAACTCCTGGGCTCAAGTGCTTCTCCTGCCTTGGCCTCCAAAGGGATTACAGGTGTGAGCCACTGAGCCTGGCTCAGACCTCTTGTTATCACGTCTTCTATCTCTTGGCCCATGGGATAGTCCAGGATAATGTCTTCATCTCAAAATCCTTAACTCAATCACATATGCTAAGTCCTTTTTGCCACATAAAGTAATTTATTCACAGGTTCTGGGGATTAGGTTGTAGACTTTTTTTTTTTTTTGAGATGGAGTCTCCCTCTTGTTGCCCAGGCTGGAGTGCAGTGGCACGATCTTGGCTCACTGAAACCTCCACCTCCCAGGTACAAGCAATTCTCCTGTCTCAGCCTCCCGAGTAGCTGGGATTACAGGCATGCACCACCATGCCTGGCTAATTTTGTAGTTTTAGTAGAGATGGGGTTTCTCCATGTTTGTCAGGCTGGTCTCAAACTCTCGACCTCAGGTGATCCACCCGCCTCCGTCTCCCAAAGTGCTGGGATTACAGGCATGAGCCACCGTGCCCAGCCAGGCATTTTTTTTTCTTTTTAAGACCAAGTCTTGCTTTGTCAACCAGTCTGGAGTGCAGTGGTGCAATCTCAGGTCAGCAACCTCTCCACCTCCCAGGTTCAAGCGATTCTCCTGCCTCAGCCTTCCAAGTAGCTGAGACTACAGAAGTGTGCCACCACGCCCAGCTAAATTTTTTTTGTTATTGTTGTATTTTTAGTAGAGACAGGGTTTCTCCTGACCTCAAGTGATCCACCCACCTAGGCCTCCCAAAGTCCTGGGTTTACAGGCGTGAGCCGCCTTGCCCAGCCTTGAGCCTGCTTTCTCATTCAAATATCACATAGACTTTAGACTGGCCGCGGTGGCTCGTGCCTGTAATCCCAGCATTTAGGGAGGCCTAGGTGGGTGGATTGCTTGAGCCTAGGAGTTTGAGACCAGCCTGGGCAATATGGTGAAACCCCGTCTCTACAAAAAATGCAAAAATTACCTGGGTGTGGTGGCTATTTTGAAAGCTGAGGCAGGAGGATCGCTTGAGCCCAGGAGGTCGATGCAGCAGTGAGCTCTGATCGCACCACCGCACTCCAGCCTGGGTGATGGGGCAAGACCCTGTCTCAAAAAAAAAAAAAAAATTCTCCCTTTTCTCTACCCCAACTCCACCTAGTTCCCCTTTCCTAGTACTTTTTGCCAGAAATAACCCCTTTAACCATTGCAGCTTTAATGCGTCTAGCGGTCACCACTGTACCCTAAGTGTTATAACTTTTGTGTGCATGTGTTTTTTGAGATGGAGTTTCGCTCTTTCGCCCAGGCTGGAGTAAAGTGGCACGATCTCGGCTCACTGCAACCTCCGCCCCCTGGATTCAAGCGATTCTCCTGCCTCAGCCTCCCAAGTAGCTGGGATTACAGATGCCTGCCACCACCACACCTGGCTAATTTTTGTATTTTTAGTAGAGATGGGGTTTCGCCATGTTGGCCAGGCTGGTCTCGAACTCCTCACCTCAGGTGATCCACCTGCCTCAGCCTCCCAAAGTGCTGGGATTACAGGCATGAGCCACCGCACCTGGCCATTTTTTCATTAACATAGTGAATTGCAGGTAGTTGTTTAGATAATGTAAAATATACTTTAATTCATCCTTCTAAAATTCATTAAAATGAAAACCCTGAATTGACAAATTCTCATAAAGGACTTGAGGGCCCTGCAGATTCATGTGTAAGCCCTCCTGGATGAATATGAATCACAGATCATGTTTCTCCTCAGCTGTAAGACACGATGAATGAGGAAGGAGCAAAGGCTCTGGGGCCAGACGGACCTGGATGTTAACTTCCACACCTCCACTTATTAGTACATGCCATGGGAAAGTTCTTTATCCTTTCTGAGTTTCCATTTCCTCATCTGTAAAATGGGAAAGCAGTGCTCACTTCATATATTTGTTAGTATTAAATTAAGTAACCCGCCTGGCACGGTGGTTCACACCTGTAATCCCAGCACTTTGGGAGGCAGAGGCGGGCAGATCACGAGGTCAAGAGATCGAGACCATCCTGGCTAACACAGTGAAACCCCATCTCTACTAAAAATACAAAAAATTAGCCAGGCGTGGTGGCGGGCGCCTGTAGTCCCAGCTCCTCGGGAGACTGAGGCAGGAGAATGGCGTGAACCCGGGAGGCGGAGCTTGCAGTGAGCCGAGATCACGCCACTGCACTCCAGCCTAGGTGACAGAGCGAGACTCCGTCTCAAAAAAAAAAAAAATTAAGTAACCCATGAACTTGTGCGTGTGTTAAGCATTTCTTGAATGCTAAATGTTTCTAAATGCTAGTTTCTCCAAGATAATTTGGAAAGAAAGTCAAATATCTACTAACAATGAATGAAAGGATGTAAAAGAGAAACTGGAAACAGATTCCATAGACCGTGATAGTTAAGGGCATGGTCCTTGTTTAATATTTCTTCATTTGCTCAACAAAAATGTTGAGGGCCCTTTATGTGTCAGCCACTGTGCTAGGCATAGATGGAAATACAGACATGCACCCTGCCCTCCAGGGATTTATTCTACTTATTGCCATGTCATAGCAGTTCAACAAATACTTAAATTTTTTAAAAAGGCTAAGGCCGCGCATGGTAGTTCACGCCTATAATCCCAGCACTTGGGGAGGCCGAGATGGGCAGATGGCTTGAGCTCAGGAGTTTGAGACCAGCCTGGGCAACATGGTGAAACCCTGTCTCCACCAAAAATACAAAAAAATTAGCTGGGCACAGTGGCACGCACCTGTGTTTCCAGCTACTCAGGAGGCTGAGGTGGGAGGATTGCTTGAGCCTGGGAGGCAGAGGTTGCAGTGACCAAGATCTCACCAGTGCACTCCAACCTGGGTGACAGAGTAAGACTCCGTCTTGGAAAAAAAAAAAAAAAAGAAAAAAGAAAAAGGCTAAATTCTGACAAGTGTAAAGAAAAGATTTGGATCCATGGAAATGAGCATCTGTGGGTTGGGCATGAGGCAGGGGTTGTACCTAATGCACTGGACAGTTATCACTGCATTCCAATGAACTCAAGAACAACAATTACTTAAACTAATTGTCAGTATCACCTACTTCCACCAGCTACATAAAAACCTCAATGATTTTCTAATTTTTTTTTTTGATACAAGGATCTTGCTCTGTTGCCCAGGCTGGAGTGCAGTGGTGTGATCTCTGCTCACTGCAACCTCCACCTCCTGGGTTCAAGTGATTGTCCTGCCTCAGCCTCCCGAGTAGCTGAGATTACAGGCATCCACCACCACACCTGGCTAATTTTTGTAGTTTTAGTAGAGACGAAGTTTCACCATGTTGGCCAGGCTGGTCTCCAAATCCTGACCTCAGGTGATCTGCAGGCATTGGCCTCCTAAAGTGCTGGGATTACAGGCGTGAGCCACCGTGCCCGGCTCTAACTTCTTGAAAAATGTGATGCCTAGCATGTAACCTTTTTCCTAAAGAAACTTGATTATATTGAAGGAAAACTACAGTTATGGGCGAACTCATTTCCCAACCACTTGGGCTTTTGGGAACTTCCTTCAGCTACTTCCTGTTTCATTCTTGGATGCTCATGTTGTGTCTCTAACTTCTCCACCATGTCCAGGAAAATTTGTTTGGGATACTGTTTAACACATTCACCAACCTCAGACAGTGACTGGCAACAGGTGTGTCTGATAAAGAAAACATTGTTTCTGCTCTGCTGTAGGCATGTCTGACAAGTTGGGGACCTGCTTTCCTTTGCAAAGCTTATAGGAGTCTATTTGGGAGGGAGGAACCGCCTTCCAGTTTCCAGGCTGAAAAAGATTCTGTTTCGCTACCAGCAGAGCCAGGCTTGGAAGGGAATGCTAATATGTTTCCAGACCTATCCACCTAAGCTGAATGACAAATGGGTATCAGTGGTTTAATGTAAGAGGAGATAGCTATAGTTTCCTGGGCAAGAGACATCTGTGATTGCCTGGAAACAAACACAGCCCATCGGTGATTCAATAGATGGGTTTGGTCTTGTGAACTGGTCTATTGTAAAATAACTATATTGACATGAAGACACTTGGAAATCATCTGTTCAGTCTTAACTAGTTTAGCCAACTTTGACAGCATTATCTGAGAGGCTGAGGCACAAGAATCGCTTGAACCCAGGAGATGGAGGTTGCAGTGAGCCGAGATTACAAAATAAATAAATAAATAAATATCAATTTAATATAAATTCATAGCAAAACCCCCAAATAAAGATACTCTCATCAGTGCCTGTTTTATTTATTCATTTATTTTTATGTTTTTAGAGATGGAGTGTCCCTCTGTCACCCAGATGGGAGTGCAGGGGCACAATCATAGCTCACTATGGCCTCAAATTCCCAGGTTCAAGCAATCCTCTCATTTTGGCCTCCTGATTAGATGAGATTACAGGCGCACACCACCCTGCCGGGCTAATTTTTAAACTTTTTATAGGGACGGGGTCTTGCTATGTTCTTAGGTTGGTCTGGAACTTCTGGGCCTCAAGCGATCCTCTTGCCTTGGCCTCCCAAAGTGCTGGGATTACAGGTGTGAGCCACCGTGCCTGGCCAGTGCCTGTTTTATTCATAAGAGGAAAGTAATTTACATCACTGGTACCTTAACTACGGGCCAGATGCAGGACCAGAGCGTTATGTTCCATTGCAATAGATGGAATTACCATTTGATGTGATTTGAGGGGACCAGGAAGGCTCCCTATCCAGATGTGGCCTGAAAATATTTGTCACCGTTACTGAAATCCCATCAATTGGAGGATTATTTGGATAGGCTTTACAGTTTACAAAATGCTTTTCTATGGATAAACTGTCAAGGAAGCAGAGTCAACTCCCTGTTCAGAAAAGGTGCTTAGTTACCCCCACAGTGGAGCTATTTTCTTTCAAATGGAAGGTACATTTTTTTGAGAGGGGGAGTAAATTAAATTTATAATGGTGATGTTTATGTCCCACCCATAGCTACCACCCAGAATTAACCAAATCAGATTGAGCCCCGCCCAAATCTAGGTAGGAATTCTCAGAGATGGAATTAACCCGATTAAATTTGTTTTGTATAAAAGGGAAGTGGGGAAAGTAAGAAGTAACTTGGACTCTTCTAGAGGAGAGCAGGCACAAACTAAGCCAAGAAAAGCACGTTTGAGAATTCCAGAGGCAGAAGTTGCTTCTGGGTGCCTGACGTCAACGATCCAGCACTTCAAGACTGGTGTGCGGCATCCTCAGGGGACACTGTGTCCTGGGCACCCCTGCAGTTTAAGAGAATCCACTAGTTTATAAGGTAAGTCCTCGACTGTCAGCAGTGGGCCAGAGACAGACTGTTATTTTCAGATGGACAAATGCTGTTGGGTAGAGGAAGGGATGCGGGATAAGGAGGACAAAATCTGACTTTGGCAAAGCCGGGTGTTTAGAACTTTAATCGCCACGTTGGCAAGTTCTCTCTTAGTCCGTATCCATTTCACTGCTTGCAGAGCGGCCCAGGGGTTCTGGGGGCGAGAAACACATCTCACCCCAGAGCTGCTCCTCGCCCAGGACAGAACTCCTCTGCCCTTCACGACCAGGTCAAGGCCACATGGCTATGCCAAGCACATAGTCTGTAAAAATGGAAAATTTACCTCTAAACTGAAGTGAACCGAACTCTATTGACCTTCCCGTGTACTGAGGAGCTATAACTTCTCCCCAAAAATGTGAAAGTAAAATTGCAGTTTAAATCATGTAATTAGGAATACTGTAAACTAGTGTTTTGCACATATAAACTTTATCATACACTGGGAATTTGTACATACGTGCCCGGTATGGGATTTTTCTATTTTTATTTTTATTTTTTTGAGACAGAGTCTCGCTCTGTTGTCCAGGCTGGAGTGCAATGGCCTGATCTCTGCCTCACTGCAACCTCTGCCTCCCGGGTTCAAGCGATTCTCCTGCCTCAGCCTCCGAGTAGCTGGGACTACAGGCGTGCACCACCACGCCCGGCTAATTTTTGTATTTTTAGTAGAGATAGGGTTTCACCATGTTGGCCAGGCTACTCTCGAACTCCTGACCTCAGGTAATCCATCGGCCTCGGCCTCCCTAAGTGCTGGGATTACAGGCGTGAGCCACCGCGTCCGGACGGAATACCATTTTAATAGATCTTACATGGAATTCCAGTTAGGGCTTGTAAATGTCTCAGATGCTTGCTTCTGCTCATAGCACCCATCAAAGAATTGCAAGTGATGTTTTCCTTTTATTATTTCAAGAAGTGGAATGCAGAGTCCCTAATTAGGGACTTTCCAGATGAGCATGGACACAGGAAAACGCGTGCTTCCCCATTACCCACTTTTCAGCTGAAACAAGCTTTTGAAGCTCGTCCCGCTGTTGCTGAGGAGCGGCTCAACCTCGGGAGAGGCTGGGACTCTCTTTAGGGGTGGGGTCCCGGTCGGCGGGCAGGGCAGCCGCTTTTTCTTTGGGACTGAGTGGAGTTGGGAAGGATCCGTGGAGGCGCTGGGCTAAATCAGCAGACAAAACAAGGGGGAGGGCACAAGGCCGCGGCGGCGGCCAGCCTGGGGCTCGCATCCCGCTGGGCGACCCCTCCGGCCGGAGCCGGGGGGGTCACGCGGCCCCGGAACAAAGCGCCGCGGGAGGAGCTGCCCTGAGCCGACGGGCAAGCGCTAGCTTCTCGCGGGCCAGAGCGCCACGTGCCAGGATCCGTTGAATGCGCGGTGCACGGGCGCAGCAACGGTAGCCGAGTAGCCCCCGCACCTACTGCCGCCTTTGGAGACCCGCACAGCTACGCCCGCGGAGGCCGCCGCCGGCCGCGCCAACGCCTGTGCGCCTGCGCGCCCGCGAAAGCCCCGCCCCCCCAGGCTCCCAGCGCGCGGGGCCGCGCCTCCTCATGGCCGCCGCCGCAGTGTGTGGTATTTAGCGGGGGCGCGCGGCGGGCTCGAGGACGCGCGAAACGGCGGCGGCGGCGGCGGCCAGGGGGGAGCCGGGGCGGCCGTTGCGGGGCGCGCTCTCGAGAGGCGGCGGCGGCCCAGGGTGTCCCGTCGGTCTCGGCGCCGGGAAGAGGCGGTGGCGCTGCCCGCGGTGGCGGGGGTTGGCGACGGAGCGCGTTGGTGCCAGGACCGGGGTCCGAGGCGCGCTCTCCGCCCACAGGTAAGTGGGGCCCGGCCTGAGGGAGGAGCCGGCGGCGAGGGGCTCTCCGACAGGCGGGCGCCCAGGCCCGGTAATGGCGGAGGGCGGGAAGGGCGGCCCGGCCGGGGCGCGGGCAGTAGTCGGCGCGGCGGCGCCTTTGTCTCGGCCGGAGTCGGGCCGCCCGGTCGAGCGCCGCCCCCCGCCCCTCCCCTGCCTTCAGCCTTCGCAAGCCGGCTCGCCCCCGCCCCTGGAGCCCCGGGCCCGGCGGGGTGGCGGCGGGGGTCGGCCCCGCGCGGCCGGGCCGAGGGCGGGGGAAGGGCCTCGGCGGCGGCCCGGCCCCCGCGCGCCCGGGAGGCGGGCCCGGCCGGGGGTGGCGCCCGGCGCGCCCCGCGCCCTCGTGCCGGCCTTTGTTGTGGAGGGTCCCGGGGTGTGCGGCCAACATGGCGGAGGTCAGCTGAGTGCGGGCAGCTGCCGGGGCCCTGCCCTCCCTCCCCCTCCTCCCCGCGGCGCCCGGAGGCCCGGGCCGCACCGCGCCGCTCGGCGGGCCTCGGCCTCCGCTCTCTGCCCCCGACCCCCGGCTGGAGCCGTCCGGGACGGGGCTGCGCTCTTCCTGCCGCTTCGGCCGGAGGCTTCATTGTGCAGTGGGAAGAATGCAGCCTCCTCCCTTGTTTATGTCGTTAGAGAGGAGAGCGCGTGAACGGCGTGCCGGGGAAGCTCTAGCTTATTATAAACCTGGCATTTCCTAGGGTTCATTTGCCGGGTAGTTTGGGGTCCTTTCTTAACTCTCCCAAATTTATAACTTAAAGTGAATAACCTGGGCCACTCCGATGCGTAGGTTCGTTTTCGCTGTCTGCCCGTTCCTGGAAAGATACATAATTTGTTTGCTCGGACATTCAGAAAAGTCCAGCTTGGGTGTTCGGAAAATCAGATTGTGTGTACTTCTTTTGCCAAAGTCATAGAGGCCATAAACAAACAGAGAGACATGGATACTGGATATGGGACGGTGTTCTGACTGTCCCTTCCTAGCAGTTGAGCATTTACCTTTGCTTATAGCGGCTGTCAAGGGTAAATTGTTAACTCTTCAGCAGTTGGATGTTGAGAGCACGGGCTGTGAAGTCCGACTGTCTGCTTTGGGTCAAATCCTGCTCCACTGGTTTGTGACCTTGGGCAGATACTTCTCTGTGCTTCGCTTTCCTTATCTGCAAAATGGGTGTAACGACAGTATCTACCTCAAGCCCTGTTGAGAATTGATGAGATGACAATAGGTGGACTGAAAGCAGTGGCAGCCCCATACTAAGTTCTCAACAAATGCTTACTGTTAAGACTGTAGTTTAATAGCTAAACTTACGAGGTTTTCTTGGCATGATGTGTTGGTATGATGAAAGTGCATAGACCAGAATTTGTGAAATCAGGTCACAGATCTTTAGTGCTGGGTTTTTTCTTTCAATGCATTTTGTTGTTAAAAAGGACAAGGAGATTTGTATGATAAATTAACAGACTTTCTGAGATGGTGGCATTTTGGAAATTGCTGTGGCCGGGGATTTGAATGGCTATATCTTTGTGATTAAAAAAAATCAAATTGATTAAAATGAGGTCTTCTCTTAGCTAGTTTAGATTTATTGATCAGTTCACTTTCAAGGACTTGAGTTAACCAACTTAGAAAAGTGGGACAGTGAATACTTGAGTGTGTATCTATGGTGTTACCATCACTTTTAGAAGTTACTGAAGAGCAGAATGTAGTGTGGTGGCAAATGTAATGGTCTGGTAATTTTATCTGGGAGTTGTTGGCTCAAATTATGGTGGAGAGGATTTTAATTAGTTGTTAGGAGGACTTTAGACTGGTAGATCTTGAGACTCAAAGTAGATTACACAAATTGGTTGTGTAGTGTTTCATTCTGAAAATTTAAATAAAGATACAGATTTCTGTAATCTTGGATGGTTAGTTGCGATTATATCCAGAATTTGTTCCCCAAAGTTTATGCCAAACAGTTTTTTTTTCGTTATTGGCATCTTTCCAACATAATTTACTAACATTTAATATTTTAAACTGAAATACGTATAATAGATGTGAAACTGATAACTTTTCAGGATAAGTATTCCACAAAGTACAAATTCAGAAACAATGTTAATGCATTTTACATCTGTTAAATATTAATCTATTCCCTCTAAGCTTCGGGAAGTTCTTACGAAATTGCTGTAGAGAAATATTCTTTCTTAATATCTGTAATTAAAAAGCATGATTAGGTTAAATTGGAGTTATGAAGGAATTATCTAGCTATGTCAGTAATGACATAAAATAACAAATAGGATTTTCAGTGAGTATGGTGTTTTGAAAACAGATCTTACATAACTAGGGTAACAAAGTTTAGTAATTTACAGAGTTTTAGGTGACTGCTTAAATTGTATTTTTAAGCAGTTGATTTACAAAATTTTTAAAGATTGGAGGTTCTTTGTTTAAAGAGATTTATTAACAGAATTTTGTGGAATTTCCATATTCGCTTTGTGAAATGTTAAAATCTAGATATTTTTTGTACAGCCCTCTCTTTCAACAAAATCTGTATGAAATCCCCAGAACCTTCCATCCCCCCGCCAAAAAAGGAAATTTTCCTTTTTACAATAAGTATCCTTAATAGTATTCTTCAAAATAGCAGGATGTCTAATGCACTTTAAATGATTTAGTTCCCATGGCTATAGTTACTAGAATATCTGCTGCATAAGGGCAAGAATTGTGTTTTTAATATATATCCTCAGTACCTAGTGCTCAGTAGGTATTTGTTTACTCACCTACTACTGTGCGTATTCTAATGACATTCAGATCTTTATTTTTATTTTTATTTTTTTTTGAGATAGTCTTGCTATGTTGCCCAGGCTGGAGTGCAGTGGTGATGTCATAGCTTATTGTGGCCTCCAACTGGGCTCAAAGGTTCCCCCCACCTTAGCCTCATAAGTGGCTGGGACTAGGAGCATGTGCCATCACACTGGGCTAATTTTTTAAAAAGTTATTTTGTAGAGACCAGGTCAGGTCTCGCCATCTTGCCTAGGCTGGTCACAAACTCCTGGGCTCAAGTAATCCGCCCACCTCGGACTCCCAAAGTGCTGAGATTACAGGTGTGAGCTGCTGTGCCTGGCCTCCAATCTTTTTGCCTGCTGAGATGTAGACCCATATATCCCCTTATGCAGATTTTTTTAATTGACTTTATTTTTTAGAGCAGCATTAGGTTCATAGCAACTTGAGTAGAAGAGACAAGAGATTTCGCGTGTAGCCCCTGCCCCTACACGTGTAACCTCCTCCATTATCAACATTCCCCGCCAAAGTGGTACGTTTGTTACAATTGAGGAACCTACATTGACACACCATTATTACCCAAAGATTATAGTGGCGTACATTTTATGGGTTTAGACAAATACATAATGACATACATGAATGCTTTCACCACCCTAGAAATCCTCTGACTTCCACCTATTTGTCCCCACACCCCCAACCACTTATCTTCTTTCTTTTATTGTCACCATAGTTTTGCCTTTTCCAGAATGTCATATGTGTAACTGGGCTTTTAAAATATGTAGCCTTTTCACATTGGCTTCTTTCACTTAGTAATATGCATTTAGGTTTCCTCCACGTCTTTATGGCTTGGTAATTCATTTCTTTAGGGCTGCATAATAATCTGTTGTCTAGATGTACCACAGTTGGTTTATCCATTCACCTACTGAAGGATGTCTTGGTTGGCTTCGAAGTCTTGGCAATTCTGAATAAAGCTGCTGTAAACGTCCATTTGCAGGTTTTTGTGTGGCCATGAGTTTGTAACTCCTTTGGGTAAATGCCAAGGAATGTGATTGCTGGATCAGATAGTAAGAGTTTAGTTGTTTTGCTGCTGTTTTTTTGAGACAGTCTCACTCTGTGCCCTGGGGTGGAGTACAGTGGCACAATCTCAGCTCACTGCAACTTCCACCTCCTGGGTTCAAGTGATTCTCGTGCCTCAGTCTCCTGAGTAGCTGGGATTACAGGCGCCTGCCATGACGCCCAGCTAATTTTTGGATTTTTAGTAGAGGCAGGGTTTCAACATGTCGGCCAGGCTGGTCTTGATCTCCTGACCTCAGGTGATCTGCCTGTCTTAGCCTCCCAAAGTGAAGAGTATCTTTAGTTTTGTAAGAAATTGCCAAACTGTCTTCCAGATTGGCTGTACCATTTTGCATTCCTACAAGCAATGAATGAGCGTTCCTGTTGCTCTGTATCCTCGGCCGGATTTGGAGCTACCACTGTTCTGGATTTTAGCCGTTCTTTTTTTTTTTTTTTTTGAGACGGAGTCTCACTCTGTCGCCCAGGCTGGAGTGCAATGGCGTGATCTCGGCTCATTGCAACCTCCACATCCCAGGTTCAAGTGATTTCTCCTGCCTCAGCCTCCTGAGTAGCTGGGATTAGAGGCATACACCACCACGCCCGGCTAATTTTTCTTTTTACTTTTAGTAGAGACGGGGTTTTGCCATGCTGGCCAGGTCAGTCTCGAACTCCTGACCTCAAGTGATTCGCCCACCTCGGCCTCCCAAAGTGGTGGGATTACAGGCGTGGGCCACTGCGCCTGGCCTGTAGTGGTATCTTACTGTTTTAAATTTGCATTTCCGTGATGACATGTGATGTGGAGCATCATTTCATATGCTAGTTGTTATCTGTATATCTCTTTGGTGGGGAGTTAGTTAAGGTCTTTTTGACTCTTTTTTTTAGGTTGGGTTGTTTTGTTATTGGTGAGTTTTTGTTTTTTTTTTGTTTGTTTTTTTGGAGACAGAGTCTTACTCTTGTCCAGACTGGAGTGCGGTGGCGCCAACTCAGCTAACTGCAACCTCCGCCTCCCAGGCTCAAGCAGTTGTTCTCGTGCTCAGCCTGCTGAGTAGCTCCTGAGTAGCTGAGATTAGAGGAACGAGCCCACCGTGCTCGGCTAATTTTTGTATATTTAGTAGAGACGGGGTTTCGCCATGTTGGCCAGCCTGGTGAACTCCTGGCCTCAAGTGATCTGCCTGCCTCAGCCTCCCAAAGTGCTGGGATTACAGGCGTGAGCCACCGTGTTCGGCCAGGTTTGCATATTTTGGATAACAGTTCTTTTTTAGATACGTCTTTTGCAGATATTTTTTCTGTTCTCTATCTCAAAGCTGGCATTGCCTCTCTTCTTCACATTTACATTCATTTCCTTCTACCTTTAAGAGATCTCCTTTTGGTCTCCAGCCTTACAGTCAGTTTTCCTACTGCAGTTTAAGTGAGCTTTCTAATAGGTGAACCTGACTTAAAAGGCTTTCAGTGTAAAGTTCTAAGTTCTTGATATGGTTCGTAAGTACATAGCCTCTCCTGAGCTGGCCTCTCTTGTTACTCCCCTGCCATTTTGGACTTTACTTGCAAGCCCCTCTCATCCTATTAAGCTCTCTTATCTCAGCCTGGACATCACTAGCTGAGAAGCTCTTTGTGAACTCTGCACATTGAATTGGATGTCATCTCTGTGTTCCCATAGCACTCTGCTCGGTCCCACTGTAACATATCCTCCTGAATTATAATTTTTCTTTAGTTGTATGCCTCCCCAGATAGACTGTAATCTCTATGACGACTTGGTCATCCTTGTGTCTCAAGAGTTTAGGACTCTTTCTGGAACATAGGTGGTGCTCAGTAAAAAGTTATTGAGCGACTGACTCCACACTGTCCTTATTAAACTCTTCTAGCCTTTTCGTTGTGTTTTGTTTTTACCAAGGCATAGTGTTTCTTACAAACTTCTCTAGCCTTATTGCCTGTGTTTCCCCTTTGCCCTACCTAGGCCAACTGGGTTCTTTTGTTCCTTGAACACTGCTTTAGCATCTCTGTGCCTTTGGTCATGATTGTATTTAGCCTCTGAAATGTCTATTTGTGCTACTTTGGGTAGATTACTGAACCTCTCTAAGCCTTAGTTCTATTAGTACATGAACAGTTATTAAGTATATTGCTGTTCCCTGCCTTCCCCTCGCCCCCCCAGCCCCCATGTCCTAATGCTAGAGTGTCAGTATAATTAAGTGGCTAAGAGGACAAGCCCTTAAGAGTCAGATCTGGATGTGTCTCTTGGCTCTATCACTTATTAGTTGTGTTTGTGACTTTAAGTTCCATGAGAGCAGAGACACTGCCTACTTTGCATCTAAAAGCACATTGCCTAACACAGCAAGTGTTGTAAAAAGATTAGTTGTTGAGTAAGTTACTTCTCTAAATATTACCACTTACCTTCTAGTGAGGAAAGAAAGAAACAGAATTACAAATTGTGAAGTGTACTGTAAAGGAGTCAAAGTGCTGAAGAGACCAGTGGGGTGGAAGGGAGACCTGGTGTCCAAGGATAAGGAGCTCGCCCTTTGAAGGGGGAAGGAGTACATCTTAGATGGAAGATGCAGCCAGATAAAGGCCCCATGAAGTAGGGATGAATTTGGACTGCTCTAGGACCTGAGGAGTGTTGCTGGAGCAAATGGGTAGTAGAGAGAGACAGGTTGAAGAACTGTGCAGAGGGAAAGAGAGGAGAGATGCTGTGAAGTGTTAGCTGATATTAGCATCTGGCTGTTGTTCAAGGAGATTCTAGGAGAATACCTAGAGCAATATTAGGACTTTTATTTTCTAAATGTAAACTATTTTGTTGACATTTAGCCTAAATACATATGGAAAAAGTGCTCAAATCATGTGTACAGCTTGACATTTTCACAAAAGGAACGCTATTGTAACCACCTCCCAGATCGAAGAAACAAGGAGCCGCCCCCTTCACAGGAAACCACCTCTTGACTTTTTACACCATAGATTTATTTTGCCTAATTTTGTGCCTTATATGAATGGAACAGTAGAGTTTGTACTCTTTCATTCTTTTGTTGTTGTTGTTGTTGTTTTGTGACAAAGTTTCACTCTTGTTGCCCAGGCTGGAGTGCAATGGCACAGTCTTGGCTCACGGCAACCTCCACCTCCCGGGTTCAAGCGATTCTCCTGCCTCAGCCTCTCGAGTAGCTGGGATTACAGGCATGCACCACCACACTTGGCTAATTTTTTGTGTTTTTAGTAGAGATGGGGTTTCTCCATGTTGGTCAGGCTGGTCTTGAACTCCCAACCTCAGGTGATCTGCCTGCCTTGGCCTCCCAAAGTGCTAGGATTACAGGCGTGAGCCACTGCGCCCGGCCTGTACTCTTTCATTTCTGTTTGGCTTCTTTCACTCAACATTATGTTTTTTTGTGTGATTAAGGAGTATTATTTGCTTATCCATGACAAAGTTACCAGCTGAATAGCCATGTGTCCCAGTACTTCTTATTTTATTTTATTATAATTTTTATTTTTATTAGAGACGAGATCTCACTATGTTGTCCAGGCTGGTCTCAAACTCAAAGGCTTTAGCAATCCTGCCGCCTCGGCCTCCCAGATTGTTGGGATTACAGGTGTGAGCTGCCACACCTGGCCCTTCTTTTGTTTTTTAAGTCTTATTCTTTTCCCTGACCATCTCAAATACTTTCTGACCAGTATTTCTAGAACGATTTTTTTTTTCCTTAAATCTTCAGGAGGCTCAGCGTGGCGGCTCACGCCTGTAATCCCAGCACTTTGGGGAGGCCGAGGCTGGTGGATCACTTGAGGTCAGGAGTTCAAGACTAGCCTGGCCAACATGGTGAAGCCCTGTCCTTGTCTCTACTAAAAATAAAAAAATTAGCTGGGCATGGTGTCATCCCCCTGTAATTCCAGCTACTCGGAGGCTGAGGCAGGAGAATCACTTAACCCGGGAGGTGTAGGTTGCAGTGAGCCGAGATGGTGCCACTGCACCCAGCCTGGGCAACAGAACAAGACTCTGTCTCAAAAAAAAAAAAAAAAAAAGTCTTCCAGAACTTTAGGTTTAATGTTACAGACAAGATATGACCAGAATAAAGCTGGCAGAAACCTTCCATTAGGTTTGTGGTTGCCCAGTCATGTTTGAACTGACTTGTTTTTTTTGTTTTGTTTTGTTTTTGGTTTTTTTTGCTTATTCGTTTTTGTTTTGAACAGGGAGTCCGGGCACATGGAATAAACTAGAAAGAGAAAAACCTTTGGAGAACTAATTATATTTATAAAACAGATCTTGCCAGTGAGAAATATTTTCTTAAGGAGTTTAATGCCAGTCTTGAATTTTGTAGAAAATATTTCAGCGTACTTGGTATAGTTATTTATTAGTGTCACATCGACCACCTTGGTCTAGTGATGGTTGATACAGTAAATATAAGTGTATACTAGCTTCTCTGCAAAGACTCTACCTTGGAAAGATTACTTCAATAATTTATTTGACAAAATGAAGTAATCCTCTCCCTGTTAAAAACTTCTTCCTGGTTTCCTTCCTTTGTATTTCACATTAAATTTTGCCCTTTTGAATTTGGCCAGAACTCAGGCTTGTTGGGTAAGGTAGCTTTACTTCTAAAAACTTGTCAAGGGCCCTGATTTAGCTTTATTAGAACAACTTCGGATATCTTGTCTATACAGACGTTAGTTAATTTTTGCAGACTGTATTCTTTTGAGTTTGTGAGGGGAGGGGGGCTATCATAAATTTTGTTAACTTTTAAAATGTTTAAGATATTTTCAGCCGGGTGTAGTGCCGGGCGCCAGTAATCCCAGCTACTTGGGAGGCTGAGACGGGAGAATTGCTTGAACCTGGGAGGTGGAGGTTGCAGTGAGCTGAGATTGCACCACTGCACTCCAGCCTGGGCGACAGAGCGAGACTCTGTCTCAAGAAAAAATAAATAAGATTTTTTTTTATAGTATAAAATAAAATGTCTACAAAATATGTAGTTTTTTGTGAATAGGCTGGTTTTAAGTTTCCTGTAAGTATCCATCTATTTGAGGAATTTTGAGAAAAAAAGTGAAAGCAAGGAGAAAATCAGCTCTTGAATTCTGTATTTGATGTTCTGTAGAAGTTACTAGCAATTCATTAACAGAAAATGTGGAGATATGATAAAATGTGCATTAAAATTTTTAAGTGTAATATTTTTTGTTGCCAATAATTTTATGAAACATTGGAGAGATACCGAAATCCCTCCTCACCCCCAAACTATTATTTATAATCTGATTACTAAAAAGTAACCATCATAGACATTTTGGTGTAGTCTGGGTGTGCTTCACATTTTTTTGTTTTACTCAGCCAAAGATATTTTAAAGTTAGTTTCTTTGATCTGACCTAAATTCTTGTAGTTCTCATGATTATCATCTCTAAGAACTATATATGTTTGAACTGTGTACTGTAATTTCAAACGATGGAATTTGTGCCGACAGTCTCTGTTTCTTGGAGTTCTTGATGCTTTGTGTGCCTGTAGTTCAGTGGTCCCATCTCTCTCTGGTTTCTAATTCCAGGCTTGCTCTCCCTTTGTCTGATCCTGCATCTTAAACCATTAAACTACATTCTGCAGTTTGGATGTCCTTCCAGTTTCTTTTCTGTTTCATTACATGCTACATACATGCATACATACATGAAAATATATACATCAATGTGCATATCTATTATACTTACCTATTTTTTTCTTTTAACCTAAATGAAATTGTAATCTGTATATTCTGTAGCTTTTTTTCTCCCCCCAATTTGTTTTTTGTTTTTTGTTTTTTTTTGAGACGGAGTCTCGCTCTGTCGCCCGGGCTGGAGTGCAGTTGGCCTGATCTCATCTCACTATACCCTCTAACTCCTGCGTTCAAGCAATTCTCTTGCCTCAGCCTCCCTAGTAGCTGGGATTACAGGTGCCCACCACCATGCCTGGATAATTTTTGTATTTTTAGTAGAAACAGTTTCACCATGTTGGCCAGGCTGGTCTCCAACTCCTGACCTCAAGTGATCCACCTGTCTCAGCCTCCCAAAGTTGCTGGGATTACAGGCGTGAGCTACTGCTCCTCGCCTCTCTCCCCCCACCCCGTTTAAACAGTTGATTCTTACATGTTAGTAAGTCTGATGTATGAGTCCATTTTATTTAAAGAAGGCAGCACACAGTATTCTGTTGTGTGGACCATAATTTAACCACTTTCTTAGGATAGGGCTGTTTTCAGTTTACTATTACAAACAGGCATCCATACACACTCACTCCTTTGCCAACATTAGAGGATAGACTTTTTAGAGTCTCACTGTGTCGCCCTAGCTGGAGTTCAGTGGCACCATCTTGGCTCACTGCAACCTCCGTGCCCGGGTTCAAGTAATTATCTTGCCGTAGCCACCACTTTGACCTCTTTTAGCTGATTATTTTTGCATTTATCTTTGTCTTTAAATAACACGCCTCTATTGTTTCTAGATTTCAGTTTTTGGCTTTCTTTGTTGATTTCCGTTTGTGACTTTAACTCTTCTTGCCCCCATCACATGTGCATACCCTTCTCATTCCTACATTCCTAATTTAGTTAGTAACACTGCAGTTTTTTATTTGCTTATCCTGACTGTCAAAGTTATTCAGTTTGAGCCATGTAATAAACTGATTACTTCTTTCTCTGCATTTTTTAGTTTTTATTTTTGTAGGTAATATCTTTTTTCTTCCTTCCTATTTTGGCTTTGTTTTCTTCTGTGCTTACTGCTAATGCTACCTCACATTCCTTGCCGCTTGTCTAAATGTTCCATCAGGTTGTTTGGATGCCTTCAGTTGCCCTCTTCTAGCATAAAGTTGTCATTATCTTCAGTAGTTTCTTTACCTTTCTCCTAGATGCAGTCTTCTGTTTATTGTAACCCCGTTCTTTTTCTTGGTTATTTCCCTTGTATTTGAAGAGCTTATCTTCCAGGAGCTTCCTAAGAACATATCCAGGGGAGGTAGTATTTTGAAACTGCATCATCATTCTGCCCTCAACACTTTCGAGATAGTTGGGTATAGAATTCTAGGGCATAATTTTCTTTGAGAATTTTAAAAGCATTGTTCTGTTGCTTTCTGACTTTGGATGTTGCTGCCTGAAAGTCCAAAGTTCTTGTTTTCTGATGTATTTATTCATCCAAAAAATATTTATTGGAGTCTGTACTATGTGCCAGGCACTGTATTAAGTTTTTGGGATACATAATTGAGCCAGACAAAAATCCTACCTTCCAATTGAGGACAGTGGGCGCCTATAACAACAAATAAAAAATAATAAGTGAATTATGTAGTCTGTTAGAAGATAATACATTCTTTGCTGGGAAAAGAGTAGGAGGCGTGAGATGGGCCAAAGATTTAGGAGTACACAGAGGGGCAGTGGGCAGGGTGCCGCTTACTATTTTAAATAGAGGGTCTGAGTGAGTGTCATTGAATGTAACAAGTAAAGATTTGAAAGTTAGGGAGTTAGCCACATGGATATTCAGGAGAAAAGTATTTTAAGACACAGGCCCAAAGGAGCAACCTAGCATTGCCATTGAACAAGGAAGTCAGTGCAGTGAGTAAAGGGGAACAAAGTAGGAGATGAAGTCAGAGAGTAATGGGAACACAGCACCATACTGTATCCTTATACATAATGGCCCCTTGTGGGCTATTTTTAGGATTTCAGCTTTTACTCTAACATGGGTAGCCAGCGGAGGGTGTAGAGCAGAGATTTATGTCATCTGATATAAAACGGAGCTGGATTAATTAATCTAATTGCTGTGCTCAGAACATATTAGGTGGTGAGGGTGGGAGACATAGCTGGGAACAATGAGACTGGTTGGGAGGATATTGTGGTAATCCAGATGAGAGATACTGGTGGCTTGGACTAGATGGTAGTGGTAGAGGTAGGGAGGAATGGTTGGATTCTGAATACATTTTGAAGGGAGGTATAATAAGATTTCCTGACTGTTTTAGATGTATGTTGTGAAAGAGAAGAATCAAGGCTGACTCGAAGGCGCTTGACCTGAGTCACTGGAAGGATGGAGTCTCTATTAATTGAAAAAAGGAAGACTCTGAGTGGAGAGACTTTGGGAGGTGATAAGGAGTTTCTCTTTGGCCATCCCCCTGAAGGGGCAATTGGATTTACAAATCTGGGGTTTCAGACAAATCTGGAGCATTGTGTTTATTTTTAAAATCTGGGCTGGAGATGAAAATTTTGAAATCCTTAGCATGTTGATGGAATTTAAAACTAGGAGACTGAATGAGATCACCAAAGTACCAGTGTACATAAGAAAAGAACATCTTAGGGTGTAAGGGTGGGAGACAAGGATGGAAACAGAGAGACTGGTTTGGAAGAGATTACAGTAATTTATAGGCAGCTACAATTTCAATAATTTGGGGGAGAAGAGCAGGAATAAAAGGAAGCTGAGGAGTGACTGAGATAGGAAAACCAAGAGTATGTGAAGTCGGTGAACAGAGTTTATTAGGCAGGAGCCCAGTGATCCGTCAACTCTGTTAGGTGTTGCTGACAGTTCAAAACTTGCAATTTAAATACAAACAAAACCACAGAACCATTGAAATTCAAATTACTGATTCACTAAAATATTGGATACTGTCAGGCTGAATTTTAGTCTTAAAACTGCACTTATGGGATTGACTTACGGTTATGAAATTGACTGTTACCGGGCAGGTTCTTTTTGAGTTAAGCATACCTTAATTGCCCTGTATCATGTGGTCGTATGAAATCTTAATTTTTTCACTGACATACAAGTGCTTTAGTGGAAACCATGATGGCATTTAGGCTTTGCTTCACACAAATGAATTATTTATGTTATTAGATCGACCTCAGCTTTTCTCTAGCTTGCGTAGAGAAAATAGGACCAACTTAGAGCCAGTGTGGCCATAAATATGAATAGAGGCATTTAATTACATGGCTAACAGGTGTATTCAGATGATTCAGAATGTGTTGATACTGTTTTTTAGACTATTAAAAACATGAAAGTAAAATATTAAATTTTTAGAGAAATGTGAACTCCTTGTGAACAGAATCTTAGTTTGAGGGAAATTAATATAGGTTAATTCTTCTGTTACATCCTTAGTTGAAATAACTAAAATGGTTTGCCTGGAGTTTCAGGTGGTACTGCTTATGTCAACATAGATTGTAACTATTTCAGCTGAATATAATTGAATTTTAATAAGGCTCCATGATTTTTTAAAAGATGGCATTTCTTTCCTATAAATTCCATTACTTTTTTCTATTTTACTAGTAAAGAGCCATCAATCAAAATATATCAGACTCACTAATGTGACTTTTTACCCTGTTTCTTTAATTTCTTTAGTCTTCCTAGCAATATGCTCTTTTATGCTTAGTTTAGTATCCCAAATATAGATTACTGCTAATTTTGATCTGCTGTAAAATTTTTTTCTCTGTGTGTGTGTGTGTGTATACATACTTACCTACCAGATTTGTCAGATGTAATGTGAAGTTGAATGAATTATATGGTAGAGTGTAGAACTAGGTACCATGAATTTTATAAGTAAGGTTTTAAAAAGCACAGCTTAAATGCCAAGATGGAGTAAAAGAGCAAGCTTGCACTGGAATGTGAGAATTTTGTATCCTGAGAGAATATAAAACATAAGGTAGTAAATGGCTGTATTCAGATAACTAGGTAAATAGTATTTGAATGTTTTTATATAGACACTGAGACTTGGTTATATTGCAGATTAGTTTGTAATCAAGACTGATGTTTCAATAATTTTAATTTCAAGTGTGTTGCTAAAAAGTTTTAAGGTTATTTAAAAATTTTAGTAATGTGTGGTATGAAATAAAAAGTTGAAAAAGCCTGTTTGGCCCTCTGCCTGGTTCTGTTGCTCTTCTCTGCTCTTTCCTCTCCATGATACATACTTTGCTTTGATTTCATATCTAATGACTTAATGGCAGACTTAGAATATGTGATTCTATCACTTTGATGGAAAGTAAAGGTTTAATTTAAAGACTTTAGGAAGTTTATTTTCTTGACACATTTTTGTAAATATGGAAAAGATGTTTTGAATGCCAAATTAAATATTCCATACCAGGGTAAGTAAGGAGAACATACATGATTTTTTTAGGGTTATTCAAAAGAAGATGAGATTAGAGACAACAAAACATCTGGCTGTGCTCGTATTTATTTCAAGGCACTGTATTGCCCAGGCTGGAGTGCAGTAGCTATTCACAGACACAATCATGGTGCAGTACAGCCTCTTGGGCTCACCTGATCCTCCCTCTTCAGCCTCTTGAGTAGCTGAGACTACAGGCATGTGCCAGCTTGCTCTTACTTTTTTTTTTTTTTTTTTTGAGATGGAATTTCACTCTTGTTGCCCAGACTGGAGTGCAATGGCACGATCTTGGCTCACTGCAACCTCCCCCTCCCGGGTTCAAGCGATTCTTATGCCTCAGCTTCCGTAGTAGCTGGGATTACAGGCACCTGCCACCACACCCAGCTAATTTTTGTATTTTTAGTAGAGACAACTTTTTACCACGTTGGCCAGGCTGATCTCAAACTCCTGACCTCAAGCGATCCCGCCAGCCTTGGCTTCCCAAAGTTGTTGGGATTACAGGTGTGAGTCACCATGCCTGTCCTTGAAATTTGTTTTTTTTTTTTTTGAGATGGAGTCTTGCTCTGTCGCCCAGGCTGGAGGGCAGTGTCGTGATCTGGGCTCACTTCGAGCTCCGCCTCCCGGATTCACGCCATTCTCCTGCCTCAGTCTCCCGAATAGCTGGGACTACAGGCGCCCGCCACCGCGCCTGGCTAATTTTTTGTATTTTTAGTAGAGACGGGGTTTCACTGTAGTCTCGATAACCTGACCTCATGATCCGCCCACCTCAGCCTCCCAAAGTGCTGGGATTACAGGCACGAGCCACCGCGCCCAGCCGAAATCTATTTTCTTAAGTAAGGTGGGGATAAATGTCTAACTTTGGTCATTGGAAAGGTTAAATGAGAACATATGTAAACCATTGAGTCTACCTGGCACTTAGTAGGTGCTTAATATGTGTTTGGGGCAGTTCTTCATTAATGAAGAACTGTGTTTAGCTTGCTGACTCTGGAACCCGTTGAGACTAGCAGCAAGACCAAAACCAACAACCAAGGTCCAAGGAAAGACGAGAAAATTAAGCATGAAAATTTATATAGAGGGGTTAAGGAGTTACAAGAGTAATGTAATAAGAATTTATGTGGCTCTTCCTACTTAAGGGAAAGGGAAGGGAGTGGCCATTCTTGCCATCAGTCTCTGTTGGCTTGCTGGAGATTGAGGATACCTATATATTTTGGAAAATGCTTTAGCATATCAGAAGGTTATCTGCAAAGGGTTGAGAATGAAAATGGCATTAGGCTTTTCTTTCACTTACATCATTGAATAGCAGAAGACAGTGGGCATAGCTTACTTAGTTCTTAGAGAAGAGAGTTGTGACCAGGATTGTAAGCTGTGGAATTTATGCAAGAGCTTCAGACTTAGACTAAGATGGAGAGTTAATCACTTACGTAATCCTTTCAGAAACTTTCTTTGAAGTATTGTGATCACACCACAAAATTAAGGATTCAGGTGTAGTTAGGTTTGATTAATTGCTTTGACAAAGTTAGGAGCTTAGTACAATCTTTATTGTGCCTAGTGGGAAAGGGAAAGTTTTACTATTGGCATGTTGAAGGGCTTGCATTGTTTTAGGGGGATCTTACACTTTATTTATTCTTTCCCAGACAGGGTCTCACTCTGTTGCACAGACATAGCTCATTGCAGCCTTTACATCCCAGGCTCAGATGAGCCTCCCACCTCAGCCTCCCAAATAGCTGGCTCTACAGCGGATGCCACCACACCCAGCTAATTTTTTTGTATTTTTTTTGTGGAGATGAGGTCTCAGTATATTGCCTAGGCTTGTCTCAAACTCTTGGGCTCAAGTGATCCTCCCACCTCAGCCTCCCAAAGTGCTGGGATTACAGGTATGAGCCACCAAACTCCATGTATATCTAATGTTTAGCTTGGGTGGAAGCCTCAAAATAAAGTGACTTAGCAAGTGTTGTATTTTGCTTTGAACACATTTAAGTCGGGATTTGCCTTTCCTCTTTGTCTTCTGTTGACAGCAGCTTTCCTGGGTTTCCCTCATCTCCAGTAATCAATCTTTCTATACCTATTCAGTGTAACTTCTTCTGTAGCTGCAAAGTTTTCAGAATTATCTTCAGGAAAAATGGAGGTTTTAGGAAAAACATACAATTTTTAAGAAATCATTTTATTGCTTTGCTACAGTTCTGGAAGCTATAGATTGTTTAATTTATTGTCCTTATAACAGTGTTTGATTTTTTAACTTTTGGCATTTTAACTTGTTGAATTTTTAAGAGACTTGCTTTGATTTTGTCATTGTGTAAGAAGCAAGTAAGTCTTCAAATAGAAGCAATGTTTAATTAACATTTTAACGTAAAACATTTTCTACATAATACCTGCCACAATGTCAAATGAGTTTGGAAAATACCCTTTTAACCTAAAGGCATTCTGGGAACAAGAAAAGCCTTAAGTGTTTTGAATGGAGGAGTTTTATTTAATTAAGATTTCTAATGGAAAGAGCAAATTTGTAATCTGATACCTATAATTTTATTTTATATTTTATTGTTTCTAAGAATAATTTTTGTTTTACTAGAGATGGGGTAGTGATAATTGCATCCTACCCTTTCTTTTTTTTTTGAGATGGAATCTTGCTCTGTCGCCCAGGCTGGAGTGCATGCAGTGGCACGATCTTGGCTCACTGCAGCCTCCGCCTCCTGGGTTCAAGTCGATCTTGGCTCACTGCAGCCTCCGCCTCCCAGGTTCAAGTGATTCTTCTGCCTCAGCCTCCCAAGTAGCTGGGATTACAGGCACACGCCACCATGCCCGGCTAATTTTTGTATTTACTTAGTAGAGACAAAGTATCACCATGTTGGCCAGGATGGTCTTGAACTCCTGACCTCAGGTGATCCACCTGCCTTGGCCTCCCAAAGTGCTGTGATTACAGGCGTGAGCCACCACGCCCAGCTGTTTTTTGTTGTTGTTGTTTTTTACTAAATTAAGAATAAACATGTTTTACTTTTTGCTCATTTTGACTGTTTTCACAGTTGTTAATCAGACTAATCTTTATAAAGCAGTTTATTGTCCCCTTTGGAGAAAATACAGCTAAAAATCACCAGTATCCTCATATAGGTAACTGATTCATTGGTCTGATGTTGTAGCCCTCTTGGTTTCTCACCCCGTCCCTCACGTCTGTGTTCTATTTGTAACTTCATTTACAATATATTATGATTTTTTTCCATATCTGACTACATTTCTCCATTTTAAACTTTTATAAGTAATTTATAAAAGGAAACAAAGATTACCACGTGGAATTGAGAATAAAAGTTTATCTTTCTACTGTTAAGTATGCTAAGGTGGTAAAGCAATGGCTGAATGCTCTGAAATTACTAAGACAACATTAAAGGCTGATTCTAAAATGTTTTTGTTTAGATTGACATCTACTTAAACTATATACCAAACTGGGCTTGGGACGTAGGCTTTAGAAAGTGTAGGTAATAGTGCATTCTTGCTAAGTTTTGGATTTTTGCCAGTTTTGGATTCTATGGGCTTGTCTTAAGGTACTTCTGTGAACTTTTCAGCTTTTTGTAAAACTAGTGTAAATATTCTACCTAGTTGAGAATTAAGGTTTATTGTGCTAAAAATTAAATGGTGGTTGATTCTTGGCAGACATGTTTGATCACCTTTGCAAGGTTAAGGCATCTTTTGGAGTGTGTTTCTTGGAATCTACAAATTCTGAGTCTGTGACTAATTGATGACTTGGCAATTAAATCAGGTCTCAGCTGAAAACTTAAATATTCTGGAATATGTACCATCCATGATACACATAAATTACCCATCTCAATCTAGACAAAAGCCAGTTGAGGCTGGAAACAGTCCAGTTTTACAGCTCAACAACTGGTGGAGCCGGGGTCTGAATCCAAGTGTAGATGACTCTAGAATGCTTCCACTTTTCTGACTTAATTAAGTAGAGGGGCCTGTCCATAGATCAGTGGTTTTCAGAGTGTGCTGTAAGGCTCTGTACAGATCTTTTGGAGTTTGGTAAACAGTGAAATATCTTTTGCTTGAGAAATAATCAGTCATCTTTTTGTTGTATACATTTTGGTTCTGTTTGGAAGAGTTTCTCTATATGAAATTTTCTTCTCTAGGGAAATTTAAGACCTGTCGAATGAAAAAATATTAGAAAATAAAAATATAGACTGGGCACAGTGGCTCAGCACTTTGGGAGGCCAAGGCAGGCTGATGGCTTTAGCCCAGGAGTTCGAGACCAGCCTGGGCAACATGGGGACTCCCTATCTTTACAAAGAAAATTAACGAGAGTGGTGGTGCCAGCCTGTGGTCTTAGCTACTGGGGAGATTGAGGTGGGAGGATTGCTCGAGCCCAGAAGACCGAGGCTGCGGTGAGTGGAGATTGTGCCACTGCACTCAGACCTGGGCAACAGAGTGAGACCCTGTCTCAAAAAAAAGGAAAAAAAGTAGTTGTGGGGCTGACTGTGTCTATTTTCAATTATATTTCTTTTCCTAATGCTGTTTTGTGTAGCCTGTATTGTAAAACGAGGTTGAGGTGATTGAACACACTTAATAGAGTGAGGAAGTGGTTAGAGTTAAAATTTCCTGCTGAAAGTGGGTAATCTGCAATTCCTTGCATTGGGTTCACTCCTCACTGCCAACTCTTGCTGCATTTTGAGGCTGCCCTAAGCATGATGTAATGACAGGTTAAACCTCTGCACGCACTAGCTGATGCAATGCAAATCTGAGGCGCAGGACTTTATTGGGGCAAGGGTAGTGCTTGTTTAAAAACAAAACAAGCTACTCTGCGTTTAATGAGGCCATTTAAGATGGCTTTCCCAGAGTGGGAAGAGAGTATAATCTCTTAGGAGGTTTAAGTAGGAGTTTAATGTGGCAGAAGTGTGCTTACTACTTTTCCTGCAAAGTCTTTTCACAGTGGGTAAGGAGAGTTTAAAATATAGTGCTGATAGGAGTAGAAATGAAGTGAGCTAGAATTGAGGAAATATGGTAGTTGATGCCCGGTAAATAGCCGTTGAATGAATTAGGGAGAATGTTTTCACTCTAAAAATTTAGAGTTCGCACGATAAACCTGGAGCGTAGCGCCAGTGTGGCCACGCATTTCCCAGATACGCTGTAGCTCTTAGATCGAAACCATAAGAAACTGCCGATATTCGACTGTTCTGACCTACCGAAAATAGCGTGGTTCCACCTAATTTTAAACTGGTGGAAATGCTGAGGAAGGTTCGATGTCGCTGGGGTGGGATGGGGTCAACGGCGGGGTGGCGGGGGCTCCCCCACGCCCCCGGCCTTTGGCTGGGGGGCGGGGCTTGCGGGCACGGCCCCACCCTTGCGCGAGCAAGACGGGCATCGCCCTGTGCGCCGCGCGCCCTGAACTGGCCCTGGCGCCCCGGGTTGGAGTAGGCGTTCCCAACGCAGGCCCAGCCCCGGCCGAGGCTCCAAATGGCTCTCCCGGCAGGCAGGCTCCTGCAGTAACTCTTGAGCTGGCTCAGGGAGCGCACTTCCTTCTCAGCCAGCGCGTCGCCCCCTGCATCCGTGGCCTCCACTGGAGCTGGGCAGGACCCTACCCAGTGAATCTGGAGAAAACAAACTTGGGAGACAGACGAAAGCTTAGGGCACATTGGAGGACAGCGCAGCTGTGGCTCCCATTTTTGGAGATGCAGTCGAATTTGAGCTCACAGGGAGGTGTGGTTGCCTCCTGGGGATGGAAAGGCTTCCTTTCTCCACCTCTGTAACTGGTGCTTCTGAGAAGTAAATGGTATTTGGATCCTGACCTCAGACGCGAATTTGGGTCTTCTGTGCTTAGGAGCAGAAAGAGCCCAGGAGGGGCCTGTTCCTTTACTTCTTGGGGGAAACGCAATGCGTGGCCTGACTTCTCATGACGGGAAAGGCTACTCCACCTTCTCTGTACTCCTGGAGGGGAGTCTTGTTCACATGTTTACCAGCGGCCAGGACAAGGAAGAGAAAAGGTATTGACATTAAGAGGATGGTTTGCTGAGGCTGTGAAACTTGAACGCTATTAGTCAGTGGAACCTGCCTGGCTTAGGGAATGGCTGCAGCAGAATCGAGACGTTTCCGAGGTTCTCAGTCATGTTTCATTTGGGCTGCTGTTCTTTTTTCTGTTTAAATCAAACTTCAGGTTACGTCATGACTTCTGCAGGGCTGTCCTTGGTTCCTACTGCAGGGCGCCTGTGTGGTTGGGATTCCTTTTCTGTTTCAAGATGGAGCTGGGTTCCACCCTTGGAGCTTTGAGAGGCTTTAGCAGTTGCTGTCCTGTAATACCTCCGTTCCCAAGAAATACCGTTCACATTTCGCTTCTTTTTCACACTTTGAATAGGAGTTAAAATGTGCTTTCTGTAGTGTTTGGAAAATGGCAAAGATATATTGTAATGTGAGCCCGAACTGTTGTTGATAAATGTATAACTATTGCTAGGTCAAGAAATTGTGAACAACAGTGTTTTGCTTGGTCCGTAGCTATATTGTGTTAAATATAAACTGAGTTTACTGCCCTTGGATGTGATTCTTTGGTTTGATTTAGTAATTTGAAAGGCATTGGTTGACTAGACTGTTTTTTGCCCAAGGAACCACTTTGTAATTGTTACGCTGCTTACTGAAGTAAACTGGACCATGCAGTAGGCATACAGCATACAGCCAGGGTGTTTTGGCAATGCTGAGCCCACTGTTTTACAAGTGACATAAAATGGATGTCATATGTACAAAGAATCTACTGAGAGGGAAACTGGATTACAGGAGAGCTCCCTTATAGTCCTTTGTCAGGGGACAGAATACCTGGGTCACACTGGGCTTCAGATTGAGAGTTGATTCATGTTCTGAGTCCATATGATGAGACACATTACGATGGAATTGTCACTTTTGTTGCCTCTGGAACTTTAAAATACCCGTTTAGTGACGTGGAATTAATCTTTATTTTTTCCGTCACCCTCAGCCCTCATTTAAGCTATCAGTTGGTAACCACTTGGGTAATCTAAACCTAAGTTGCATTTATTTGGTCACATTGGTAACCAACATTGCTTCTTAAAAGTTCCTTGCAACAGAATGACTATAATTGAGATAAAACATTAATTTTGAGGCTTTAATTTTGTAATATGGATTAGTGGCCGGGCGCAGTGGCTCATGCCTGTAATCCCAGCACTTTGGGAGGCCGAGGCGGGTGGATCACGAGGTCAGGAGTTCGAGACCAGCCATGGTGAAACCCCGTCTCTACTAAAAATACAAAAATTAGTCGGGCATGGTGGCGGGCCCCTGTAATCCCAGCTACTTGGGAGGCTGAGGCAGGAGAATTGCTTGAACCTGGGAGGCAGAGGTTGCAGTGAGCCGAGATCGCGCCATTGCACTCCAGCCTGGGCAACGAGCAAAACTCCATCTCAAAAAAAAAAAAAAAAAAAAAAAAAAAAGATTATGGCTTAGTAGAGTTACTAGGAGTGCAGTCTTAGGACATTGACTGATCTTTTTTTTCACCCCCAAGACAAATAGTGGCCTGCCATTTTCCAGCCCAGGTAGCTTCCTGGGAAAAGTTGCTTGTTTTATCTTTGACTCAGCCTGGCTAGTTACATTGTCGATTATTTCTTCCAGATGATATTTACCTGTTAAATAATGTTTATTACTCTGCTGATGAATGTTTTCAGCAACGCTGGAGAACCCTAGGCTGCAAGGGGTTCTTCACCTGTTGACTCCATCCCCCACCCCCAGTATGGCATATATCTCTGCCGTGCTATCATCTTTATTCTTTCCTTTTTCATTGTCTCTTCCTGACTGTCCTCCTTTGTTCATTATGTCTGACACATATTGTGGATTGAAAGTAGAACAGAAAGATATACTTTCTCTACCAGACTAAAAAGTTTTGAGATGGCCCTCCATTTCTCCCATGCCTCACTTCACCTTAGTTGTGTTTTTATTTATTTTTATATTTTCGCCACCTTCACTAGCGAGTACATCCCCTCACTCTTGAGGTGGGCACTGATCAGTAGGAAATAAGATTAATACCTGGCTGGTGATAATTTGGGGGGAAGACTTAATTAGATAGAGATGGATAATGGGATGGCAGCAGACCTTTCCCCTTGTGACCCTTCCCCTCATTTCCAAAATACACCTCTAGAGTAGATAATTGCTTACCATTAAGAAGAGTTAATGGAAGGTGATACTCTGATTCTTTGGCATTGGAACTACATTCAATCCGCGGTATCCTCGGATTAGTTCTAGGACCCCCTTCTCCATACCAAAACCTGAGGATGCTCAAGTCCCTGATAGAAAATGGTGTCATATTTGTATGTGCATATTCTCTTGTATAATTTAAGTGATCTCTGGATTACTTAATACAATGTAAACAATATGTAAATAGTTGTTATAGACTGTATTTTAAAAATTTTGTATTCTTTATAAATTTTTCTGAATATTTTCAATCCATGGCTGGTGAAGTCCTCGGATGCAGACCGTGTGGATACAGAGTGCCGATTTTATACAGGAGTTCACCTGTAACTCCCTGTACCTATCAACAGCTGACTCCAAATTAGAAAGAAATAGAGTAAGGGAGCCTCAGGGAGAGTCCTAGCAAAACGGATTCGATTAAACTTCAGTTCCTTGTATAGTTTCTTTAGTTGTTTATGGTCCATTTTCTATTTTAGCATTTATTATTCTATGTAGTCTATCCAAAGACGATTAAGGGAGTTCCACATGTTTTCCGGAACATTTTGAAAAGAGAGCTTATCCAGTGTACAGATCCTAATAAAGTGCACATTCAGTGTAATTTTATTTTTTTAATATCTTTTTTAATCCTATTTTTCTTCCTCTTTTGCTCAGTAAATTTTGTATGAAACTTTAAAAGGACTTATGGCATGTAAACATTATTTATAAAGTAAGTCATGGTTATAATTATTTTTCTCCTGCCTCCTTATGTATTTATTTCAGAAATGAGCCGTCAGACTGCTACAGCATTACCTACCGGTACCTCGAAGTGTCCACCATCCCAGAGGGTGCCTGCCCTGACTGGCACAACTGCATCCAACAATGACTTGGCGAGTCTTTTTGAGTGTCCAGTCTGCTTTGACTATGTGTTACCGCCCATTCTTCAATGTCAGAGTGGCCATCTTGTTTGTAGCAACTGTCGCCCAAAGCTCACATGTTGTCCAACTTGCCGGGGCCCTTTGGGATCCATTCGCAACTTGGCTATGGAGAAAGTGGCTAATTCAGTACTTTTCCCCTGTAAATATGCGTCTTCTGGATGTGAAATAACTCTGCCACACACAGAAAAAGCAGACCATGAAGAGCTCTGTGAGTTTAGGCCTTATTCCTGTCCGTGCCCTGGTGCTTCCTGTAAATGGCAAGGCTCTCTGGATGCTGTAATGCCCCATCTGATGCATCAGCATAAGTCCATTACAACCCTACAGGGAGAGGATATAGTTTTTCTTGCTACAGACATTAATCTTCCTGGTGCTGTTGACTGGGTGATGATGCAGTCCTGTTTTGGCTTTCACTTCATGTTAGTCTTAGAGAAACAGGAAAAATACGATGGTCACCAGCAGTTCTTCGCAATCGTACAGCTGATAGGAACACGCAAGCAAGCTGAAAATTTTGCTTACCGACTTGAGCTAAATGGTCATAGGCGACGATTGACTTGGGAAGCGACTCCTCGATCTATTCATGAAGGAATTGCAACAGCCATTATGAATAGCGACTGTCTAGTCTTTGACACCAGCATTGCACAGCTTTTTGCAGAAAATGGCAATTTAGGCATCAATGTAACTATTTCCATGTGTTGAAATGGCAATCAAACATTTTCTGGCCAGTGTTTAAAACTTCAGTTTCACAGAAAATAAGGCACCCATCTGTCTGCCAACCTAAAACTCTTTCGGTAGGTGGAAGCTAGACACATGAAGGTAAATAAAAAGAAAGGCTGTTAAATACAGGAAACAGTTGCATGTAGTAACACTAATATATTTAAAAATAAGTCAACAGTAAACCACTGAAAAAATATATGTATATACACCCAAGATGGGCATCTTTTGTATTAAGAAAGGAAGCATTGTAAAATAATTCTGAGTTTTGTGTTTGTTGTAGATTGATTGTATTGTTGAAAAAGTTTGTTTTTGCGTGGGAGTGTGTGCCTGCGTGGGTGTGTGCGTGTTTGGGTTTTTTTCCTTTAACTGACAAGCCATCTTGAGTGGTCATGGGCCACTGCTTTTCCCTTTGTGAGTCAATACATAGTGCTGCTGTGTGCTTTTTTTGTGTGTATTTGCTAATTTTTATTAATTTTAGTTTTTCATTAAATAAATTTGACTTTTCTGTAATTCAGGTTTTTCCTTTTTTTGTACCATTTTAAAGTTAGTATCTTTTGATATGCATATTTGTTTATGGTAAAAAATTTATAACGTGTTCAATATTTTCTTTTCCCCCATTAATCAGTTCATTAGAAATATTTTAAAATCAGCTATTTTGTGAAGCCATGAGTTCCAGAAAGTAAAGGTGACATCGGAAAAATAATCAAAAGCTATTTAAAGCATCTATAAGGTGCTCTCTTTCTGTCTTCTACAGATGAGTCACACCTTTGAGCTTAATCTTTGAAAGGTTAGAGAATAAATTGATTTTTATAAATACTGCAAATCAGGCTTTTGTTTCCTTTTTCAGATATCTTGGACAAATCACATATTTTAAAATTTGTTCTTGTATTTATTGGTTTTGCAGAAGAAGGCATCGTCATGCACAGTATTTGTAATTAAAAGCAAATCATTTGTTTAAAAAGGCAGTTTGCAAAAAATGTTTTTGGTCTTTTATAATTCTCATTAAAAGAATATCTGGCAAATTAAAAAAATCTTACTGTGTCTGCTTTAGCTCTAAGTTTGATAAAATCCGAAGTTATTTTCCTGTTTCATTCCATACTTTAATTATATAGCAGAAAGCTGTGTGTTGTCATTTTTAAGTGCGGTAGACTTAACTCTAATCACAGCAAATAACTGGGTATATGGCCTCTGGATTAGTCTTTCCCATGCCCTGCCCCTCTTGCCCACATTTTGATTCTTACAACTGTCAGGAGAATGACTAAAATGCTGACCACTTTTCACCTCTTTAAAAAAGCACAATGATATAATAAATTCACTATTTCATAGCCTAGTGGCTAAGAGCCTTGGTTCTGCAACCAGACTTCCAGGCACCTAAGTGCCAGTCTCGGCTCTACCCCACTAACCAGCTGTGTGACCTTGGGCCCCAGTTTCCTAATGTGTAAAGTGGGGTTAAATTATGGTAGATACTTAAAACCTTTAAATGGGGTACAGGTATGTTACCTGAAACAGTGCTTTGCTCATATCAGCATCCAGCGAATGTTAGCTACCATTATGCCTTCAGTACCATGTAGTTAACTGTTGCTAATTACTTTGAGGCACATGGCAAGATTCTGAAATTGCCTTCTGAATGGTGAAAGAGAATTTTGTGTGGTTTTTATGGGTACTGTAAGCCTAGAAAGTCAATGAAAATTTGGGCTTCACCCTTATCCCACCACTGATTCTGGATAATTTTGGATAAGAGTTTATTTCTGTTATCCATTTTCAGAAAAGATGATTGTGTAGTCTCTTCCTTACATAAATATCTTTTGAACTGGTTATAATGTGCTTGTGGAGCTTTTTTTTTTTGAGACGGAGTTTTACTCTTGTCACCCAGGCTGGAGTGCAGTGGCGTGATCTCGGCTCACTGCAACCTCGGCCTCCTGGGTTTAAGCGATTCTCCTTCCTCAGCCTCCAGAGTAGCTGGGACTACAGGCACGTGCCACCATGCCCGGCCAATTTTTATATTTTTAGTAGAGACGGGGTTTCACCATGTTGGCCAAGATGTTCTCAATCTCCTGACCTTGTGATCCGCCTGCCTCCCAAGTGCTGGGATTATAGGCGTGAGCCACCGCGCCCGGCCTTGCGTAGCCATTTTTATGGTGAAAGAGAACAACAGTTCAACCACAGATTTATATTCAAGTCTGTTCATTAGCATGTGTGCTTGGAAAAAGTGACTTTTATTCCATATTTAATGTTGTATGGTGAAAGGGTTACATTATAATATGTAAAAGGGCTCCCAATATCTTTCAAAATAAACGTGGCTGGACGCTGTGGCTCATACCTGTAATCCCAGCACTTTGAGAGGCCAAGGTGGGCGGATCACTTAAGGTCAGGAGTTCGAGACCAACATGGTGAAACCCTGTCTCTACTAAAAGTACAAAAAAGCCAGGCATGATGGCACACCCTATTAGGGAAGCTGAGGCAGAAGAATCCCTTGAACCCAGGAAGCGGAGGTTGCAGTGAGCCAAGATCGTATCACTGCACTCCAGCCTGGGTGACGGACTGAGACTCTTGGCTCAAAAAACAAAACATATTGGGTATATTCGTGGAGGTATATCATTTTGTAGTTTTACTATTAAGTGTTTTGATTATAAAGTTCATGTAGACTTTGGAAATTATAAAACTGCACATACAATTGAGATGTGTAATCTTAACTGTCCACTCAGGTGACATTTTTATTTTTCCAGTTTTTTTTATGTGTATGTACATATGCTCATCCTCTGTCACCCAGGCTGGAGTATAATGGTGCAATCGGTTCACTGCAGCCTCAAACTCCTGGGCTCAAGTGATCCTCCCATCTCATCCTCCTGCGTAGCTGAGAGTACAGGTGTATGGCATCATGCTTGGCTAATTAAATTTTTTTGTGGAGATGGGGTCTCGCTATGTTGCCCAGGCTGGTCTCAAACCCCTTGGGCTCAAGTGATCCTCCTGCCTTGGCCTCCTGAAGTGCTGGGATTACAGGCATGAGCAGCTGGCTCCAGCCACATGTTTATTTTCAAAGATATTGGGAGCCCTTTTATGTATTACCTTGTAGGCCTTTCATCACACAACATGGTCATCTGAGTGTTTCACCACTTTAATAATCTTGGAAAAATAATTTTTGTTAGTTTGAGGATTCACTGTAATTTTACCTAGGTTCTTGCTGGATATAAGTAAACCATGAACATACCTGTATGTTTTCTGTTTATATTCTTGGGATTATTTTTTACACACTTCATCATTGCTTTCTGGAGAGGTTCCAGAGGACACCAGTAACTGTGTGAAGTTTTCCATTTTCATTTTCACCTCATGTTTTGCTAATTTAAGCAAATTAAGGTAGTACATTTTGTGTTTAACAGTTAATAAGCTTGACATTTTAGTATTAACTATTTGCATTTGGGTCTTCATATTCTTAGCCTATAGAGGTAAGATCTATAGCCATATTTCTTGGTCCATTACACATTTGATTTATGAGGCATAACTCTTGTCCTGAAATTGCTTGTTATAACGAAGACTTCCTCCATTTCTTATTTTTGGTGTCTTTCAGGAGGCTGTACATGGGGTAGGTATGGGAGATACTTATTAACTTTGTTCTATTGCTTTTATACCCTTAAACTTGAAATTGTCCTATTTAATCATGGGCCAGTTTGGTGTGTTAATTTTTGGGGAACAGTTTTTCCTTTGTGAGTAATTTTTATTGTAATATGTATGATTTTAAGACCCACCTTTCTGCAAACTTCAAACGTATGTAAGTGGCTGTAGATAGCTTAGCTCACCAAAATAATAGTGTGCTGCCTCCAACCCCCAAAAGCTCTTCATATTTAGAAACATCTGCAGTGATTCTACTAATGGTAGAATTCTATTTCATTCACACTCCTGATTAGAAGAATTGGTAAGTAATCCAAATTAAGAAAATAATGGATCAAATCCAACATACCTGGGGGGTCAGTCTGTGACTGCTGCATTAGAATGGACATAAAAGTAATGTCGAAACTCGACAGGGTGAATAGTGTGTGTGAACTACCACGCAGGACTGTGGTATTTGTGTAGGTTAAACATGAAAGGTACAGATAGAGTGTTACAGAGACCCGGAGTTTGAAGCTTTGTCATTCCCCTCCCCACTCATCCAGTGTGCATGTTCAAAGCACAAAGGAGTATTTGGTAGTTTACTGCTTATGATCCTAACCTGAATTTACCAAAAGAAACGTACGTTTATCTAAAAATGGCACCATCCAAACAAAATTCCTTATCAAGCATCTACTAAGATTTGGTGGCAAACAGTGTGGGTTGTAGATTCTAACTGCCTGGGTTGACTTCTGACTCTGTATCTACCAGTTTTTATTTAAATACCTTCTCTGCCTGGTCCCTCCTCCACAAAAGGGTATGATGTCCACTGCGTAAGGGAATGAGGAAGGCTAGATGTGCTATAAAGTGCTTATTATGCCTGACTTGATACCCCAGTGTCTTGCTGAACCAAATATTTTCGCTATCCTTATATAGCTCTAGAAACTTGACAAAGAAATACACTTTATTATCATAGATGTAATTTTCTTAGGCCTTTCTGAATTCTGAAAATAATAACAGGTTTACAGATATAAATAATGGAGCAAAAGGACACCTGGTTTTGGGGTCACATTTTGACAGGCTTGCACTGTCATGTCAGGATGAGGATTTAGCCTCAAGAGTTTGTATTGCCTAGAAATGTGCTGACAGTGTCATTAAGTACAAACTACAGTATTTCCAAAGAAATGAATTTTCATGACAAAGCTTTTCCTAAAATTGTTTTAGAAGTCCTTTTGCTGTAACTTTTAAAACATCTCAATGACCACTCACCATATTTGCCTGTTGTCTATTCAGACCTTTTTGATATTTCCTTCCTCTTTCAGCATTTTTGTTTTTTAAGTGCAGTTTTCATTGTGGTATCCACCAAATGTTTGTAAAACAAACAAAAAAAATGAGCATTAGTGTTGGACCATAAATCATCAAATTGGATAATGACTAACTGTAGTCTTTTTTTTTTTTTTTTTTTTTAGCTGCTGGATACAATTTTCATGGCAATAGGAACTGAAGTACTTCAAATAATGTGAGCTTAAACATGTTACTTCATTGAAACAACCAAAACTACTTGATGTTTACATCTAAAATCCTGGTTAAAATAAATTTTAGATTTGGAAAGGGAATTGGCAAAACTAACATTCTTTGTAGCAAAATGTCCCTTAGTAATAGTCAAGTTGACCTCATTTCAGTAGTTCATAAAGGAAAATCCAAAGCCCTCAGCAGTGAATTACCTGGCCACATAGCTGATTTTGGTCACTGTGAATGCAGACCAATCACCTAGTACTGGAAGCTCACAGTGGTAGACATCACTATCACAGTACTTTACGGTCATGGATTTCTCGTGAACTATTTCAGGAACAATCACAAAGATGACATTCTTCACTGTATTTGCATTTGTAACCACCAAGCAAGTAAGGATCTCTGCCCCAGATGCATGGTTTGAGGTAAGGTTCACAGGGACCACTAAAGGGGCAGAGCCAAGTAAAAACATGGATGTCTCCAGTGGACAGTGTAGGATTTCTTGATAAGCAAAGCACCTAAAGCTTTTAGTTTTAATACTTGAGAAGTTTTAAAAACCCATGCATAAAACGTGGAATACCGGTAAAATACACATATCCCTAAGTCTAGTTTAAACTAAAATTTCTAGAGTTAATAATTTTCAATAAAAAAATCCAGCTTATTTTGATACAAGGGGTCTTTGGGTAACATCTTAAAAATCAATGCTAGAAAATGCTCAACATCACTAGTCATTAGGGACATAGAATCAAAATACGTCACACCCATTTGGAGGGCTATTATAAAAAACCCAGAAAATGAGTGCTGGCAAGGATGTGGAGAAACTGGAACATTTGTGCATTGCTGGAAGGAATGTCAAATGGTGCAGCTGCGGTGGAAAAGTTTGGCAGTTCTCAAAAAGTTAAACAGAATTATCCTGTTGTCTTAGTCATTTGTGTTAACCGTAACAGAATACCTGAGACTGGGTAATTTAAAAGTACGAATTTATTTCTCATAGTTGTGAAGACTGAGAAGCCCACGATCAGCGTGCTGGCAGACTGGTATCATCTATTGAGGGCCCAGTCTCAGCTTCTAGGACGGGGCCTGTTGCTGTGTCCTCATATGGTGGAAGGGAATCGAAGGGCAAAAAGGAGGTAATTGGTTCCCTTGAGCCCCTTTATAAAGGCACTAAATCCATTAATGAGGATGGAGCTCTCATGACATAATCACCTCCTAAAGCCTCACCTATCACGTTGGTGGTTGCTTCAACATACGAATTTGGTGGGGGGACATTCAGACCTTAGCATATGTGATCTAGTAGTTCTGCTCCTGGATATGTATCCCTAAAGGACCTAAGAAGGGACTTCAAGAGAGATGTGTACACCCATGTTCATAGCATTACTCATAATACCCAAGAGGGGGAAACAATCAGCAGATGAGTGGATAAACCAAATGCGGTCTATGGATATAGTGGTGTATTATTTGGCCATAAAAATTTCTGGTACTTGCTACCACATGGCTTTTTCCCAGGGAAAGTATTAGTTTTTGTTTGACAAAACACCTTGATAGGTCATGGTTCTGCAAGGCAGAGATGTGAAACAAAGAAAGCTAACTGTTGCAAATAATAAAAAGTTGGAGTTCCTTTGAGCTAAAGCTAAAGTGGCAAAGGAGGAAGAGGTTCATCCCTACCCTTCTGCACCCCATTATTTTGAAGAAAAAGAGTGGCCTGACCCTCCAGATCTTTCTTTTCTGGAGGACACTGGGCGAAAAGTAGTTGCCCCAGTGACTGTTCGAGCAGTTGATGGCTTGCTAAGTAAGAATGCTAAACACAAAAGGACAACTCTTGTTTGATCCCACTCATATGAAGGGAAATTCAGAAAGAAAGTGAAATAGTGGTTACCAGGGTCTGGGGTGAGGGTGGAATTTGGAGCTCTTTTTCAGTGGGTACAGAGTTTCAGTTTGTGGTGATAAAAAATGCATGTAAGCCGGGTGTGGTGGCTCACGCCTGTAATGCCAGCATTTTGGGAGGCCAAGGTGGCCGGATCATTTGAGGTTGGGAGTTTGAGACCAGCCTGGCCAACATGGTGAAACCCTGTCTCTACTAAAAAATACAAAAATTAGCTGGGCGTGGTGGCACACACCTGTGGTCCCAGCTACTTGGGAGGCTGAGGCATGAGAATTGCTTGAACTGGGGAGGCAGAGGTTGCAGTGAGCCGAGATCATGCCACTGCAGTGCAGCCTGGGTAACAGAGCAAGACTCCATCTCAAAAAAAAAAAAAAAAAAAAAAAAAAAAAGCGTGTAGAGTGGACATGCTTAGATCCAGTAACTGATACCCCCAAATTATATGCTTAAAAATGGTTAAAATTTTGGCTCTTCCCCACCCGCCCCACCCCTAACCCCCCACCCCCCCCAAAAAAAAAAAACCCAGGTGAAAAAGGAAGAGCTTAGACTTCAACCAACCAACCTCCCACCCCTGGAATTAAAAAAAAAACAAAACAAACCAAAAACAAAGCTAGTGCAATGGTCATACTGTTCCATGTCATACACAGCAAGGGGAGAATGCATTATTCTCTCAATGGATGCCTTTCGAAAGATATGCTTAAAGCAAGTGCCCTCCTGCTGCTACAAAGTGCAAGGCTGCCTGTGTCAGGACTAAAGGAAGAATACCGAGAACCCCAAGTTATATCCTTGTTGCCCCTGCTGGGTGGAACAGGGCAGAGCGATGTGGGTGTGGATTAGCGCCCTCTGGTTGCTGAAAGTGAATTCACAGTTTGTTCTAGTCCCCAGTTAGATGACGTTGGAAATGATAAAATTACAGTAGTTAAGATAGTCAATGGCATATTTTCAAACATCCCGATGTTCTTTCTCTCCAACTGCCATAACTAGTCCTAGGTCTGGACTTTTCCTCTCAATGCATTCAGATAAACTTTTATCAGCAGGCCTGCTATTTTATCACAGTATTTTGGCCCAATCTTTTTTTTTTTTTTTTTTTTTGAGACAGGGTCTCAC
The DNA here is from genome assembly GCF_000001405.40 of Homo sapiens. Lineage (NCBI taxonomy): Eukaryota > Metazoa > Chordata > Mammalia > Primates > Hominidae > Homo > Homo sapiens. Next base: position 48,353,481 of record NC_000016.10, on the reverse strand, counting down.
TCTGTCGCCCAGGGTGCTGGAGTGCAGTGGCGTGATCTTGGCTCACTGCAGCCCCGACCTCCCTCATCCTCCCATCTCAGCCTCAAGTAGCTGGACTACAGGCGGGTGCCACCATGCCCAGCTAATTTTTGTATTTTTTGTAGAAATGGGGTTTTGCCATGTTGCCCAGGCTGGCCTTGAACTCCTGAGCTTAAGTGATCCACTCGCCTCGATTTCCTAAAGTGCTAGGGTTACAGGCGTGAGCCACCATGCCCAGCCCAGACTTCCTTCTCATCCAGGAAATTCCAAAATGTCTTTACATACATATTCTTATATTGTGTAATAAAAGATTCTGAAGTCCATTACTGGCTAGAATAATAACTAGAAATTGCTTAATATTACTATACATTGCATTTGAACTTAATCTCCACAGTAACAATTAGGTAGTATTACTTGGATTTCATGGATGAAGAAAACCAAGATACAAAAAGTTCACACAGCCAGTAAGCAGATGAGCCTGACTTCATAGTCATACATAGCCTGAATTGAGTCCCAGCAGGAGCACATGGGCATGGACATCTACCAGATTTGGGAACTGGCGTAGCCAAGCAAGAAATAGGAGACGGAATCAGGAGTTAGGATTCCATGCTTAGGACCATCCCAGATGGATGGCTGCCTCCCTCTGGGAGCTGCACTCTTCTGAGGTTGCAGGCATCCAGGGCCAGGGTGCTTCTGTGAGGTGTGCCAGCACGTGCCACTCTGCTGGATACAAGCTATCATGTTCTGAGGGCTGCTTCCCTCAGCATAAGAAGGGGCTTCTATTGGGATGTGTAGGCTTCATTGTAGGGTCCACTTGAGTCTTTTTTTTTTAGAGACAGTCTCGCTCTGTCAGCCAGGCTGGAGTGCAATGGCGCGATCCCAGCTCACTGCAACCTCCACCTCCTGGGTTCAGGCAATTCTTGTGCCTCAGCTTCCCAAGAAGCTGGGATTACAGGCACATGCTAACACGCCTGTATATTTTTTGTAGAGACAGAGTTTCGCCGTTGGCCAGGATTGTCTTGAACTCTTGGGCTCGGTGATCTGCCTACCTCGACCTCCCAAAGTGCTGGAATTACAGGTGTGAGCCATCACGCCCGGCCCACTTGAATATATATATATAGCCAAGAATAGTTGGCTATACTTTCATCTTTGCCTAGTTCTAAGTAATTGATTGGTTTCAGGATCCAATAAACTCTACAGGTAAATCCACTAAGGTAATGGTCTATACCGGTGGTTCCTGAACTTGAGTGTGCAGCAGAATTACCTGGAAGGCTTCTTAAAACACAGATTTCTGTCCCCACCTCCCAGGATTTGATTCAGGCGGCCTGCTGTGGAGCCTGAGAATGTACATTTCTAACAAGTTACCAGGTACTACAGATGCTTCTGTTCTGGAGACTGTGCTGAGAACCACTATGCTATATCTTTCCAGGGACAGTAAGGATCCCACTAAAAAGACAAGAATTCGATTTTTATCAGTTTACTAAATCAACATCTTATATTTCTATACTAAACACTAGCCACTACTTGAGGTTTATTACTGTTGTGATTATGTTTATAAAACAGGGACATCTTGCATACCCCTAATGGTGTGAATAAAATCAACTGTGTCAGTACCTTTGAGCACTTCATAACTTAAAATTCTAAAAAATTGAGATTTGGACCTACAGTTTGCTATTTAACAGACCAGGTCTGGTCTTGACAGTAAAGCCACCATCAAAAGCTGCATTAAGAACCTCATCCAGGCAGCTTGCTGTGACAAAACTTAAATCCTGTCGTACGTTGCCTGGGATTCCCTCAAGGTCTTTTTCATTTCTCCGAGGAATAATGACTTGCTTCAGTCCCGCTCTGTGTGCCGCCAGCACTTTGTCTTTAATTCCACCCACCTGTAAGGAGAGAAAAAAGTTTTTAGGGTTAATGATCACCCTCAAGCTGAAAGAAACCCTGACCCAGCTTTCTTTCACTGAATTTAACCACTACTATTTTAAAACATCCAAATCATCTTCCGTTTTGTTATAGCATGAGCTAGGAAAGCCAGGAAAAAGGATAAGTAGTAACCTTTTTTTAATGTTTCAATTGGTGTTATATTAAAGACTCTGATGAGGGGGATTCTAAATTGTTGATAGGTATGAGTTCCTCTTCTGTCAATGATTGTTTTTATAAATGCTGTCAAAGTAAATTGGCATTCAGGTGTAATCACAACCGTCTAGTCTTTAGGTTGATCTGAAAAAGCAGCACGTGATTCTGACCATGAGCGCCGCTCCTGCAGAGCTTAGCTGTGTGCTGGGGTTACTTCCCTCTCTACAGGTTTAAAGCCAGAACCTCCATGCTGGTTAATGAAGAAAATGTATCCCTAAACTAGGCTCCTATGGTGGCTTTCAAACATGTCTACAATGGTCCCCCTGCTTGAATGTGGGCCAGGCTTTGTGACTCGGTAAGAAACAGAGTGTGGTGGGAGTGATGCTGTATGATCTCCACGGCTGAGTCACAAAAAACGAGAGCTGCTGCCTGAATCTCTCTTGATCACCTGCCCTGGAGGTGGCCAGTCATAATGTCTGAGGTCACTCAAGCAGCCTATGGGCAAGTCCATCAGGTGAGGAACTGGGGCCTCCTGCCACTAGATGGGACCAATTTGCCAGTCACATGAGTCAACCACCATGGAAGCAGTTTCTCCAGCCTGTCAGCCTTCATGTGACTGCAGCCTGGCTGGAACCTAGACTGTAAGGCCAGAGACCCTGGGCCACAAGAACCCAGCTCAGCCTCTCCTGAATTCCTGGCCCACAGGAACTTGAAGAGTATGGAGTATTCTTGCTTTGGGGTAATGTGTTGCATCTGCTCCAATTAAGACTGGCTGGCTGCTCCAGGCCTTCCCGCCCCACTGGCATCTTCTTTCAAGGTTTTGTTCATGCTGCTGAAGTACTCCTTCAAAGTACCTTCTTCAAAAGAGTGTAAGATGAACTGATTCCTTGCATGTTTGAAAATATTTTACTTTCACACTTGATTGATACTAAGGCCATGTATACAAGACTAGATGTAAAACATTTTCCCTCACAGCTTTCATTACTATTTTTTTTTTTTTTGAGACAGTCTTACTCTGTCACCCAAGCTAGAGTGCAGTGGCACAATCTTGGCTCACTGCAACTTTCTGCCTCCCAGGTTCAAGCGATTCTCCTGCCTCAGCCTCCTGAGTAGCTGGGATTACAGGCATGCGCCACCACATCCGGATAATTTTTTTGTATTTTTAGTAGAGACAGGGTTTCACCATGTTGGCCAGGCTGGTCTCAAACTCCTAACCTCAAGTGATACGCCCACCTTGGCCTCCCAAAGTGTTGGAGTTACAGGCGTGAGCCACCACACCCAGCCTCCTTACTATTTTTAAAACAATTTTTGTAGAGATATATTTCCCAGGCTGGTCTTGAACTCCTGGACTTGAGCTATCCTCCTGTTTAGCCTCCCAAAGTGCTGGGATTACAGACGTCAGCTGCCACGCCTGGCCCATTTTCCCTCATAGTTTTGAAGGTACTGCACATCCAGTGTCAGTGCTGAGGCCGCTTTATCCTCAGTAATCTGAAAAGTCAAGGGGATGAAATGTTTTTCCTGGTTAGTAATGGTCCTTTCGATCTCAAGATGCCTTAACTTCTAGGAAATGTTCAGTTATTTCTTGGATAATTTGTTCCATTCCATTTTCCTGTTTGTTAGAACTCCTTTTAGATGTTGGAGTTCTAACAACAAATTGTTTTTCACTATAGTTTTTTCCTGAATAATTCTTTGACCACTTTCAAATCCCAAAGCCCCGTCTTGTCCTCTGTTCTCAAAGGAGGTTTTCTCCAGCTTTCACAGGCCTTTCTTTCAAGTGCTGCTGCTTTCCATCCTGCCTCTTGTAATGGTCTGGAGCTGAAGGTGTACCCCAGGCCGCTGTGGCTGTCTCTCCTGAGGCTGCAGAAGCCTTTACTTGGGCTACGATTTGCTCTGAGAGGGGACCAAGTAGAAAACCCATTTGTTCTATGGAGGTTCTAAAAATAGAAAAAATTATCCGGGCGTGGTGGCGCATGCTTGTAATCCCAGCTAGTTGAGAGACTGAGGCAGGAGAATCACTTCAACTTGGGAGGCAGAGGTTGCAGTGAGCCAAGATTGTGCCACTGTACTCCAACCTGGGTAAGAGAGCCGGACTCCATCTCGATAGAAAAAAGAAAAAAAGACTATTTCTTTTTTTTTTTCCTCATCTTGCTATGAACCTGCCAAAATCTTGTTGTGGACTAAAATTGTAGTCTAGTCTGTTGTAGACTAATACTCAACTAACAACTTTAAATACTCTCAAGTTCTGTACATTTTATCACACTATTTTTATAAGCAGTTTAGGATCTGGAGCCTCAAGACCCCACATGTATAGAACCTTTTCAAAATGTAGTCATTAGATATGGTTAATCTTTATTAGAGTTTCCATTCTATACTAGCAAAGTTTTCTGCAGGGGGACAGGAGGTCTCAAAGAAACTTCAAATTTAAGAAATGGGCTTAAAGCTTAAAAACAACTACTATCCCATTTTGCACATGTGCTATATCTTTAACAATTTGTCAAGTAGAACAAGGCCTCAAATTTTCATGTAACTGCCAATATTTCTGATGACCACACTAATATTTTTTTCCCTTAGCAAATCTTAGAATGGGAAACGTGGGCTGAATGTGGTGGCTCACGCCTGTAATCCCAGCACTTTGGGAGGTGGAGATGAGAGGACTGCATGAGACCTGGAGTTTGAGACAAGCCTGGACAACACAGAGAGACCCTGTCTCTACGCAAAATAAAATAAATTAGCTGAGCATGGTGGCGTGCTCCTATAGTCCCAGCTATTCGGGAGATAGACAGGAGGATCGCTTGAGCCCAGGACTTGGTGGCTATAGTGAGCTACAGTCACACCACTGCACTCCAGCCTGGGCAACAGAGTGAGACCTGTCTATTTCAAAAAAAAAAAAAAAAAAAAAAGGAAAATGTGAAAAATTGTCAGTTTTTCTTTTATTTGATCAAAATTTTAAAATATGAATTAGTTACAGGCATAAAAATATAATATATACTTAAAACCAAGGTTTTCATAGAAAGAAGGCAAACCCGTATTTAAAAATAATATTAATTTTCAAAAATTAAATAAAAAATAACCATATAAATTGTTTTTTCATACTTACTGGAAGAACAAGACCTCTCAGTGTAATTTCTCCAGTCATGGCTACATCTGAACGTACCAGCCGCCCACTAAAAAGTGAGGCGAGACAGGTTACTATGGTAACTCCAGCAGATGGTCCATCTTTTGTGACAGCTCCAGCTGGGAAGTGCAGATGGATGTCTGTGTTGTCAAGAAGATCAAAACTTCCAAAAGCTTTAAAAAGGAAAAAGGGACTTTAATGTAGAAAAATTAAACCTGTTTTCTTTTTCTCCTAAAAAAAAAGTCACAAACAAAAATGAATGTTTTGGGTAAATGAATTCTTCAAAATATTGGTGGACAGTACAATTTGGGTGAGGGTGTGGAAGAACAGTTCCATTCTACTCTAAGTCGTATTAAAACAAAATAAACCTTTTGAATTAGTTTCTAGTTCAGGCACTAGTCAAATAGTCCTGAAATGGGAACTAGGATTTCCACAGGGGTTCAAAACGGTGTGTACTTTGCTAGATGTGTAACTGGCAGTCTCGAGCTCATGCCAGTCTCCGCCATGGAAGGTACCGCCTCCTGGGTCACGCCTGCCTGGCCGGGTGCAGGCTCCTACCATTGGTCAGCTGGTACTTCTTTGCGTTGCTGCGGAGCCAGCTGATAGCGAGGTGGGCGGACTCCTTCATCACGTCCCCGAGCTGGCCGGTCAGAGTTAACTGGCCCTCGCCATCCATTCGACTCGCCTCCACGAACATGATTTCTCCACCTAAGGGAGTCCAAGCCAAACCTATTGCTACTCCTGGCTGACTCAAACGCTGAGATACCTTGAAAGAAGAAGAATGATCAGAGTTGGGTTGGCAAATGCTAAAGGTGACTGATACCACACAATCCTGCAAGAGTCGGCTGACTCCACAGAAGACTTCAGCCACTTACCTCAAAGTCCTTGTTACCTAACATGATTCTGCGTCACATTCAGCACTTACTCTCTGGCTTTCTGCCAGAAGAAAGACCTAAACTTCCTCTTTGACATTTATCAGAGGCAATTTTACCTTAAAATATATGTAAATAACTTTGCTTTTTATGAGCCAGATCTAGCTACACATGCCCTAGTTTTCAAGGAATAAACCCAATAGTTTTATCTAAGTATCTTTATTGGGCTGCAAATATATATATATTTTGAGACAGTCTCACTCCATTGCCCAGGCTTGAAGTACAGTGACACAATTTCAGCTCACTGAAAACTCTGCCTCCTGGCTTCAAGTGATTCTCCTGCCTCTGCCTCCCAAGTGGCTGGTACTATGGGCGCACACAGGCCACCACACCCGCTAATTTTTGTATTTTTTGTAGAGATGTGGTCTCACCATGTTGGCCAGACTGGTCTCAAACTCCTGACCTCAAGTGATCTGCCTGCCTCAGCCTCCCAAAGTGCTGGGATTACAGGTGTGAGCCACCACACCCAGCCTATTGGGCTGCATATTTATATATACTTCATAACCTAGCTTCATTTTAGGTAATCATGAATTTGTTTCAAAAAGTAGAAACCCTCTTACTAGCAGACCTTTAAGAAGAGTGAGCTTGGCCATGCAGAGTGGCTCATGCCTGTAATCCTAGCACTTTGGGAGGCTGAGACGACAGGATCGCTTGAGCCCAGGAGTTCGATAGAGACCAGTGTGGGCAACATGGTGAGACCCTCTTATTTTTTTTGAAAAGAAAAGTGAGAAGGGTTATATTAGAAACTCTAGATTTTACTTCTCCACCGCTTACCTTTAACTTTCTCTATTACTGCTGCAGAGACTATACAATACTACATAATAAACATCCTGGGTTCCTTCCCATGGGATGAGAGAGGTCCACTGTACTGCCTGCCATCTTAAATTGAACATGTTGTCACCTGAGACTAGGAGCATAGTTGATGGGCCATAGGTTAACACATCCAAGTTATGAAAACACTAAAAAGTAACAGTGGAAAATCAGTAATGTTAACTCTCATTACACCCTTTGAGCTTCAAAATTTCCTATCCAATAGAAGTTACTCATGTTAGAGGAACTGAACACAATAGGTCAACTAAGCACTAATCCAAACAGGAGATTTTTCTACTGAGAGTTGACCGTCTCACTAAGGAACAGCACTATACAGCTTGACTTTCTGGGTATGGGGCTGGGTTGCTTCTTTTTCTAAGGGGCTTGGACAATGAAATTCCTGATTGTAAAAATTATTCCAAAATTATGTGGCATCCATTGAAGCTATTGGGCACTTCTTTTCCTCTTTTTTTTTTTTTTTTTTTTGAGACATGAGTCTCACTCTGTCGCCTGGGCTGGAGTGCAATGGCACAATCTTGGCTCAATGCAACCTCCGCCTCCTGGGTTCAAGCAGTTCTCCTGCCTCAGGCTCCGAGTAGCTGGGATTACAGGCATGTATCACCACACCCAGCTAATTTTTGTATTTTTAATAGAGACAGTGTTTCGCCATGTTGGCCAGGCTGGTCTCAAACTCCTGACTTCAGGTGATCTGCCAGCCTCGGCCTCCCAAAGTGCTGGGATTACAGGCGTGAGCCTCTGCGTCTGGCCGAGCACTTATTTTCAGTAGTAAACATACATTAAAAAAAATTAATCCTAATTAACTTCATTTAACAGGTTAGAGATTTGAGAGGCCAAACTCCAGCATCAAGCTGACAGCATGTACCTCAGGTCACACTTTCCTCGAGCTTTGCCACTTGCCCTGTTCTATACTAACTTGAGGCGAAAGACACAAACGATCTATATGTAAGAGATCAGTACTACTTAAGGAAAATCATGAAACAGTTATTTATAAAACTGTTTACAAGGTTTGTTTTTTCTAATATAAAATCAATTCTCTATACCTGAATGACATACATCTAATTTGTGTGGGAATCTGTCACCCAAATTAGACTTCATTCAGGCTCCTTTCTAGGGTTGGGTGAATGAATCGTGTTTAACACAAAAAGTCATTTGGTACAATTTTGTTAACTCTACCAAGAATAATCCCTTTCTTATATTTGAATCCTCACAATTCATTTGTCAAAATAATACCAAAAGTATCCCCGAAGAAGCAGTAGTAAGATTCTTCTTGTTTTTGTTTTTTGTTTTTTTGAGACAGAGTCTCGCTCTGTAGCTCAGGCTGGAGTGCAGAGGCATGATCTCAGCTCACTGCAACCTCTGCCTCCTGGTTCAAGCAATTCTCTTGCCTCAGCCTCCCAAGTAGCTGGGATTACAGGTGTGTGCCACCATGCCCGGCTAATTTTTGTATTTTTAATAGAGACGGGTTTCACCATGTTGGCCAGGCTGGTCTCGAATTCCTGACCTCAAGTGATCTGCCTCCTCAGCCTCCCAAAGTGTTGGGATTACAGACATTAGCGACCGCGCCCAGCCAGATTGTTGTTTTGTTTGTTTTGAGACAGAGTCTCACTCTGTCACCCAGGCTGGAGTGCAGTGGTGCAATCTTGGCTCACTGCAACTGCCTCCTGGGCTCAGGTGATCTCCCACCTCAGCTCCCCAGCAGCTGGGACTACAGGCACCCACGACCATACCCAGCTAATTTTTGTATTTTTTTGTAGAGATGGGGTTTCACGATGTCGCCCAGGCTGGTCTTGAACTCCTGGGCTTGAGCGATCTTCCCATCTTTCCATCTTGGCCTCCTAAAGTGCTGGGACTGCAGGCATGAGCCACCATGCCCAGCCAAGATTCTTATTGATTACCATGTTGCTTCAAGAAGCCAAGCCAGTTTCCAATATTCCCCATTTGCTGGAGTCTTGGTACTTTGGGTAGAAGCAACTGGTAAATTGTTAATTGGAACAGTTGGTGGTGTAGATAACCACGTATGGCCAAACCTAGAGCATCTAGGCTCACAATTACTATCCTGACTTGATAACAAGTGTTCTGATATTAACCTGAAAATGGGAATAATGCCAAATCTGTGTAACTTAACATCTATATACACAGTGGGGAGAACTGAAGTTATTAAACCTGGAATCTCTGTGATCAAGGCTAACAGTAGTTATCTAAGAAGCAAAGGACCTACAATTCTTAGACTTGGAGTCATATTCTTTAAGGACGTGTTCTGAAACTATATCAAGCATCTGGTTTCCACGTATTTCTCCCTCAGAAATTATGAAGTACAAGTAAAAATGAAGGTACAGGGTAAGACACATGCTGCTTTCTTGCTCTTGAGTGGAGACAGTTTTCCAGCCATCTTAACCCCTTTACACAAAACAATTTGTGTTTTATAGCAAATAAGTGACTCAACATAATTTCAATATGATGTTTATCCACCAGTACTTTCCTTTCAGCTTCTAGTCCCATAAATGGTTTGTGAAGTCATCGGTTACATTAGCCAAGATAGGCCTAGACTTGAAGTCTAGAATGTTTTTCCCACTATATGCCAAAGTAGAATGTGGGTATCTCAGGGTCATTTTTGTTGTTCAATTTCCCACCTGTACAGTTGTTATGATTCACTTTCCTTATGTGTCTAATAAATCTTGTTCCATGAAATGATCAATTTCTTCTGAAATCTATCAATAAGGTAAATATGCAGATTAAGGAAGTATTTAAAATATTTAAGTAAAAATCTAAAACAGAATGTGTCTTCTAATGTATGATTGCATTCTTTTTTTTTTTAGACTGAGTTTCGCTCGTCACCCAGGCTGGAGTGCAATGGCACGATCTGGGCTCACTGCAACCTCCACCTCCTGGGTTCAAGCAATTCTCCTGCCTCAGCCTCCCAAGTAGCTGGGACTACAGGTGTGCGTCACCATGCCCGGCTAATTTTTGTATTTTTAGTAGAGACGGGGGTTTCACAATCTTGGCCAGGCTGGTCTCGAACTCCTGACCTCATGATCCACCTGCCTCAGCCTCCCAAAGTGCTGGGATTACAGGTGTGAGCTGCTGTGCCCGGCTGATTGCATTCTTAATACATCAATGCTATTAGTTTTTAAAGAACATTTGGAGTATCTAATTATTGCCAATTTCACACTACTCTTCCCTCTTAACTAAAAATAGTGATATTTGATTGAAATTGTAAGCATGCACAACTCTTTGTGACCCTTCCAATCCTAGATCAACACGTATAGACCCATCAGAGGGACCCATATTTGACATTCATTCAACAGTCCTTTACCAAGCATCCTGATGCAGGCTCTGTTACAGGCCATGGGGACATAAGCATGAATACCTCCTGGCACTGAGACTAAGGGCATCAGACACAGGAGCAGTTATACTCCAGTGTGGGGAGCTCTGAAGAGGCAAGCGTCCCTCCCTGTTTGGAGAGAAGACACAGGTGTCACAGGAGAGGCTGAGTCTTAAAATATGAGTGGGAGTTTGCCAGCAGATGTCAAGGAATGGAGATATGAAGAATTTTGTAGGCCTTCTTTCCAAGGACAAGCACGGTGCCACATGAGACACAGAACCTGAGCTGTCAAATTGCTGTGGTGTGCAGGTTGCTCTGTAGTGGTGTTCACACCATCAACTGGTTTCTTTTGTAGCTCATAGAGCACTTGAATGCTCCTGCCAGGGCTGTCACCACAGAAGCGATCCATCTGGCAACTTCTTTAAAGTCTTAGTACTGAGATCCCAAGTCTTGAATTCATGAATATTTGATTTTTCTAGTTGTAGATTTGTTTCAGTAGCATTCAGAAATGGGAAAAGCAGATTCTACATCCCTTGGAGAGGTGTTGGGGTCCACCACTGTCATCTCTTAAGCAGCATTAAGCAGCCCCAGCCTGGCCTGATGCTTGCATTGCTGAGAACCAGCTGCTCTCCAATCCTTCCAGTAGGGCCTTTTCTTGGCACAACGGATTCCTGTTGGGGCCTTGGACCAGACTGAACATGCAGCATCAGTGCTGCCTTCAACAGGTGGCACAGCAGGTTTATATGGAGCAACATGGAGAAGTAATTTACTACCATGATTCTTTGAGGCATTTAGTTGGTGTTTACACTCTTTCTCAGTTCTAGCAGCTAATTTTGTTTGCTTGAAAGGCAAGCATGATGACAGAATCTCCTGGAATTCGCTTCTGGATGCATTCTATTCAGGAGGCTTTAAAGTGTCTTCATGTCTATCCTCTTCTTCCTTTATTATTTTCTCAGGGCAGTAACCTTTAGACAAGGGCTTTTCATACACCATGGTCAGAAGCCAACACTGAGGCTTTTATATGAGGTGGGGGACTACCTCATGAAAACATGAGTCAGGAATAATCAAATGACAGAATCCTGTCCCCAACCAGGTATATTGGTCCTTTGTCCCTTTGGAGGTGCCTAATGTCCGTTCCTTTTGCTAAAACTAGCCTGATTTCCGGCAGTGACCTACTCTTTCCATGCAGGCTCCCTGAAGCAGAAAACTCAGGATTCTGTCTCCCAGTGACAGAGTGAAAGGGCACAGCCAGTGACTGAGGAGGTGCCTAGGCCCACCTACTCGCATGGCCCCTCCTCGGATTCGGGGCAGTTCTGAGTCTTGCCGTGATAGCACATGCAGTGTGAGCTATGCCTAGGCTTCCTGGGGACACCTGCACCCACTCCTGCTCCTCCCCACTTTTTTTGTAGTAACCTTTATTTTTATTTTTAAAACATGCACTTAATTGATATTGTTTCTGTAGGAAACTTTATGTATTTTGAAAAGGTGACCTATGATACTGTTCCTAAATCTGAAATCTAGGCTAAGTTCCTAGAACCCATTTGATATGGTTTGGATCTGTGTCTCCACCAAATCTCATGTTGAACTATAATCCTCAGTGCTGGAGGTGGGGCCTGGTGGGAGGTGACTGGATCACGGAGGGAAATTTCTCATGAATGGTTTAGCCCCATCCCCTTGGTACTGTCGTCCTCGCAATAGTGAGTGAGTTCTTGTGGGAGGTGGTTGTTTAAAAGCATGTGGCCACCTCCCCTCCTGCACTCTTGCTCCTGCTCTGGCCACATGACATGCCGGCTCCCCCTTCACTTTCTGCCAAGGCTGTAAGTTTCCTGAGGCCTCCCCAGAAGCTGATGCTGGACCTATTTATTTATTTATTTATTTATTTATTTTTGAGATGGAGTCTCACTCTGTGTCCCAAGCTGGAGTGCAGTGGCACGATCTCAGCTCATTGCAACCTCCGCCTCCTGGGTTCAAGTGATTCTTCTGCCTCGGCCTCTCGAGTAGCTGAGACTACAGGTGTGCGCCACCACGCCCAGCTAATTTTGTATTTTTAGTAGAGACAGGGTTTCACCATATTGGCCAGGCTGGTCTCGAAATCCTGACCTCATGATCCGCCTGCCCTTGGCCTCCCAAAGTGCTGGGATTACAGGTGTGAGCCAATGCACCTGGCCTAATGCTGGAGCTATGCTTCCTTTAGAACCTTCAGAACCGTGAGCCAATTAAACCTCTTTTCTTTATAAATTACCCAGTCTCAGGTGGTTCTTTGTTTTTTTTGAGACAGAGTTTTCACTCTGTCACTTAGGCTAGAGTGCAATGGTGTGATCACAGCTCACTGCAGCCTCAACCTTCTGGGCTCAGGTGGATCCCACCTCAGCCTTCCGGGTAATATTTTGTATTTTTTGTAGAGACCAGGTCTCACTTTGCTGCCCAGGTTGGTCTCGAACTCAAGCGATCCGCCCACCTTGGCCTCCCAAAGCGCTGGGATTTACAGGCGTGAGCCACTGTGCCTGGTTTCAGGTATTTCTTTATAGGAATGCAAGAATGAACTAATCCATCATTTTTCAATCTGTTTAGGGAATACAAAAGATATTATTAATTAATAAAAGTGTGCCTTCTTACCTTACTTCCCAACTGCCAGTTTGCTAGGTCAGTAATATTTTTTGACATTAATATATTTTTGTAGATTCATCTTCGATGAAAGTAAAAAAATAGTAAGTGGTGGTATAAGGTTATTAAATATGTACAAAATTTGGATTAGAAAAACAATGGGGATTTTTTGGTGATTGGGGGTAGGTCTCTGTTTTTAGGGAGTATGGTAGTTGCAGAAATTAGTATTTGTTTTTTCTTTTTTAGTATTACTGGGCAATGCAGTGGGTACACTGACTCACCAAATTTGAACTCTGTGATAACGTGCACATGCTTACCACCATTTATCAGAGGAAGACATCAAGCTCAAAGAGACTAAGTTTAAAATTTAGTCAGTAAGAGGCTGCCTTGCAACTTTCAGGCCTTATTCTTCTACCCTTCTGAGCCCCTGCTTATGGCAGCTGGCTTTACCATCCTGACTCTCTCTTCACTGTCTCTGACATTCAGGAAGATTCTAAACTCTGCTCCTTCCTTTCTGCCCCAGCCCCTGCTATCACCCTGGGTGTCTTCAGTGAAGGCATGATGCTCTCCCAGAACCTGGCTTCTCAGTTCTTTAAATGCCTCCTGAACTCAGCCACCCTCTTCCAGGTACTTATCACCAACAGAAACCATGCTACCTCTGAAACCCCTGACCATCATTTCTTATCCTTCTAGCTCGCCTGTACTCAAGCCATGAACTCCAGCACATTCCCATCATACAGCAGCTCTGCCCTAACTTCACTCCTCTCTTGTGCAGCTCACACACGTTAGCCCCATCATTATAATCTTTTCCTTATAAATAACTCAATATTCTTGTCCCTTTCTACATAATATCCTGCAAAAGGTATCCCTTCTCCCAACAAAAGCCATTTCCTCACTGGTGCTTTGGGTCCCACCCCCTCTCACTTTCCTGGAGACTTTGTTTCTATCGTACCACTGCTCTGTCCTGCAACATCAGTCTGTGCTCTCTACTGGATTACTCTCAGCAGCAGCTACTATTTTGAAAACATTCTCCCTTTGACATCCATATTCTCTTCTAGCTGCCTCATTTCTCTGCAATTGTTTACAGCCAAACTTCTAAAGAGCTGCCTACACACTAATTCTACTTCCTCGCCTCCCATTCTCTCTTCAACATACTCCAATTTCTACCATCCCCACCACTCCTTCCTTGTGAAATCTCTTTCAAGGTCACCAACAACCTTCATGCCATCAAATCCAATACACATTTGTTCTGACCTTGATCTTCTTTTGATCTCTCAAACAGTAAACACATTTTGATGTCCCCTCTTTCTTGAAATACTCTCCTCTTCTGTCTCTATGGCAGCACAACATCCTGGTTTTCCTCTTCCCTGAAGGCTTGTTCCTTCCCAGTCCCTTTCTGTTTTTCCCGACTTCTTTGTTGGCTCCTCTTCTCTCTATATGATCCCTAAATAATGCTGTTCTTCAGGGCTTGCTTCTAGACTACCTGCTTTTTAAAAATGTATCCTTTTTTCTTAGGTGATGTGAAAGCCTCAATATCTGGGGCTCTAAATATCCTCTATTTTCTAATAATTCTAAAATCTCCATCTTGGGTATTTCCTCTGAGCAATAGATCTGAATGTCCAAATGTCTCTACTTCTATGCCTCACAGATATTTCTAACTTTTATTTTATTTTTTTGAGACAGGGTCTTGTTCTGTCACCCAGGCTGGAATGCAGTGGCGTGATCTTGGCTCATTGCAACCTCCGTCTCCCAGGCTCAAGTGATCCTCCCACCTCAGCCTCCCAAGTAGTTGTGACTACAGGCATAAGCCACCACACCCAGCTAATTTTTGTATTTTTTGTAGAGAAGGGATTTTGCCGTGTCGCCCAGGCTGGTCTTGAACTCCCAGACTCAAGCAATCCACCTGCCTCAGCCTCCCAAAGTGCTGGGATTACAGGCATGAGCCACCGCGCCCAGCCTGGATATTTCAACTGTAATGTGTTCAAAAGAGCTCTCAGTTTTCTTTGCAACACTCTCTCCTCATCTCCCTCCCCAAGTCTTCCCCATCTCAGTAAACAGCACTACTACACATGCCCTGTCACTCTGGCCAGAAACCTGTAAGTCCCTTTTGATAACTGTTTCCTTCATTCCCCAAATGTTTCCCATCAGCATGTCTACTTCTACCTCTAAAACAGACCTCAGATATAGCTAGAGTAGTTACTGTCTATCTCAGTACCACCCTGTTTGTTTTCTCTATAGCATCAACTTCAATTTGTGATTATTTGTTTACTTGTCTATTGTTTTCCTGCATTAAAGTGGGATCCATGAAGGCAGACATCATACCTTGCTTGTTTACTACTGTGTTGCCAGAAGCACATGTTAGGTCCTTAATAGGTATTTATTAAATGAATCAAACTCTTTCTAGAAGAAACCACAGACCCTAGACTGTAATTTACCCTAAGGGAGAATACAGGCATTTAGACAAAAAAAAGGTATCGGCTGGGTTTGGTGGCTCATGCCTATAATTCCAGCACTTTGGGAGGCTGAGGCAGGTGGATGGCTTGAGCTCAGGAGTTTGAGACCAGTCTGGGACAACATGGTGAAACCCCATCTCTACAAAAAAATACAGAGAAAATTAGCTGGGTATGGTAGCACACGCCTGTGGTCCCAGCTACTCAGGAGGCTGAAGTGGGAGCCCAGGAGGTGGAGGTTGCAGTGAGCTATGATCATGCCACTGCAATCCAGCCTAGGTGACAGAGTGAGACCTCATCTCAAAAAGTAAAAACAAACAAATGAAAGGTATCTTATAACATCTTGGGAACACCTCAACATGTATTCCAGTATTCCTAGTATAACCTCTCTCTTCAGATTCTTTGCCTAGGAAAGCACAAAGAAGTAGAGAAATAAGACTGGCCACTTGTGAGGTGCAAAGAACAGACGCCCTGCTCAGGTCCACCTGTGAGCTCTCTGCAATGAACAGAGGCCCTGCTCAGGTTGCCTGTGATGTTTTTCTAGAGTAATAAACAGCACTAGGTTTGGAGTTGGTCAGGTCTAGAACCAAATCTCATTTCTGGCATAAGTTGTGTCTTCTCTCAAGTTATTTAAATACTCTAAGCCTGTTTCCTCAACTGTTATTGGAAAGACAACCATGACTGAGGATTAAATGATCACTGTGGAGGGCCTTACACAGTGCCTGATAGCCAAGAGATACAAAAATGGGAGTGGTCAACAAGTTGAGCCCAGCCTCTCCCATTCCAAAACAGAGCAACAGAGTTGGTAAGAATATGAATGAGAATCTGATGTAGAGCAGATGCCTTTTTAAAAAACTCTCATACATCACTGCCACTCTCTTCTAGCAGACAAGGGCAGGAATTATTTTGGCCTGACAGGGTACTGTAGAAAGGTAGAAAGAATAATGGACTTGGAATAAGCTGATCTGAGTCTGAATCCTAACTCTACCAACTGCCACTTACGTGAATTTGTACAATTCATTTAATCTCTTCAAACTTTTTCCCTTGTATGTAAAATGGAATTACACTCCTAGCACAGTGACAGCCCTCACGGACAAGAAAGAAATGTTCCATAAATCTTAATTTTATAGATGCAAAAGCAGAGGTAGACTGTGTGGTTAAGTAATTTGGGGCTGGTGGTCATCAGACCACTACAGGTAGAGACACCCGGCTACAGGGTGAGTTCTCACTTTCAAGTATGAAAAAAATGAACACAATGTTCCCAACACTCAAAACACGATGTCAGGCCTCTGAGCCCAAGCTAAGCCATCATATCCCCTGTGACCTGCATGTATACATCCAGATGGCCTGAAGCAAGTGAAGAATCACAAAAGAAGTGAAAATGGTTGGTTCCTGCCTTAACTGATGACATTCCACCATTGTGATTTGTTTCTGTCCCACCTTAACTGAGCGATTAACCTAGTGAAATTCCTTCTCCTGGCTCAGAAGCTCCCCAACTGAGCACCTTGTGACCCCCGCCCCTGCCAGCAAGAGAACAACCCCCTTTGACTGTAATTTTCCACTACCCACCCAAATCCTATGAAACGGCCCCACCCCTATCTCCCTTTGCTGACTCTCTTTTCGGACTCAGCTCACCTGTACCCAGGTGAAATAACAGCCTTGTTGCTCACACAAAGCCTGTTTGGTGGTCTCTCCGCACGCACGCATGTGACACACCACATCTTCCATTCTAAGATGCTATCTATAAAAGACAAAATGGCTACTGGAGTCTTTCTGCAGACTCATGTTGGTAAAAGTGTTACTATGTTAAAGCTCACATGCTACAAGGAAAATAAGGTTCTCCCATGCTAACAAGGATAACTGGTAAGCAGTGTTTATAAAATTTCTCATTTCTGTTCTCTTGGCTCTTTCTTTGCTAATGCTCCAGGAATGTCAGCAATGCTTCCAAACTTAACATCAGCAGAAATGGCTGGGAGAGAGGGGTATATGCAACAGAGACATGCATTAATCTTTTGTCTTTATTTGCTGCTCTAGTTTAAATCCTCAAAGAACTGTTGGAATGTACTTTTCTGGTAAGCCTACAGAAAAAGGTCATCGGCCATGCAGGAGTCAAAACCTGTTTGCGTCTTCACTCACAATGTCACTGGATCCTCCCAGAACGAGAAAGCAGGTTTTGTTCACTTTCTCAATCAACAATGTTTTGCTCAAGTTCTTTCAACACTTCAAAATTCAAATCCATGATATCTTAAGAATTCAAATAATCAAAACAATGCTTCTGATTCTATTGTTCAAGTCCAGATTTACTGTCAAGAGTAAACAAGTTCTATTCTTGTAACTGAGAGCTCTGTAGAGAGGCTCATTAGCTTTAATGACCAGTTTAGAGTTTAAATGGATAAACAAGACAGGCTTGGGGGCTATTTCTCATCTGCTCAGTTGTAAGAACTTGAGGAAAACCATATCTACTGGTAATGATTTCAAATGTTAGATGGAGAGATTATCTTCTACATAGTTTATCAGATTTATTTTCTGAAAATATTTTTTCCTTAAACTGATAAGGAGGTGATGATAAAGCTAAATTCAGTAGTATAATACAAACATTTTTATAGTAACCAACCTATGAAAGCTCATCTAAGCACCTATAAATTATTTCACAATGCCCTTAGCAGTTATAGTCTAACATCTATTTCCATCAGCTGCTTCAACTCGGTCTTGGCACCCAGGCCTTCTGCTGTGAGGTACAGTTAGGAGAGAAAGATGAAAATAGGGCTAGACCTGCATGTGGGTTTAACCCTAAAGGAACTATTAACAATGGAACAATAGGTTCCTGAAAGATGTCATCTGGGTCTGCACTAGCACAGTCTGAAGCTAAGCTATGCTCATGTTTTCAGACCTGTATCAGGTTGATTCCCCGCCTCTTCCCCCAAGCCCTTGATAGCACAAAGAAATCCCTCCTTAAAGTACACATAAGAATATGTAATTTTTCTAAGAAGAAGAGTCAGAGGCATTGTCCTTAAAATGGAACTGAATGGTAGAGAATAAAATGAGACTGGGGTTCTAAAAGAGGATATGGCTGGGATCTCTGGCTCCTGGCAAGTCATATTATCACAATAAGCACTAAAACACAATACCATATAGAAATAAAGTTTCCATCTTAAGGCAAAATTCAGCCTCTGGAAACATCCAATTTTACTTCTCTGTTAAGCAACCACCTGAGTACACCAGTGAGTACCAACAAAAAAATGAGAATGGAGTGAGACTGGCCAAGCTGCAGACGCTGAGATGTGGATCTTTGTGAAGACCCTCACAGGCCAGACCATCACCCTTGAGGTCGAGCCCAGTGATGCCACTGAGAATGTCAAAGCCAAAATTCAAGACAGGTAGGGCATCTTACCTGACCAGCAGTGTCTGATATTTGAGGGCAAACAGCTGAAGGATGGCCACACACTCTTAGACTACAACATCCAGAAAGAGTCCACCCTGCGCCTGATGCTGTGCCTGTGAGGTGGCATTACGGAGCCTTCCCTCTGCCACCTTGCCCAGAAATACAACTGCAAGAAGATGATGTGCCACAAGAGCTGTGCTCGCCTGCGCCCCCATGCAGTCAACTGCTGCAAGAAGTGCGGCCACACCAACAACCTGCGTCCCAAAAAGAAGGTCGAATAAGGCTATTCCTTCCCCAAAGGGCAGCCTCCTGCCCAGGCCCTACGGCCCTGGGGCCTCAATAAAGTGTTCCTTTCATTGACTGGAGCAAAAAGAAATAAAAAGAATGAATCACCTCCATTTCATACATCGGGGGCCCAAGGATGTCTTTCAGAGCATGGAAATCAATCAAAATCGGCATTTCAGGTGGTAGAGCCAAGTCAGTAGTGTCACTGATAGATTCAGGTTTTTCATCTTCTAAGATGTGTTCTCTGCAACCTAAAAGAAAAAAAAATGTATTTAGAAGTTCTAAGAGATTTGCAGGCTGGAAAATTCACTAGCAGTAAATATCAAACAAAAGCCCAGTGGACCTCAAAAGTTCAGTCACTTTTATGCATTTATCAAGGCAAACATTCACCTGTGTATCTGTGGAATGCAGGTGAAATAATTTGTGTTTCAAGAGCTCACCGAGGGTGGTATTTGCAATTGCCTTGTTCAATTACTTTTACTTGCTTATTGTCTATCTCCCCCATTAAAGTGTAAGTTCCAGAAGGGAAACAACTTTGCCTGTCCTTTTTGACCATTATATTCTTAAGTCAAGAACAATTCCCGGCACTATTCAACTTTATGGCCTATAGCTAGGACAAAGACTGAAGGGCTAAGCGCAGTAGGTTACTTTGGATTCTCTGATCTAACAATTCTCTGTTATATCAGCATAACTCAGGGCTTGTGACAAACTTTTCAATTCCCTCTTCAGAGGAGTCTGATCAGGTATCCCCTCCCCTCCCCTCCTCTTCTCTCTCTCTCTCTCTTTCTCTCTCTCCCCCCAACACTTTTTTTTTTTTTTGAGATGGTGTCTAGTGCACTGGTGTGAACACAGCTCACTGCTGCCTTGACCTCCTGGGCTCAAGCGATCCTCACTCGCTTGGCCTCCCAAAGTGCTGGGATTACAGGCATGAGTTGCTGCACCCAGCCAGGTGTCCTGTTTTCTAACGGGCAATGTAAACCTGGACATGATAGAACCCATATAAGCAGTGCCTCTTTTATAAGCATATAGCTTAACTCTAAGGTTATCATTTTCCAATAAATAAATATAATTGGCAGTGCCAGGGTAAGAGAATACAAAGCCTGGTTTGAAATCCCTGTAATAATGGGCCATCTCCTTTACCTGCCTATAAGCCCTGGATGGCTGATATCTTGTCCAAATATTGACTCATTTTGGTTTGGACCTAGACATACAAGGAGCAGGACCCAATTGACTTATCGGACCATCTTCTGTATCAATCTTTGTAATTCCAGTTCAAGTAACGAAAAATATTACGTAATCTGTGGCCAGAAACCCAAAATGGGGAGTAGAGGTTTTAAAACTGCAGGAAATACTTGGCTGTATTCGATCTCATTCCTAGCTTTTTCTTTTAGTTTGCCGTAATTGTTCTAACTTCTTGTCTCATGAAGTGTTTTGTTTTAAAATCTTTCATTACCTTTTTTTAACACACTATTCCTTCTGAAAGTGATTGCTTCGTATATTAATACACACATATAATAATTATGCAGTTATCTAACATTGTCTATCTATCTATATTTTTTGAGACAGAGTCTCGCTCTGTCACCCAAGCTGCAGTGCAGTGGTGCAATCTCGGCTCACTGCAACCTCTGCCTCCTGGGTTCAAGCGATTCTCCTGCCTCAGCCTCCAGAGTAGCTGGGATTACTGGTGCACAACACCATGCCCGGCTAATGTTTGTGTGTGTGTGTATGTGTATATATATGTAATTTTTTTTTTTTTGAGATGGAGTCTCGCTGTGTCACCCAGGCGGGCGTGTAGTGCCACAATCATGGCTCACTGCAACCTCCACCTCCTGGGTTCAAGCGATTCTCCTGGCTCAACCTCCCTGTAGCTGGGACTACAGGCATGTGCCACCATGCCCAGCTAAATTTTGCATTTTTAGTAGAGATGGGGTTTCAGCATGTTGGCCAGGCTGGTCTCGAACTCCTGACCTCAGGTGATCCGCCCACCTCAGCCTCCCAAACTGCTGGGATTACAGGTGTGAGCCACTGAGCCTGGCCTAATGTTTGTATTTTTAGTAGAGACGGGGTTTCACCATGTTGACCAGGCTGGTCTTGAACTCCTGACCTCAAGTGATCTGGCTGCCTCAGCTTCCCATAGTGTTGGGATTACAGGTGTGAGCCACCACGTCCAGCAATATATCTACATATATTTATTTTAGTTTCGCTATGGTTCTTCCATTTTTTCCACTAACTCCTTTCCTTTCAAAAGTGATTACAGAGTATGTTTAATACTAGTAGACCCTTATTTTATTTTTATATTTTCTTGGACCTCACAGGGATGAACCTAACTTTAAATTCTAACAATAACTGGAGACATCCTGAGTGTCACTAAATGATACCACTGTGAACTTCTGGGTGAGGGATTCTCCCACTCTCCTCTCCTGTTGGGCTCTAGTGGGCTCCTCTTCAGGACTGAAACCATGAATGACACAGGAAGGAAAACACAACAGTTCAGATTTTCTGCCAATGAATGGCTATTTAACAGCAAATTATGTTGAACAAAGCATTAAACCTCTCACTACCTCTCTCTGCAGAATTGCTGTGAGAATTAAAAATAAAATCCTGGCCAGGCGTGGTGGCTCACGCCTGTAATCCCAGCACTTTGGGAGGCCGAGGCGCGTGGATCACGAGGTCAGGAGATCGAGACCATCCTGGCTAACACAGTGAAACCCCGTCTCTACTAAAAATACAAAAAATTAGCTGGGCGTGGTGGTGGGTGCCTGTAGTCCCAGCTACTCGGGAGGCTGAGGCAGGAGAATGGCGTGAACCCGGGAGGCAGAGCTTGCAGTGAGCGGAGATCGCGCCACTGCACTCCAGCCTGGGCGACACAGTGAGACTCCGTCTCAAAAAAAAAAAAAAAAGAAAATCCTTTGGAGACGGCAAAGAGCAATGCACTATTTATCACATATGTAAGTCTTGAGTTATATATATTCTCATAATTGTACCTCTGTAACATCACTTGATATTTCAAGGTTTGGCCTGACCAAGTCCTAGGGACAGCTTCCCTGATCTTTCTGACTTCTTTTATAGCATTCATTTGCTTCACAAAATCTAGCAATTCTGAGTTAGTCAGCAGCTTGTGGAAATGGGAGATTTTCTGCTTGCTGCTCTTTTTCCGGTATATTCCAAGCAGTATCAATGATCAAAGATGGGAAAGCACTCACCTGATAAGTTTAGCTACATGCAGATCTCAGAGTGGAAAAGAAAGTAGGTGTCATTGCTTAATTAAAATTAATGCACAGAAGAAAAGCACTACCTGTCTAAGGTTACTACACTATAGATGGAAGGTAGTGGTACTCAAAAACTTCAGCCAGTGCAAAAAGAGCTTACAAGTTTCTCTAGTCTGTGGTGCTTTGTGACAAGCTTTTCTGAGATCTAATTACTGTTGCCAGCTTGTATTTCACGATCACAGGAGGAAGTAAAGCTCAGTGGGTGAAAGCCAACCCACAATTACATAACCAATGCTTTAGGACATCCAATCCTTTTCCAAGTGTAGTACGGGGTTCAGCGTTCTGAGCACTGGGGGAGTGGGGTTGGGAGAGCTATTTCTAATGCAACTAGACCTTATAAAAGATGGCAATTTAGGGACAGCAGCTGTGTTATTAAAAAATTCAGTAACCTCAAAAATAATCTGCATTTCAAAATGTTCCATCATTAGAATATATGCCTAGAAAACTAAGGCTCCAGTCAAGAAAATGGTGTCAGCCAACTGGGAGAGGCAGGACAGCACTGGATTCTGAGTCACCCCCTGGACTGTGTGTAATGCAAAGTGTGAGTAGGGAAACACTGGATCTTCCTAGAATACCCACTTTGATTCCTCATTATAAAACAAACAACCAACAAGCAAAATGTCATCTCACAAAGATATCACTCAAGGAACGAACCCCCGGTTATATGTGCACCTTCTGGGTCCTATGTGCAAGCATTCAAGCACTCAGCCCTAGTACCATGTTCTCTGTCAGAAAGGACCAGCACCAGGAGAAGACAGTGGCATCATCCCTTGGATTAATTGCTGGCCTTGCCCAAGATTGCAACATTCAAGCAATATGGACTTTTTAAGGCAAGGGGAAAAACCAACAACAAAAAGTTCAACCTTCCAACATATCAGGGACCCTGACCCCAAGTCCTTCCCACTGGAATTGTGCAGTTTTCTTCTTATATACCTTTCTTTTGGACTAAAATAGTGGTTCTTAACAAATGGTTAATACTCCTATAAAAGAAACTATTATTTCACTGAGAAGCAAAGAAATTCAAATTATAAAAACAAGCCGGTTACCAAAATAACTAGTAAAGTTTAAGAAATGACAAAGGTCAATGTTAAAAAAAGTAAAGAGATCTTCTCAAACACTGTTGCTTACAGAAGTATAAACTGGTTCAATCTTTCAGGAAAGCAATATGGAAATAGACTGAAAGCCTTCCAAATATTTACAGTCTCACACTCAGTGGTTCTTTTTTGCAGCAATCTATCCTTAGGGAAATACACAAAAGTACAGGCAAGGGTTTGTGCACAGTCACCCATCGCAGCACTACAAATAACAGCAAAACTTAGATCCAATATAAGTACCCAACATTAGGAACATGGTTAAGTAAACCATGGCATATCTAACTGGTAAAATACTACAGTCACTAAAAATGGTTTCCTAAGTGTTTTCAAGTAATGTGAGAAAATTCTTTCAAAACAACGTTAAACTGAGGAAAGGGGAGGATATAACATTTCACACAGGGTGATTTTTACATACACAGTAGTCACCCCTTCTCCACAGGCGATACATTTCCAGACCCACGGTGGATACCTGAAATGCAGGATGGTTCAGAACCCTATATATACCATTTTTTCCCTATAGATATGTACTTATGATCATGTTTAATTTATAAATTAAGCAAAGTAAGAGATTTACAACAATACTAATAAAATAAACCCAGAATGCCAGCATCACTGCTCTTGGCTTTGGGTCCATTATTAAGTAAAGGAAGGGTTACTTGAACACAAACACCCTGAAACCAAGACAGTTGATCTGGTAAGTGAGATGGCTGCTGAGTGGCTAAAGGGGCGGGAGTCATACAGCATGGATATGCTGGACAAAGAGAGGCTTCCTGTCCAGGGTCACACAGAGCAGGATGGCTCGACATTTCATCACACTGCCCAGAATAGTGCACAATTTAAAACTTACGAGTGGATTATTTCTAGAATTTTCCAGTTAATATTTTTGGACGATGGTTGACCACAGGTAACTAAAACTGCAGAAAGTGAAGCTGCAGGTGAGGGGGAAGCTACAGTGTCTTTATCATATGAATGAAATGATATAGTCCAAAATGGTAAAAGAGTTATGCCCTGAGTTATGAGATTAACATTACATGAGATATTAAAAATAAATCATTGTCTCCAGTCCTGACTCAGATTACCACCTAGTGGCCTAGAACAAGGTGACTTTACCTCTTTGTATCTGGTTTTCTAATCAGCAAAACCAGAATTACAGTACTCTCAGAGAGCTGCTGGGAGAATTTGGTAATGGTCAAAAGCCTTAATATGTATAGATGAGAGATACTGAATTATATACTGGCTCCCGCTCCCCCCACCGCCCCTCCCCCCCTTTTTTTTTTGAGACAGAGGCTGGAGCGTAGTGGTGTGATCTCAGCTCACTGCAACCTCTGCCGTCTGTGTTCATGCGATTCTCATGCCTCAGCCTCCCAAGTAGCTGGGATTACAGGTGTGTACCACCACACCTGGCCAATTTTTTTTTTTTTTTTTTTTGAGACGGAGTCCCCGTGTCACCCAGGCTAGAGGGCAATGGTGTGATCTCGGCTCACTGCAACTTCCACCTCCTGGGTTCAAGTGATTCTCCTGCCTCAGCCTCCTGAGAAGCTGAGATTACAGGCACACGTCACCATGCCTGGCTAATTTTTGTATTTTTAGTAGAGACGGGGTTTCACCATGTTGGTCAGGCTAGTCTCGAACTCCTGATATCGTGATCCACCCGCCACGGCCTCTCAAAGTGCTGGGATTACAGGTGTGAGCCACTGCGCCCGGCCCAATTTTTGTATTTTTAGTAGAGACGGGGTTTCACCATGTTGGTCAGGCTAGTCTCGAACTCCTGATATCGTGATTCACCCGCCACAGCCTCTCAAAGTGCTGGGATTACAGGTGTGAACCACCGCGCCCGGCCCAATTTTTGTATTTTTAGTAGAGACGGGGTTTCACTATGTTGGCCAGGTTGGTCTTGAACTCCTGGCCTCAGGTCCTCCTGCCTTGGCCTCTCAAAGTGTTGGGATTACAGGAGTGAGCCACTGTACCTGGCCTTTTTTTCATTCTTAGTTTTCCTTTAGCAAATTCTCCCAGATCCTGATGGCTCCCTTTTTAGAGTAATATTTACTATACAGATTTCTATGACTCACATATTCTCACCCCAAACCCTTCAATTACAAGAAAACAAAGTGCTCTCTACAATCTCATTCTACCCAGCATCCCACAGACAGGGCTCTGACCACAATCACACAACGGTTGGGAATCACATACATTAAATATGCATAAGAAAAAAAGAAAAAGATACAAAGACTGAAGACTCTGCTCTATGCTATACTATATATCACTATTATATTTCATATAAGTGCTCCCTATTAAAATCTTCTTTACAAACTATTTTGAAGCATATTCTTAAAAGTAATAAAGTGAGGCTGGGCGTGGTGGTTCACACCTATAATCCCAGCACTTTGGGAGGCTGAGGCGGGCAGATCACCTGAGGTGAGGAGTTCGAGACCAGCCTGGCCAACATGGTGAAACCCCATCTCTAATGAAAACACAAAAATTAGCCGGACCTGGTGGCAGGTGCCTGTAATCCCAGCTACTTGAGAGGCTAACACATGAGAATCGCTTGAACCCGGGAAGTGGAGGTTGCAGTGAGCCGAGATCATGCCACTGCACTCCAACCTGGGCGACAACGTGAGATTCCATCCCAAAAAAACAAAACAAAACAAAAAAACTAAGTAATAAAGTGCTGTTAAACAGAGGTTGAAAAGGCCACAGAAATATAAAATGAGTAGAATAAGCTAGCTCTGCTTCATCCCACTTCGACTATTTTCCCACTTAAAAGAAATAAAATCGGTCTGAAAATGGGAGGGGGCTAGTGTTTTCTAGTTGATTTAATCTATGCAGAGGTATATCCCAGCTCTTCTTTACTAGGTATTATTGGCCTATTAATACCTTTAATAGGTATTATCTATGTCTGATTCAGAACATTGCCAAGATAGTTGGGGCATAACCACGGAGTTTCCCAGCATTAAAGCAGCAGAGATGCACACAGCACGGGGGCAGAACCAGCAATGCACTCACAGCATGGACTGTGGTGATGGCTGTGAGCCAAGTGAGAGTGAAATGCGGTGTACCCCCGAAGGGGGCTAAGCCATCCTCTAGAGCTGATGGAAGCACAGCTATTATGGAGGGAAGTCCTATAGGGACAGACTCCTCTGGGGAAGGACCAGGCTTTTCCTAAGCAAGCAGCTATCACTTGGACACAGTCAACTGTTCTTCTCTATTCATTTTCCCTCTGCCACAGGAAGATGATTTCAATGAAAACAGGCCCAATAGCCAAAGAACTGCTGTGGGAAGAGGGAGGAAAGGGAATTATTGAAAGGGGAAGTAAGGAGGAAGGATAAGGGGGTTGTAATAACTCAGGAAACTTCAGTAGCTCTCTGTTAAAAAATAAAAAAGTTCCTTGCTGTTTGAAAAAATCTTGAAGCAAAATGGTAGTTCTCGGTAGCTCTTGGCCAGTGATCCAACCAATGGCAAGTAGCAGGGAGGCCAGAAACATAAAAAGCGCAACACCCACAATTCCTCAGAATGTGGTAGAAATGGAGACTATCTAACCACAGAGGGCCCTGGGATATCTATCATCATCTTTATTCAAGACAGAATTTTTGTGATCACTCCTTATTCTCTATACCCTGCTTAATCTGAAGCATAATAGTACTATGCTTTCAAGCCCAGTCCCAGGAGTTCAAGAGCTAAATTTTCTGGTAACAGGAACCCCTTCTTCCAGATTATCAAAGAAGTGTTCATTTTCACAAACAGCAGGTTTTTAATGCCTGTGGGTTAGGGATGGAGGAGGGAAGGATGGGACATACAAGAACCTGTTAATTGCAGCCAGCAATAAAATAGGGTCCAGAAATGGGGATAATTTTCCAAGAAAGGACTACTACTGTTTCTGTTATACTAATATCATGTCTTTGGGAAGCTGTTGAGAATGTATAGACTGCATTCTGATGCTTAGCAGAATTCAGGAAGAATCAGGAATTCAAGAAGCACAGGCTAGAACCACAATAAACAGAACATTAAATGCTGGGCAGAAGCTTAAAGATCCAGTCTAACCCTCCATTTATATCTAAGGAAAGAGAGACCCAGTTTAAACAAGCTTAAACAAACTGCCTAAGTCCACAGCATTCACAGACAGTATTAGGACTACTGACTCTCAAAGACACTTTTTGTCCCAACCTAAAGTCCAGTCTAGAAAAGCCACCTGTAGTTGGTGTGGATGTGGAGAAAGGAGAACTCTTACACACTGGTGGCTGGAATGTAAATTAGTACAGCCATTATGGAAAACAGTATGGAGGTTTCTCAAAATCTAAAAGTTGAACTATCATATGATCCAGCAATCCCACAAATGGGCATTTATCCAAAGGAAATGAATATGTCAAAGGGGTATCTGCACTTCCATGTTTGTTGCAGCACTATTCACAATAGCTAATATATGGAATCAACGTAAGCATCCATCAACGGATGAATGGATAAAGAAAATGTGACATATATAAACAATGGAATATTATTCAGCCACAAAAAGAATAAAATCCTGTCACATGTGGCAACATGGTTGAACCTGGAGGACATTATATTAAGTGAAATTAGCCAGGCACCAAAAGACAAATACTGCATGATCTCACTTATATGTGGAATCTAAAGAAGTTGATCTTACAGAAACAGAGAGTAGAACAGTGGTTACAAGAGACTGGCAAGGGGAGAGATAGTGGGGATGGGGAGAGATTGGTCAATGGGTACAAAATTGCAGATAAATAGGAGGAATAAGTTCTGGTGTTCTACTGCAGGGGTCCCCAAACCCTAGGCTGTGGACTGGTCAGTACCAGTCCATGGCCTGTCAGGAGGAGGTGAGCAGCGGGTGGGCAAGCATTACGGCCTGAGCACCGCCTCCGGTCAGATCAGCAGCGGCATTAGATTCTCATAGGAGCTCAAACTCTATTGTGAATTATGAACTGTGCATGTGAGGGATGTAGGGTGGGTGCTCCTTATGAGAATCTAATGCTGATGATCCGAGGTGGAAGAGTTTTATCCTGAAACCACCACCCCACAGGTCCGTGGAAAAACTGTCTCCCATGAAATTGGTCCCTGGTGCCAAAAAGGTTGGGGACCACTGTTCTATTGCACAGTGACTATGGTTAACAGTATTGTATATTTCAAAATAGCTAGAATAGAGAATTTTAAATATACTTACCACAAAGAAATGATAAATATATGAGGTGACAGATATGCTAAACAGCCTGATTTGATTTTTACACAATGTATACATGTACTGAAACATCACACTATACCCCATAAATATGTATATTATGTAGCAATTAAAAAAAAGAACAAATGGGGCCCCAGTTTCCGTATCAATAAAATGAAAGTCAGATTGGATAAACTCCACTCTCCCATACCATTCGTCATAGGGCCTTACCAAAAGAGTCAATTGTGGTTTGTTGAATTAGACCAAATTTCGGCTATGTAATTCTTAAATTTTATCAACATCTGTGAAAAATGACAAATCATCAAAATACTTATTAATCTGCCAAAGAATTACTGTTTTTAATGCTAATTTTGTCAAGTAAACAAATATTTTTAATCAGTGAAAAGTAATTATGTAACAATTATTTTTGAATGATTAAAATTTTTCTTGCAAGCTGATGGAGTAGGAGCAAAATGGAATGTGGAGACGGCTGTACTTGTGTCAGGGACAAGAAGTGTGTTACTGGGGATATAAATAACAACATGGCAGAGGGGTTATGTGTGAGGAGGAGATGTTTACATCTCAACTGTTTGACACACGATTTCAGACCTTGTTTAAGCATGGAGAGAAAGACACATATGGTTGTGGTTATACAAACAATCAAGTGGTTTTGTTTTAACTGAGCCTACTTTAAAAGTGACATGAAATGCTGAGATTTCGAGTGGCTTTCTTATTGCACAAAATTGCAGAAATATGTGTCACAAGGCTAAACTGACAAGGATATGATGCATCTAAGGACCTTCCCATGGTAAGGCAGAAAAGGAAAAGCAAAGTATCTTTTGAAAAAAATCAGAAAAACCTGAGTATTTCCAACTGTATAATTCGTGCTGTCATTTCAGGTTAATCTTTTCCAAAACAACATCTTCCCAGCCAGAGGAATTGTGCTAAGTGCAACTGAGATTCAAGTTACTGACCAGGGCTGCCAAGGCATTTGGGTCTGCATATTTTCAATGTTTTTTATTTTTTTAAAGGAACTAGCTATAATGGAGAAATCTGTAGATCAAATGCCCAGAAGAACCTTCAGGCCAGCAATAAATCCTTTTTCTTTCTGTTGGTATTTTCTTCATTATTTTGGGGGTGGCAACACAACCTTACGATTACCAAATACATTTTCTTTCAAGTTTACCTACTGAACATTTCTACATAATAACCACTGAGATACAGATGGAAGTTATGACTGTGAGGTATTTTTCAATTTTAGTTGTTTTTTTTTTTTTTTGGAGACAGAGTCTCACCTGTTGCCCAGGCTGGAGTGCAGTGGCACAATCTCAGCTCACTGCAACCTCCGCCTCCCAGGCTCATGTGATTCTCATGCCTCAGTCACCCAAGTAGCTGGGACAACAGGCGTGTGCACCACCACACCTGGCTAATTTTTTGTATTTTTAGTAGAGACGGGGTTTTGCCATGTTGGCCAGGTTAATCTTGAACTCCTGAGCTTAAGTAATCCACCCGCCTTGGCCTCCCAAAGTGCTGGGATTACAGGCATGAGCCAACGGACCTGGCCATTCTTCAATTTTAGTGGCAATTATCTATTATGAAAAAAACAAACAAACAAAAGGGTATCTGCAAACATTTTTCCACTATTTTTCCATCAAAATGAATTTAGAGATGTAAGCAAATGACCTTTTCATGTCCATTTACTATAAGTAATTTTTATAAGCTACCATATCTTTAGTAAGTAAAATAGAGCTTTCAATGATCAGTTCAGTGCCTCCACAGAGGTTAAAAATTAGCAATTATTTCACTTAAAAATTGTTTATCTACCTCTTCCAATAGACTACACATTATTTTCTCTTTAATCAGCTTCCCAGAATCCAATTTAGAACTTGAACATATAGTGGGTATAGTCACGCACTGCATAACAACATTTTGGTCAAAGGCAGACCACATATATGACAGAAGTCCCAGAAGACAACAACGGACCTGAAAGATTCCTATTGCCTAGTGATGTTGTAGCCCCGTTAGGGCAATGGAATGCATTACCCAAATCTTTGTGGTGATGCTTGGTGTACACAAACCTATTGTGCTGCCAGCTGTATAAATGCACAGCACGTACAATTACATACAGTACATAATACTTCATAGTCATAGTGAGTGACTATGTTATTGGTTTATGTACTTACTATGCTTCATTTAAAAAAAATTTTTTATTCTTATATATATTTTTAGAGGTGGAGTCTCGCTATGTTGCCCAGACTGGTCTTGAACTCATGGGTTCAAGCAATCTTCCTGCCTCAGCCTCCTGAGTAGCTGGGACTACAGGCACACACTATCGTGCCTGGACTATACTATGCTTTTCATCATTATTTTAGAGTGTACTCCCTTCTGTAAAAAAGAAGTTAACTGTAAAACAGCCTCAGGCAGGTCCTTCAGAAGGTAGAAGGCACTGTTATCCATGCATGTTACTGCCTCTGAAGACCTTCCAGTGGGCCAAGATGTGGAAGTGGAAGACAGTGAAACTGAAGATCCTGACCTAGTTCAGGACTGGGCTAATGTGTGTCTGTGTCTTTGCTTTTAACAAAGAAGTTTAAAAAGTAAAACAATTTTTAAAAAAGCTTATATACAGTAAGGATATTAACCCATTTATGCCAGAAGTTGTGAATTTTTTTTTGTGAAAAATCAGACCTTGGCAATGACCTTGAGCAGTAGGATATAAATAACTCCCACAAGCTTAGTGTTCCAATAATGGAGCACTAGGCATAAATGGGGTAAAAATATTTTTTGTATAGCTATACAGTGTATTTGTGTTTTAAGCTGAGTGTTATTATAAAAGATTTGAAAAGTTTTAAAAAGCTGGGTGTGGTGGCACACACCTGTAATCCCAGCTACTTAGGAGGATGAGGTAGAAGGATCACTTGAGCCCAAGAGTTCAAGACCAGCCTGAGCAACACAGCCTGTCTCAAAAAAAGAAAAAGAAGTAAAAAAAAAAAAAGAAAAAAATTAAAAAATACAGGCTAAGTGTACAGTGTTAATAAGTCTATAGTAGTATATACACAGTAATGTCCTAGGCTTTCACATTCACTCCCACTCACTTGCTGACTCACGCAGAGCTACTTCCAGTCCTGCAACTCCATTCATGGTAAGTGCCTTTATACAGAAGTACCAGCTTTTATTTGTTGTTTATTTTTTCTTTATTGTTCATCTGTTGTTTAGATATACAAATACCACTCTGTTATAATTGCCTACAGTATTCAGTATAGTCACATGCTGTAGAAGTTTATAGCCTAGGATTAACAGGCTATACCATATAGCCTAGGTGTGTAGAAAGCTATACCATCTAGGTTTGTGTAAGTACACTCTATGATGTTTCCACAATGACAAAATTTCCCAGGGATGCACTTCTCAGAACATTATCCCCATCATTAAGCAACGCATATGACTATTCAGTAAATGCTAGCTGACTCACTGATTGAATAAACTGGTATAAACAAGGGCCCAAAACATAGGAATCCATCTTTAGTACCAGACAAGAAAGTTTGCACCCCTGTTTTCAGTGGGTTTTATGTATTAATAAATCTCATTTCCTGTATTAGAGATTCAGAAAATATTCCTAGACAATTATTTAGATGAGTAGTTAAAATGCAGAGACCTTTTGTAATATTTTTTTTAAAACCATTAAGTATTGCTTTAATACTCTTGTAACTTGAGTTTGTTTTGATAATGTATAACAATGACAACCAAAGGTCACTGCAGGCCGGGCGCGGTGGCTCACGCCTGTAATCCCAGCACTTCAGGAGGCTGAGACAGGTGGATTTCTTGAGCTCAGGAGTTTGAGAACAGCCTGAGCAACATGGCAAAACCTGTGGTCCCAGCTACTCTAGGGACTGAGGTGGGAGGACAGCTTAAGCCCGTGAGGTGGAGGTTGCAGCAAGTTGAAACCAGGCCACTCCACTCCAGTCCGGGTAACAGAGCCAGACTCTGTTTTAAGGTCAATGCATTTTCCTATATGATTCATTTAACAGAATGATGACTTTATAATTATTTGATAATATTTTATTTTCCTGTCCCCAATTGGAATTCAAATAACAAATGTTTGGCTCCTATTATAGTTAGATTTTTGCCTTCATTGAAGCTTCCTCCCGGTCTGTACAGGCAAACAAGTCTCTCTTAAACCAGGCCAATATTGATGAGGGATAAATCAGTAAATCAGTGTAAATGTCAGACTCAGAAAATAATATTTAGTATATCTTCATGATATTGGCAGTATATACCAACATGATATTTTCACCTCAACGTTAGACCACCGCCTGATTTTAGAAGTTTGGACATAGCATACTGCCTAGTATCCCATCAAATGCAATGGATTTAGCACAGAAAGTGTTACTCTCTAGATCTATTTTTTTTTTTTAATAATCTTGGCTTATTTGTAAAATCCAATTAGCTCTAACAACACTACAAACCCCTGAAGCTTAGTACCAATGAGCCAGTGCCTAAACTCTTGTCTCTGAAACCCATATTCCTCAACAGCAACCTTAGTTCCTTGGAAAATTATAAATTCTTATTTGTCCTGAGCTACTAATACAATCAAAGGAAAGGTAAGAATGAACAAGATGAAACAAGACTTTAAATACTGAAAATGCAAAACCGAATCCAAACTTCTAACCCCTATCTGTGCAACCTGGGTCTTTGATAAGAAATCAGCTCAAGTTTGATGGATATTCTACAGTATAAACTTCAATGCGGGCTTAGAAAAATTCTTTTTTTTTTTTTTTTTTTTGAGACAGAGTCTTACTCTGCTGCCCAGGCTAGAGTGCAGTGGCGTGATCTCGGCTCACTGCAACCTCCGCCCCCCAAGTTCAAGCGATTCTCCTGCCTCAGCCTCCCGAGTAGTTGAGATTACAGGCCCCTGCCACCATGCCTGGCTAATTTTTGTATTTCAGTAGAGATGGGGTTTCACCATCTTGGCCAGGCTGGTCTTGAACTCCTGACCTCGTGACCCACCCACCTCGCCCTCCCAAAGTGCTGGGATTAAAGGCGTGAGCCACCACGCCTGGCCAAAAAATTCTTACAGGCACACGCACAAAAAATAATCTGTGTCAGCTAGCCTTCAAGATGGTGCCCAGATATCCCATCCCCATGGAGTTAGTGCCTCCCATATCATACCAGGGTTGGGCTGTGTGACCAAGAGAATATGGCAATAGTGATGGGTATAAAAGACTGCAGTTTTGTCTTGATTCTTACTCTCCCTGCTTCTCTCACACATCATTCCCTCTGGGAGAAGCCAGCTGTCACAGCCTTGCCCTAGGGAGAGACACATTACCTCTTACCAGAGATAAGAAACTGAAGGCTCTGGCCAAGTCAGCAAGGAACTGAGGTCAGCTAACAGCCATGTCAGTGGGCTATATAATATAAAACTATATTAATTTTATATTAAAACTAATATAAAATCCAAAAGATAGGAAGATCCTGTAACAAGTAGAAGACTGTTCCAAGAAGACAAAGACAGGAATTTAGCAAAAAGTTACACAAAGCACAGAGGTTACTTTTTATTTTTTTTGAGAGAGTCTTGCTCTGTCATCCAGGCTAGAGTGCAGTGGCTTGATTTTTGGCTCACTGCGACCTCCACCTCTTGGGCTCAAGTGATTCTCCTGCCTCACCCTCCCAAGTAGCTGAGATTACAGGCACCCACCACCATGCCCAACTAATTTTTTCTATTTTTAGTAGAGACAGGGTTTCACTGTGTTGGCCAGGCTGGTCTCGAACTCCTGGCCTCAAGTGATCTGCCTGCCTCGGCCTCCCAAAGTGCCAGGATTACAGGCATTAGTCACCATGTCTGGCCACAGAGGTTACTTTCTAAACATTAAATTTAGCATTTTCTGTTAACATAAATGCACTCATGGCCGTAGACGAGAATGGATATGTTTCAGATTTGGAGAAGAATAGTCAAAAAAAAAAAAAGCTGAAAGGATCAAAAGCACTTGATTCTCTTGCAGAGCCAGCTTCCTGTTTTGGTTGAGGAAGGAGCTGCACTTAAAATAACTAGCATAAAGCATGCTTAGGGCTTGCAAAGTCAATGGCAGGAAGCCACAACAAAGAGCTCTGAAAGCAGCCCAACAGAAGGCTGATTCCTCCTGGAGAACTGCATCCTGAGAAAGGCTAAGAGAAGAGGCGCTTGCATAGTCAGTGAGTGGGAACGAACACAAGCCCATCAGCATGTGGCTCTCCTCTGTGACACTCTGACCCCTTGGCTCTAGGTATACTTGCTTACGTGGCAGGATACCTTTCTCCCACTCACCACATTCTTGCCAATAGTTAAAGGTGTGGTAAAGTGGGAGAATGAAAGTCAATGAATGAAAAGAACTAGTGCTGTAAAATTCAAATATTTTATTTTGATGAATTTTATTTTCTTTCTTTTTTTGAGGCAGAGTCTTGCTCTGTTGCCCAGGCTAGAGTGCTGTGGTGTGATCTCGGCTCACTGCAATCCCCGCCTCCCAGGTTCAAATGATCCTCCCATCTCAGCCTCCCAAGTAGCTGGGACTACAGGTGTGTGCCACCACGCCCAGCTAATTTTTGTATTTTTAGAAGAGATGGGGTTTCACCATGTTGGCCAGGCTGGTCTCAAACTCCTGACCTCAAGTGATCTGCCCTCTTCAGCCTCCCAAAGTGCTGGGATTACAGATGTTAGCCACCACACCTGGCTTTTGATGCATTTTAAATTGAGGTTGTCTGGAAAGCAAGCCCTAAGCATGCTTTATGCTAGTTATTTTAAGTGCAGCTCCTTCCTCAACCAAAACAGGAAGCTGTCCCTGCGAGAGAATCAAGTGCTTTTGATCCTTTCTGCATTTTTTTTTTTTAACTATTCTTCTCCAAATCTGAAAAACCACATCCCGGGAGTACCACATAATAAAAGGATGTATATCAAGGAATTAAGGATGTAATACCTACTTCCTTCCACTACATTAGGTTGATTTCACTGTCCCACCTAAGGCAAATACAGCAGATAAACAACAAATCTCCAAATGCAACTCACACAAAATAGGATCCATATTGAGCTACAAAAATTGTCATTGAGGGAGACAGACTTGTGGTCTAGCCAGCCAAAGCTTTGTGGTCAGCAGGGGGCTCAAGGAATCTATCATAAGAGGACAGGCCTGTCATCACTGACATCAAATCTTATTGCTTATGACTCACCACCCAACCACTAGCCTTTTCTCCAACTTACAGCTTCTCTTTTCCTACAGACTGGAAAATGGATAGCCAAGTTTATAAAGACATGTCTGTTAACCAAGTCAAACAGGCAAAGCATGGTGTTTACTGAGGAATGTTGTGAAGGGATTTATAAATCAAATCACAGTCAAAGTAGGTGGCTACTAAAGATCCTACTCAAATGAGATTTTATAATAGTCAATTATATAGGTAGAAGCCTAAAGCTACAAAACAAAAGCAATGTTTCTTCTTAGTTTTGTTGTTTTTTCCCCCTCTTTTCTTTGGGATTTGAGGTAGAATTGAGTATCACCATAATTCAGAATTGACAGAGTAGATGGTATGTTTAGAATCATAAAACATTTAGTCAAAAGTAATTCTGAAAATTAGAGGTTGTCAAAGCAACTGGGACTTCATTGGCAAAATCCCAATAAAGGAAGAAACCAAAAAGAAGGATCTCAAAAATCTGCACTTAAATCCCCCTCAAGCTGTTGACTAACTCCTAAGTTGAATGTATTCAGGGTGAGTCTTTTAGAAACCCAGGAGAAAGGAGAAGCCAGGATGCTAAAGACCTGATTGGATTTTCATGTGAGAACTCAGAAAGATCATGCTCTAGAAGTAAGGGTCACCCACGAAGGAATAAGAACTACATCCTGGGAGTACCACATAATAAAAATAAAGACTGTATCCCAGTAATAAGACCCAAACTGAAATTGACGAGTCCTGACAAAGCCTAAAACTCAGCCTTGACAGGACAGAGTGACAGGTTGGTACTGTAGTTACCAATCAGAAGAAAATGTAACACTTTTCAGAGGATAATAGTTACAGCCCTTGTATTTTTCATCCAATGTCTGGCATCCAGTAAAAAAATACAAGAAATGCTAAAAAACAGAACAAAAAACTAGAAATCAAGGGGGAAAAAAAGGTAATACAAACAAAACAAACACCAAACATAACTGAATCAGATAATGGAGTGTTAAGGTAGAGATTTTCAAAATAATGACTAGCATGTCCAAGAAAATAGGGAAAAGGAGGGATTAAATAGATAAAAAGATAGAAAATATCAATGGAGAATCTATTGGAGTCCATATATATACAAAGAATCCTGGCCGGGTGTGGTGGCCCATGCCTGTAATCCCAGCACTTTGGGAGGCCAAGGTGGGTGGATCACTTGAGGTCAGGAGTTCAAGACCAGCCTGGCCAACATGGTGAAACCCCGTCTCTACTAAAAATACAAAAATTGGTCGGGTGTGGTGGCGGGCGCCTGTAATCCCAGCTACTCGGGAGGCTGAAGCAAGAGAATCACTTGAACCTGGGAGGTGAAGGTTGCAGTTAGCCAAGGTCACGCCACTGCATGCCAGCCTGAGCAACAGGGCGAGACTCCGTCTCAAAAAAAAAAAAAAAAAAAAAGAATCCAATGGGCTGGGCGCGGTGGCTCATGCCTGTAATCCCAGCACTTTGCACTTTGGCAGGCAGAGGAGGGCAGATCACCTAAGGTAAGGAGTTCGAGACCAGCCTGGCCAACACGGTGAAACCCCGTCTCTACTAAAAATACAAAATTAGCTGGGTATGGTGGTACACGCCTGTAATCCCAGCTACTCAGGAGGCTGAGACATCAGAATCGCTTGAATCCAGGAGGCAAAGGTTGCAGTAAGCCAAAATCGTGCCACTGCACTTTAGCCTGGGTGACAGAGTGAGACTCTGTCTTAAAGAAAGAAAAAAAAAATATCCAGTGGCCATTCTAAAAGTAAAAAAAAAAAAAAAAAAAAATTACAATATGGTAATTAAGAACTTCATAGGCTTAATAGCAGACCACAAAAAAATAGAAGAAAGCAATAACAAACTGGAATACAGGGCAACAGAAAATATCTAAACTGAATGAGAGAGAAAAATTAACAAACAAAAAAAAAATAGAAAGGAGGATAAGAGACAGTGAAGGGCTCTCTTCTCAGAATCCCAGAAGGAAGAGTAAAAAAATGGGAAGAATATTTGAAAAGATAATGGCCAAAATCTTTCCAAAACCAATAAAAGAGTATACAAATTCAAGAAAGTCAGTGCTATGGTTTAAATGTTTGTCCCCTTCAAAATTCATGTTGAAATTTAACTGCCATTGTAACAATATTAAGTAGTGAGACTTTTAAGAGGTCAGTAGGCCATGAAGTAACAAGTTGCTCTTAGGTTCCTGAAGATTCTGCCCTTATGGGTGAGACTGATATCCTTATAAAAGAGTGAGTTCAGGCCCCCTTCTCTTTCTTTGCCCTTCTGCCATGTGAAGATGCAGCAAGAAGGTTCCTGTCAGAAGCTGGCACCTTGACATTGGACTCTTCAGCCTCCAGAACTGTGAACCAATACATTTCTGCTCATTTAAAATTACCCAGTCTGTGGTATTCTGTTACAGCAACACAGAACGAACTGTCAGCAAATCTCAGGTTGAATAAACAAGTAAAATCACACTTCACCACATGATTGTCTGACATGTCTGTTAACAAAGTCAAACAGGCAAGGCATAGTGTTTACTGGAGAATGTTGAGAATTAAATCAGGGTCAAACTGGACAGTTTCTGAGAATCCTACCGAATTGTCATTTTATAATATTAGGTGATGAGGGGTGACCTAAAGCTACAAAGCAAAGCCTATGTCAGTTGGTAATTTCTTCATAGGCTTTTATCCTGCTTACTTTGTCTATTATCATTATTTCTATTCAGCATTTCCCAGGAGGTCCTAGACAACATATTAGGGAAGAAATTAAATAAAAGGTATAACGTTGGAAAGGAAGAAGTAAAAACTGACATCTGCATTTGTGATTACAGGATGGTAGATGCAGAAAATCCAAAAGATTCCACAAACAATTATGATTAATAAGTGAATGTGGCAAGTTTGTTGAACAGGAGGCCAATATTGCATTGTCATACACTACCAACAAAAAATTAGAAAACAAAATTTTAAGAACGTTATTTACAATAATATACACATAAAGATCAAATACCTAGGAAGATATCTAAAGAAAAATTATGTAAAAGTGTGCCACAGAAAATGATCAAAACTCTTAAAAAACTTATTTAAGAAGATCAGATGGTTGTAGATGTGTGGTCTTATTTCTGAGTTCTCCATTCTATTCTATTGGTCTATGTGTCTGTTTTTGTACTAGTAACCAATGAAGAAAGGATTCTCTATTTAATAAATGGTGCTGGGAAAACTGGCTAGCCATATGCAGAAAACAGAAACTGGACCCCTTCCTTACACCTTATACAAAAATTATTTAATAACTCAAGATGAATTAAAGACTTAAATGTAAAACCCAAAACTATAAAAACCTTAGAAAAAAATCTAGGCAATACCATTCAGGACATAGGCACGGGCAAAGATTTCATGAAGAAAATGACAAAAGCAATAGCAACAAAAGCAAAAATTGACAAATGGGATCTAATTAAACTAAAGAGCTTCTGCACAGCAAAAGAAAGTATCATCAGAGTGAACAGACAACCTACAGAATGGGAAAAGAATTTTTCAATCTATCCACCCGACAAAAGTCTAGTATCTAGAGTCTACCAGGAACACAAATTTACAAGGAAAAAAAAAAACAACCCCATTAAAAAGTGGGCAAGGGACATGAACAGACACTTCTCAAAAGAAGACATTATGTTGCCAACAAACATAGGACAAAGAGCTCAACATCACTGATCATTAGAGAAATGCAAATAAAAACTACAATGAGATACCATCTCACGCCAGTCAGAATGACAATTATTAAAAAGTCAAGAAACAACAGATGCTGGCGAGGTTGTGAAGAATAAGGAATGCTTTTACACTGTTGGTGGGAGTTTAATTAGTTCAACCATTGTGGAAGACAGTGTGGTGATTCCTCAAAGATCTAGAAGCAGAAATACCATTTGATCCAGCAATCCCACTACTGGGTATATAGCCAAAGAAACAGAATGATTTATATATATTCATTGCAGCACTATTCACAATAGCAAAGACATGGAATCAACCCAAATGCGCATCAATGACAGACTGGATAAAGAAAATGTGGTACATGTACACCATGAAATACTATGCAGCCATAAAAAGGAACGAGAGCATGTCCTCTGCAGGGACATGGATGAAACTAGAAGCCATTATCCTCAACAAACTAATGCAGGATCAGAAAACCAAACACTGCATGTTCTCACTTATAAGTGGGAGCTGAACAATGACAACACATGGACACATGGCAGGGAAAAATACACACTGGGGCCTGTTGTGGGTGGGAGTGAGGGGAGGGAGAGCATCAGGAAGAATAGCTAATGGATGCTGGGCTTAATACCTGGGTGATGGATTATCTGTGCAGCAAACCACCATGGCACATGTTTACCTACATAATAAACTTGTACATCCTGCACATGTACCCTGGAACTTAAAAGCTGAAGAAAAAAAACTTATGTAAGAAGACTTAAATAAATGAAGCTGGTCATGAATTAGAAGACTTGATAATACAAATTGTCAATTCTCCCCAACTAGATTTACAGATTCAACGGAATCATAATAAAAATGCCCCAGGAGTTTTTATTTATTTACTTGTTGGTAGAAAATGACAAACTGACTTTAAAATTTACATGGATATTTGAAGGACCTACAATAGCCAACCCAATTCTGAAGAAGAACAAAGCTGGAAGACTTACACTACCAGATACCAAGATTATCTAAGATAAAGTAATTCTTGAAACAATGTATGAGGCAGCCTCTGGAAATTTTATCCCAGGCCCTAAGTACCCATTCAGGGGGCTCAAACATGAGCTTGGCTGGTCCAGCCTGCCTGGCTTCACCCCACAATCTACCCTGGAAGCACAGCACAAGACCAGGACCCCTGAGAGTTTCACGGCCCAGCTCGGTACCTGAGATACCTGAATAATTCTTGAATTACAAAGGTTAATCACCCTACTGCCACTATTGCAGCTGACGCTCATCTGCAGGCACCACCTCCTAGCTGGGAAGTCAACCTGCACCACCCATTACAACATCTATTGATACAACTGCATAGTGCCTTGGAAGAAAGCAAGTTTTGCACGACCTCTGCTGCCACCATCATCCACCCCAGCTAGGCAGGAGGCCTTGAGCCCAATCACCCACCCCGTACATTACTACTGTCACTGGCATTTGAGAAAGCCACCATACTAAGACTACTTTATAACCAAGGCTATCATACAGTGTCTATGTCACTGAATGCACCCTGAAGCAAAGCCAAATGACCCTACTCAACATACATAATAGATACATCCTCAAGGGAAAGAAAGTCCTGCCCCAACAAAAGTAAACTAAAAAATAATAAGAAGCAACTGTTATCCCAGATACAAATGAATCAGCACAGTAATATTGGAAATATGAAAAAAAAAAGGTGCTATGACACCCCCAGAGAAACACAGTAATTCTCTAGCAATGGATCCTAACTAAAAAACAAATCTTCAAAATGCCAGATAAAGAATTCAAAACACTGATTTAGAGAAGCTATCAGGGGCTGGATACAGTGGCTCACACCTGTAATCCTAGCACTTTAGGAAGCCAAGGTGGATGGATCACTTGAGGCCAGGAGTTCAAGACCTGCCTGGCCAACAAGGTGAAACCGCATCTCTACTAAAAAAATACAAAAATTAGCCAGGCATGGTAACGCACGCTTGTAATCCCAGCTACTCAGGAGGCTGAGGCACAAGAATCACTTGAACCCAGGAGGTGGAGGCTGCAGTGAGCCGAGATCGTGCCACTGCACTCTAGCCTGGGTGACAGGGTAAAACTCTGTCTCAGAAAAAAAAAAAAAGAAGAAGCTGTCAGGGGCAGGGCACAGTGACTCATGCCTGCAATCCCAATAGTTTAGGAAGCCAAGGCAAGAGGAAGGAGGATCACTTAAGGCCAGGAGTTCAAGACTAGCCTGGGCAACACAGTATAACCCTCCATCTCTACAAAAAATAAAAAAATAAGCTAGGTGTGGTGGTATGTGCCTGAATTTGTAGCTACTTAGGACAGTGAGGCAGAGGACTGCTTGGGCTTACAATGAGCTATGACTGCATCACTGCACTCCAGACAAGGCAACAGAGCGAGACCCTGTTTCAAAATAAAATTAAATTAAAAGAAAAAAAGTAGCTCAACAAGATACAAGAGAAATCTGAAAACTAA
This sequence comes from Homo sapiens, assembly GCF_000001405.40. Lineage (NCBI taxonomy): Eukaryota > Metazoa > Chordata > Mammalia > Primates > Hominidae > Homo > Homo sapiens. The sequence goes on along the minus strand of NC_000016.10, from coordinate 48,311,587 downwards.
TACAAAGAAGTCAGAAAATCAGTTCAGGAAATGAATGAGAAATTTACCAAAGAGATAGGTATTTTAAAAAGAAAACCAAACAGAACTCCTGGAAATAAAAAATTCATTGAAGGAATTATAAAATACATTTGAAAGCTTCAACAACAGACTAGACCAAGCAGAAGAAAGAACCTCAGAACTTTAAGATAGGTTTTTTCAATTAATCCAGTCAGACAAAAAAAAAAAAGAAAAAAGAATTTTAAAAAATGAGTAGAGCCTCTGAAAAGTAAGGGATTACATAAGACATTGGAACCTATGAATCATAGGTATTCCTAGAGGAGAAGAAAAAGCAAAAATTTCAGAAAACCTATTTGAGAAAATAATTGAGAAAACCTTCCCTAGTCTAGCAAAGGATCTAGACATCCAGATACAAGACGCTCAACAAACTCCAGCCAAATACATTGCGAGAAGGATCTCACCATGGCATCTAGTCATCAGGCTGTCTAAGGTCAATGTGAAGGGAAAATCCCTAAATACAGTAAAAGTGTCTAGTCACTTATACAGGAAACTTCATCAAACTAACAGTGGACTTCTCAGCAGAAACTTCAGAAGCCAGAAGAGACGGGGATTCTATTTTCAAAGTGCTTAAAGAAAATGGTCAAACTCGAATTTTGTATCCTGCTAGTGTAAGCTTCACAAATGAAGGAGAAATAAAGTGTTTCCCAGATAAGCAAATGAGGGAATTCATCACCACTTGATTGGTCCTATGAGAAATATTTAAAGAAGTTCTAAACATGGGAACAAAAGGTGATACTCTATCATAAAAACACATGAAACTCACAAGTTTTATGAAACAATTATACAAATAAGGAAAAGAAAGAAATAAAAGGGCAACATGACAGAACTCCAGAAGACCACAAAGCGGGAACAAAAAACAAACAAAGAATCTACAAAGCTGGCTGGTTGCGGTGGTTCACGCCTGTAATCCCAGCACTTTGGGAGGCCAAGGCGGGAGGATCACCTGAGGTCAGGAGTTCGAGACCAGCCTGGCCAACGTGACAAAATCCCGTCTGTACTAAAAATACAAAAATTAGCCAGGCATGGTGGCATGCACCTGTAATTCCAGCTACTTGGGAGGCTGAAGCAAGGGAATCGCTTGAACTTGGGAGGTGGAGGTTGTAGTGAGCCAAGATCGCGCCATTGCACTCCAGACTGGGTGACAGAGCAAGACTCAAGACTCTTGCTTAAAAGAAAAAAAAAAATCTACAAAGCAACTAGATAGCAATTAACATTATGACTGGAACAAAACCTCATGCATCAGTATTAACCTTGAATGCACCACTTCAAAGATATAAATTGGTGCAATGGATTAAAAAACAACAACTACATGCTGCTTACAAGAAATTTGCCTTACTGTTAAAGACACACAGACTGAAGGTAAAGGGGTGGAAAAATGTTCCATGCAAAAGGAAACCAAAAGCAAGCAAGAGTAACTATACTTATATTAGATAAAACAGACTTTAAATCAACAATAGTTTTTTTTTTTTTAAAGGCCAGTATATAATGACATAGGGATCAATTCAACAAGAAGATATAACAATCCTAAGTATATACTCCCAAAACTGGAGTACCAGATTAATAAAACAAATACTACTAGGCCTAAGAAAAGAGACAGATAGCAATACAAAATGTGGGACTTCAACACTGAGACAGACAAAGTCAACAAAGAAACACTGAACTTAAAACCAAATGGACCTAACAGACATTTACAGAACATTCTACCCAACAACCACAAAAGATACATTTTTCTCATTAGCACATGGGACATTCTCCAAGACAGACCAAACGTCAGGCCACAAAACAAGTCTCAATAAATTTAAAAAAAAATCAAAATCATATCAAGTATCTTCACACAATGGAATAAAACTAAAAATCAATCTGAAGAGAAACTCTCAAAAATATACAAACACATGTAAATTAAACAACATGCTCCTGGACAACCTTTGGGTCAATGACAAAATTAAGAGGGAAATTAAATTTTTTGAGGCTGGGCATGATAGCTCATGCTTGTGTCTATTATTCCACACTCTATGTTCATATGTCCACATTATTTGGCTTCCACTTATAAATGAGAATATTCAGTATTTGAATTTCTGAGTTATTGTCACAGCCTTCAGTTTCATCCATATTGCTGCAAAAGGCATGATTCCATTCTTTTTATACCAGATAAAACAGACTTTTTATATCAGATAAAACGAACATATGTGTGCAGGTATCTTTTTGACATAATGAATTCTTTTCCTCTGGGTATATACCCAGTAGTGGGATTGCTGGATCAAATGACGGTTCTATTTTTTGTTCTTTGAGAACTCTCCATATGTTTTCCATAGAGGTGGTACTAATTTACATTTCTCCCAGCACTATATAAGCACTCCCTTTTCTCCACATCCTCACCAACATCTGTTACTTTTGACTTTCTAAAAATAGCCATTTTGACTGGTATAAGATGGTATCTCATAGATTTTTCATTTCTCTGATGATTAGTGATATTGAGCATTTTTTCAAATGCTTCCTGGCCACTTGTATGTCTTCTTTTGAAAAATGTCTTTCATCTCCTTTGCCTACTTTTTAATGGGGTTATTTGGGGTTCTTTTGTTGTTGTTGAGTTGCTTGAGTTCCTTGTAGATTCTGGGTATTGGTCTTTTGCATATGTATTTTGCAAATATTTTTGCTTATTCTGCAAGCTGTCTGTTTACTCTGTTGTTTCTTTTGCTGTATAAAAAGCTTTTTAGTTTAATTAAGTCTCATCTGTCTACTTTTGGTTTTGTTGCTTTTGCTTCTGAGGTCTTAGTCATGAACTCTTTGTTTATGGCAACGTCTAGAAGAATTTTTTCTAGATTTTCTTCTAGTATGTTTTAGTTTTGGATTTTACATTTAAGTCTTTAATCTATCTTGAGTTGACTTTTTTTTTTTTTTTTTTGAGACAGAGTCTCGCTGCGATACCCCTACACTGGAGTGCAATGGCGCGATCTCGGCTCACTGCACCATCCGCCTCCTGGGTTCAAGTGATTCTCCTGTCTCAGCCTCCCGAGTAGCTGGGACTATAGGCATGCACCAGCACGCCCAGCTAATTTTTGTATTTTTAGTAGAGACGGGGTTTCACCATTTTGGCCAGGTTGGTCTCAGACTCCTGACCTCAAGTGATCCACCCACCTCAGCCTCCCAAAGTGCTGAGATTACAGGTGTGAGCCACCTAGCCTAACCTCGAGTTGATTTTTATATAAAATAAGAGAGAGAGTGGTTCAGTTTCATTCTTTCTGCAGATGGCTATCCAATTTTCTCAGCACCATTTACTGAATAGGTTGTCCTTTCCCAGTGTACGTTTTTGTCTACTTTGCCAAAGATCAGTTGGCTGTAGATTTGTGGCTTTATTTCTAGTTTCTGCATTCTGTTCCATTGATCTATGTGTCTATTTTTATACCAGTACCATGCTGTTTTGGTTACTATAGCTTTGTTTCCCAATGTTGGAGGAGGGACCTACTGGGAGATGTTTGGGTCACAGGGGCAGATCCCTGATAAATGGCTTGGTGCCTTCCCCATGGTAATGAGTTCACATGACAGCTGGTTGTTAAAAGGTCCCTGGCTCTTTCCTTGCTCCCTCTCTCACCATGTGACATGCCTGCTCTCCCATTGTCCTCCATCATGATTATAAGCTACCTAAGGTCTCACCTTATAAGCTAGCACTGTGCCTGTTATAGAGCCTGCAGAACTCTGACCCAAACAAATCTCTTTTCTTTATAAATTACCCAGCCTCAAGTATTCCTTTGTAGCACAGCAAAATGGAATAACACAACATTTACATATTTCACAAATAACTGTTAAATTTGTATTAATTTTGTCTTTTTTTTCTAACCAATTTTTCAGGTGACTTCTATGAAAATAATCAGAAACTAGTATCTACCCAGGTTCTTTCTGTTTAATGTAACTTCCTCAAATACTATGTTCTTCAAAAATAAAGTAATTGAGAATGCAGTGTATTATGAGAAACTTTATAAGGACTGATTATAATATAAATCCTTCTTTGCTTAGGATAATTTTTGAGGAAAAATCTTGCTAGATATAAATTGAATATATGATACATGGGTACTTAAACAAATGAACATTTACCCTGTTTAGAAACACTGAAGTGTGCAAAATTAAATACATGGGACATTTGTGTCTTTCTTGGCAAAAGGCAGGCAAAAAGCAGAATAAAACTGTAGTCATGTAATCCAACTAATCTCTCAACCCAACAAATACCCTAGAAAGGAAAACGGCAATTCAGAAAATACTAACAACATGCAGAAAAACAGAGGCAGCATTCTTTTAAAGAAACAATTCTCATACTTTATAGGTAAGTGACTGAAACCATAAATGTTCCTCCGCTAACACAGATCGATCAATTCTAAATCTCACCTGCTTTTTAAACTCCCTGCTATTATTTAGTCTCTTTAACTGCCAGTTAAGACCCCACAAATACAAAGACAACTGTTCACAGATCAGTGCTTCTGGGCCTATTCCAGAAAGTTTGTTTGATACACTGGAGGTTTCTGCCTGTTTTGAAGCTTGTGGCCTAAAATTACTTTTCTTCCTGGCAGTAACTCCAAGTTCAGCCTTATTATTTTTTTTCTGTCTCTCGTGCTTGAATTAGGAAAGCTTTATTTTTAACATTAAAAATAACTCCCACACTGTATTACTTGAAGTTTCTAAAACAACTGTCTTATTTTATGCTCTTAATTTTAATTAATTCATTTCTTAATGAGAAAATTTTCATTACTAAGCTCCATTTGAACTTGGTGCTATGAAAACCTAACATAGACTCTTTTGTAGAAATTATTCTTTTGGTTTGGTTGAGGTCATAAACAATTCAGGACACCTAATAATCATTCTACTAAGGTCTAGAGAATGGCTGTTATTTACTCAAGGGTATCTCATAATATTAGAGCCAACTTGGAGTCCATACCTATGCCTCTAGTAAAGACTACACCCAAAATCGTCTCCAAGAGACAAGTATTTATTCTAATTATTCATCTAGATGCTCTTGGTAATATCTTAACTAAGCAAATCTGCTTAACTATATTATCTTTTAGGAGATGTCCTGTGATCACTTTTAAAAACCACACAAATAAATGTTACCATGAAAAACTGTAGTTCTCACACAGTTCACAAACTGAACAATTCCTTGAGTATTTGTGGGTTATTTTAAAATAACTAGTATAATTAAAGATATTATTAGAAGTATGCTACATGGATGTATGTATAAACATTAAGCAATGTATAACTATACAAAAGTTTCCTTTGACATTGAATTCCTCTGAATTTATTAGAAGTTCTAAAATATATCATCTAAATCTTAAACACAATTTTCAAAATGTGTTACCTAATAAACTCATTTATTTCATCCTCTACCTTCTGTTATATCAGACAAGAATAAAAAGACCTAGGCTCAGTTGCTTGAGATCACAGCACAAAGGAAGTGTTGTTAAGAATAAAAAGGGGAAATTCAGGAGCATCTAGATCTAGGTCTTAACTTTTATAGACTTCAGTTCTCCACTGTCACTGTCATCTACACAAGTGATTTCCACCCTTGATAGGTACTCCCTCACCTAGGACATTTTTTTTAAATTCAAATTTCTATAAATGGTAGTCTGAGCATGCGTTTTTACTTCCTGTCTGAATAGTATTAAAATGACAATTAAGAAATAAAAAATATATAAACCCACAAGAACAAAAATAATGACAAAGAGGACATCAGCTGACAAGAGATGCTGACAAAATTTTGGGAAACAAAAAGTACATGGACAAAAAGTAACCAACACTTAACAGGCTAGAGAAAGCAGAAACCTCAACATTTGTGGGGCTAGAGATAGAGAACAACAAGTTGATGTGGGTCCTAAAAGTCTACAAAAGCTAAAGAATTCAAGGTAGCCCTGAAAGCATGGATGAAGAGTGGGACAAAAGGCAAAAGTTTTCTAGATTCTCCCAAGGCAGAGTAAAAATAAAAAATAAAAATAAAGCCAGGCGCAGTGGCTCACACCTGTAATCCCAGCACTTTGGCAGGCTAAGGTGGGCAGATCACCTGAGGTTAGCAGTTGAAGACCAGCCTGGCCAACATGGTGAAACCCTGTCTCTACTAAAAATACAAAAATTAGCCGGGCGTGGTGGCATCCGTCTACAGTACCAGCTACTGGGGAGGCTGAGGCAGGAGAATCACTTGAACCTCGGAGACGGAGGTTGCAGTGAGCCAAGATTGTGCCACCGCAGTCCAGCCTGGACGACAGAGCGAGACTCCATCTCAAAAAGTAAAATAAAATAAAAATAATAAAAATAAAGCACAAGTTTTAAAGTCTGGATAAAATACAATTAGAACTCACTACCTCTACTCCTACTCCACATAATGAAGGCACTGCCTCCCTCCAATCCAACAGAAGATAGGAGCTTCGCTCTCTGGAGAAAATGAACCAGTGAGGTTCCAGGCGTGGGGAGGCAGGGGTGAAGCACTGTACTGGCCACAGAAGGATTCTGTGAAAGCTGACTCTGATGCTACTGCTGTAAAATGCACTGTGTTCAGCGACTGATGGAAAAACAAGAAAGACATTTGGCTGTGTCTGTTCAACTGGGTCCACCATAAATTATGGTTCTTTAATCACAGTCATCCAACTCCTTTCTGGAAACAGCTATGGAAATGATAGAAAAATCTAATAAATCTCTTTACTATGAAAGAAATTGTCAATTCCCTACAACTCATGTTTGTTAAAGCAAGTTTTGGCAAACTGCATAACAGCATGATATGATGAACTGAGACCCCTTACAGTTTTGGGGCAAGAAATTAAAACATTTTATTTTATTTACTTATTTATTTTTTTGAGATGGAGTCTCGCTCCGTTGCCCAGATGGAGTGCAGTGGGCATGACCTTTGCTCACTGCAACCTCTGACTTTTGGGCTCAAGCGATTCTCCTGCCTCAACCTCCAGAGTAGCGGGGACTACAGGCGCCCAACACCACGCCTGGCTAATTTTTGTATTTTTAGTAGAGACGGGGTTTCACCGTGTTGGCTAGGCTGGTCTCAAACTCCTGACCTCAAGTCATCTGCCTGCCTCAACCTTCCAAAGTGCTGGGATCAAAGGCATGAGCCACTGTGCCTGGCCAGTTAAAACATTTTAAGTAGATACCAAAGGAACATCCACATTTGATTAATTCCAGTAATAGAACACCTTCACAATAATTTTTTAAAGAATAATTTAAATTACATTTAGTTGTTTATCCATAAAAGAAAATGTGTGAAAAATTATTACACATGGAGCTATTCCAGAGTACAAAGGTCTGTCCTTGCAGTACCTGAACAGCATGGATTGTCTTATGTTGTAAAAACTTTTTATGTTATAAATTATTTAAAGACTTAACTGTCTGGGTCAGAAAGAAATAAGATAACACCAGAACCCATACATAACGTACACCATCATTATACATCTGGAGAAAGTTACTGTGATGGTTAATAGTGAGTTTCAACTTTGGATTGAAGGATGCAAAGTATTGTTCCAGTGTGTCTGTGAGGATATAGTCAAAGGAGATTAACATTTGAGTCAGCGGACTAGGAGAGGCAGACCCACCCTCAATCTGAGTGGGCACCATCTAATCAGCTTCCAGCATGGCTAGAATAAAGCAGAGAAAAGAAGCTGGAAGGATCAGACTTGCTGAATCTTCTGGCCTTCAGCTTTCTCCCGTGCTGGATGCTTCTTGCCCTCGAATATTGGACTCGAAGTTCTTCAACTTTTGGACTCTTGAACGTACGCCAGTGGTTTGCTGGGGGCTCTTGGGGCTTCGGCCACAGACTGAAGGCTGTACTGTCGGCTTCCCTACTTTTGAGATTTTGGAACTTGGACTGGCTTCCTTGCTCCTCGGCCTGCAGATGGCCTATTGTGGGACTTCACCATGTGATTGTGTGAGTTAATACTCCTTAAACTCTTCTTCATATACACATCTATCCTATTAGTCTTGTCCCTCTAGTGAACCCTAATACAGTTCCTATATCCTCAAAGCATTCATATTATTATTCCAGTTAAAACTGTGCTATTTGTAAAAGACAATCCTCTGGATGAAATATGTTGAAACATTAAGGTATTACTTACTGGATGCATTTAACAGTGGAGTCATGTGTGCCACTGCTCCAAGGACTACCCAACACCTTCCCCTCCATACCCAACCTTCTTCTGTCACTCACTCCTAGCCACCAGGCCTGAGAATGCCAGAACAAGGTCACCAACCTTCTCTCTCAGTCACATCAGAACGGTCCAACTTGGCTTCCTTATGCTGTCCTTCTGCCACCTTCACGGCCACAGCTCGGCAAATGGCCCCAAGTTTTCTATCCAGAGAACGAACCCCTGCCTCTCTGGTATACCTGTCATCAAACAAAAATATTTTATTTTTGACTATATACCACTTAAAAAAATAGAGAGGTAATGTGATTAACATTTTTGGTAAAACAGTGTACATTTAAAAGTTCATTACCCTTTCTTGAGTACTAACTTTTCCACACTTAAAACTCCTCATTATTGTTATTTCTTCAATACTTTGATCTATTTTCAGCTACAACAATTTCCTTTATACAGATTATCTTGAATTATAATCCTACACTTAAAAATGAACCCTAGTTCTAGTTCAATTTACATTGCCAAAGTAAACTTGGCAGCATATAAAAAACCATTTACTCCTCGGTAATTTGTTGAAGAGTTTTCTTAAACAAAATTTGTCAATTTAGGAAAATTCTAGATAAATTCATTGTATTTGAAATACTACTGAAAGAATAAGAGAAATTGTGCTCTTTGTGGAACTAAAACAAAAACAAATCTGAGACAGAAATCTGGTTTTCACTAGGCACTTTGCTAACCACCTTTCTTCAGTGTATTTTCATTGTGAAGATTTCTAAAGGAAGAAGGTATGCTAAGTGATGACAGCACTGACTTTGAGGACTTTGTGAAAAAGATGCTATGTGTGGTTTAAGCAGAGCTGCTTTAAACACATGTACATTAGAATCAAACTCCGTTAAGTCATTCCACAGACCATTATATAGTGAAACCACTTTTGGCCACTCAGCTTTGGATGGACCTGAATGGACAGGATCAGGTGGAGAATGCAGTTTTATCTGAAGAATTGGATTTGACAAAGCCATACATTTGATTAAGTCAGACATACACTGTAGACTTTAGGAAAGCAGATTTTAAAAGTTCTGAGAAAAGACAGATAAAAAGCTCTTAGCTAAACACTCTAATACTCATTTCAGTCAAAGGTATAGAAGGATATAAAGCCTATATTATGCAACTACGTATAATTTCAATAAGGGAGAAAACAGGGAGGCATCTTAACAACTTCTACATTTGGGCTTTAAAAAATTCAGCTTTATAAATACAAAATGGGATATGCCAAGCTTAGCGAAATTCACTGAAAAAGGGAAGAGAATAATCTTTAAAAAGCTAAGAATCTAGAGATACAGTCATAAAATAATATAGTCAGAATAAGAAAAGCATGGGCTTCCTATACCATGAACTGTTTAGACTCTATCTGAAACACTGTGTTCAATTCTGGGTGTTTAATTTTAAAAGACACATTGATATACAGGATTCTTTCAGAAGAAGACTAATCAGGAGGGTGAGAAGTCTTGAAACTACATCAAGAGGAATGGTACAGAGGAGAGGAATGGTTAGCTTGAAGAAGAGAACACTTAGTGTGCAGCACCTGATAGTATTTTATCTTAATGTCAGAAGGGCTGTACAAGGAGGAATTACACTTAGATTCCAGGTGCTCCTATAAGGCAGAAGAAGAAAATTATAGAAAAGTGAATAGAAAGAGTATCTTTGTAACAATTATCACTTGAGCTCAGGAGTTCCAGGCCAGCCTGGCCAAGATGGTGAGAACCCCATCTCTATTTTTTTTTTTTTGAGACGGAGTCTCACTCTGTTGCCCAGGCTGGAGTGCAGTGGCACGATCTCAACTCACCGCAACCTCCACCTCCCTGGTTCAAGCAATTCCCCTGCCTCAGCCTCCCGAGTAGCTGGGATTACAGGCACACACCACCACGCCCGGCATGCACCTGTGGTCCCAGCTACTTGGGAGCTGAGATGGCAAGATGGCTTGAGCCTAGGAGGCAGAGGCTGCAGTGAGCCAAGATCATGCCACTGCACTCCAGCCTGAGTAACAGCATGAAAACCTGTCTTAAAAAATAAATAAATAAATAAAAAGAATATCTTTGTTACAGTTAGAATTACCCATGAAAAGGTAGTTATTCGCTAGAATTAAGCATACTGGGACTGGAAGTATTCAAGCAGGTGAGTTATACTTGGAGATAAGAAAGACTAGAACATTAGGGTCTATGACTGTGACTTATCACAAAAGATGAAAAACTCAAATATTGATACTCTATGTCCTAAGTTTGGTAACTCACTAAATATCCAAAAACGTGCCTGGAATAGTACATACTTGTGCTGTTTTTAAAAACAATATCAAAACTAACAAAACTGCTCCAGATATTTCCTTATGTCCACAGCTTTTAAGATCTGATATTTTGAGTTAACAAGTATACATAAAAAAAGAAACAGTTCTCTAGGTAACAACTGGGAAATATAAATAATGATCACTCTTCAGAATCATTATTATTCAGATAAACTCTGGATTTTTCTCCATCCCTCATATTTTACAGATGGGGAAGCTATCAAAAATGTTAAATGACTTATTGAAAGTTACCCAAAGGCATCATGGGTGTTATCTGGAATAATGATATTGTTGGAAGACTCAGACATATAAGTCACTTAATTTATTTCTCCTGGCATTATCTACACCATAAATCACAAGACAAATTAAGAAAAGGAACCCCCAGGTAAGACTTAGTCTTACTGCTTTGTATATAAATCTAAATAGATCCATAAGAAGGCATAGATCAAAAGACAGTCTGGCCAAACTCTAAGTCAAAGTTCAAAATAGAGAGATACTTCAAATCTCTTAAAAACAGTAGTTACTAGAAAAGGGCCGCAAGAGGAGAGCTTGGCAGCCTGACATGACTTGCTGGATGATGCAATGGATCTGTAATACTGAGCTAGGAAAACTGTAAGAGGCTGTGGTGGATATAAATTCTCAACAGAGTATATTTTCCATTCAAACAGGGAATCTGTAAATTAGACTAAGCAATACTCTATTCAGATAATTTACACACTGCTTGCTACAGGCTTAAGCATTTGGTAGTAAACTTGGGAAGGCACCTTCTCTATTGTTCCAGTGTTAATTCTGAAGATCAAAATTCTAAGGATTTTAAAAATCTCTCAGCCAAAGAGAAGAAAAGAAAAGTGAGTAACTTAAATCAGATTATCTGAAAGTAGCATATCACCTCTTAAGAGAATTCAACAACTTTCAAGATCCTGGGCATAAAAAGTGTCTCTATATTTGCCATGTATTTGGTTTTTAAATGATCAAATTAACCCCTTATATTGCTATTGTGGCAAAGCATAAATTTCAGCTTTAGCTATAACAATATTCCAAATGGTTTCTCTGTAAACTTCTGCCTAGTGTAGAGAACGGTGTAAATCAATAGTTATGATAACACTTGCTGGAAGTTGTTGAAGAAAGAGAAATGGATGCTATGGGATGCCAATAAACTAATCTCCTTTTCAGGAGACTGTGGCTTATCTCAAAAGATGAAAAACTCAAATATTGATACTCTATGTCCTGTTTGGTAACTCAGTAAATACTCAAAAGTTGCCTGGAGTTAATGAAGCCTCAGGATGGCTAACTAACCTGGTGATGATGTCAAGAGTGGTGACCTGGGGTATCTGAATCTGCTGTGGAGTCAGCCCATGTTGTTCCAGCTGCTTGGGGATCAAGTGCCTATGGGCAATCTCTATCTTCTCCTCCTGTGTATAACCTGGAAAAGAAGAGATCTTGTTTTGTAATTATTTACATGGCTCCCATAATGCCATGCTTTGTTTTTTGTTTTTTTTTTTAGAGACAGAGTCTTGCTCTGTCGCCCAGGCTGCAGTGCAGTGGCGTGATCTCGGCTCACTACAACCTCCACCTCTCAGGTTCAAGTGATTCTCCTGCCTCACCCTCCCGAGCAGCTGGGATTACAGGCATGCACAACCACGCTGGCTGATTTTTGTATTTTCAGTAGACAGGGCTTTGCCAAGTTGGCCAGGCTGGTCTCAAACTCCTGGCCTCAAGTGATCCACCAGCCTCAGCCTCCCAAAGTGCTGAGATTATAGGCATGAGTCACTGCTCCCAGCCAGTGCCATGCTTTTTTAATGAATCAAATGTAGATTAAATGGATCTTAGATTTAGAACAAATTTAAGTATTATTTCAAATGAGACTATAATTACAATGAAGAAATTTATTCTGGCCAGGCACGTTAGCTCACACCTGTAATCCTAGCACTTTGGGAGGCTGAGGCGGGCGGATCACTTGAACTTAAGAGTTTGAGACCAGCCTGGGCAACATGGCGAAACCCTGTCTCTACTAAAAACACAAAAAATTAGCTGAGCATGGTTGCGCATGTCTGTAGTCCTGGTTACTCTGGAGGCTGAGGCACGAGAATTGCTTCAGCTGGGGAGGTGGAGGTTGCAATGAGTTGAGATTGCACCACTGCACTCCAGCCTGGGCAACAGAGACTGCCTCCAAAAAAAAAAAGAAAAAGAAATTTGATCTAAGTCAATAATTGTTAAAATTTCCAACGTTTTCACAAACAAAACAAGCATTTACTAAGCACAGTGCTTGAAAGTTTTCTGATTAAATGATATATTTCCCAAAGAGGAAAACACCTCAAATCTTAGAGACAATTATCTCTTTATCCTCAAATCCTCTGAAATTTCAAATAGAAGAATAAATGCATCTTTTTAGCCTAATTTGATCTATACTTGAAACACACACACACACACACACACACACACACACACACACACACACCTCAATTAAATAAGCAGTGGGTTCCAAGGGAAGGGCTCTAAAGATACTGTTTCCAGAACTATGACTATAAAATAAATTGTAGCAGCAAAAGAAAACCTAAGATGTCCATATAAAAGGTTTTTTCCTCCACATGATGGTATATATATATATGTGTGTGTGTGTGTGTATGTATTTATATATGTGTGCATATGTATTTATGTATGTATATATGTATTTTTTCTATATATAGTATATTTAGAACACATAATGTTCTTATTTAATAGCCTGAATAAATATAGATTTCCTTTGTCTCTAAATCCCGTAAGACAAAATTCCAACTAATGTCCCTTTCCATTTAACAAGCAAAAATTAAAAATATGAATTGATAAGGCACCTTTTGAATGGAAAGAGGTTAGTAAACACCAGGAAAGCTAGAAGATCGGACAGCTAAATCTGCCAAAGGAAGAAGGTGGCATCATATGCTCCCCTCTGCAGCAGCTGTCCTGATTCTTTCACTTTACTTTAGTGTATCTAATGAATTTTCTGCCATAACTTGGAGTTTCCAGGGAATTCATTACTTATTTACTTTAGACTTTAAATACACACAATTAACTTTTTACTCTACCATATTTTAAAACTAAATACAGGAACCTGCAATGCTCACAGATAATTAAGAAATCCAGTTATATTGGGAGGCCAAGGTGGGTGGATCATGAGGTCAAGACATTGAGACCTTCCTGGCCAACATGGTGAAATCCCATCTCTACTAAAAATACAAAAATTAGCTGGGCGTGGTGGTGCACGCCTGTAGTCCCAGCTACTTGTGAGGCTGAGGCAAGAGAATTGTTTGAACCTGGGACATAGAGGTTGCAGTGAGCTGAGATCGTGCCACTGCACTCCAGCCTGGTGACAGAGTGAGACTCCATCTCAAAAAAAAAACAAACAGAAATCCAATTATAATTCACTTAGTAGTAAAAATATATTTCAGATTAATATGAAAAATACATTTAGATTACATTTAGAATCTAAAGACATTTAGGGCCGAGTGTGGCGGTTCACGCCTGTAATCCCAGCACTTTGGAGGCTGAGGCGGGTGAATCACCTAAGGTCAGGAGTTCAAGACCAGCCTGGCCAATATGGCGAAACCCTGTCCCTACTAACAATGCAAAAATTAGCCAGGTGTGATGGTGCACACCTGTAGTCCCAGCTACTCAGGAGGCTGAGGCACAAGAATCGCTTGAACCAGGAGGCAGAGGTTGCAGTGAGCCAAGATTGTGCCACTGCATTCCAGCCTGGGTGACAGAGTGAGACTCCATCTCAAAAAAAGAAAAAATAAGTAAAAGACATTTAGGCTGGACATGGTGGCTCACGTCTGTAATCCTTATACTTTTGGAGGCCAAGGCAGGCAGATCACTTGAGGCCAGGAGTTCGAGGCCAGACTGGCCAACATGGTCTCTACTAAAAATACAAAAATTACCTGGGCGTGGTCACGAGTGCCTGTAATCTCAGCTACTTGGGAGGCTGACACACGAGACTCACTTGAACTTCGGAGGCGGAGGCTGCAGTGAGCCGAGATCGTGCCACTGCACTCCAGCCTGGGCAACAAGCTAGACTCTGTCTCTAAATAATTAAATAAATAAAGACATTTAGATTCTACTCTACATTAAAAAAAAACTCAGTGATATTTGATCTCTTCCAGGGAAAAACAATTCTGAGCAATTAAAATAAGGTGAAAATGCTATAACTTATCTAGTGTTAGTAACTGAAGGAATACATTTTGCACGCTCCAGTGACAGGGAAGACATTTAAAAAATTTAACTATTTGACAGATTCAAGAGGAATTTAAAAGCGGCATGCACTTTAATATAAAAGTGAGGCCAGATTTTATGAGAAAGTTCAGTTACTCTTTTTTTTTTTTTTTTTTTGAAATGGAGTTTCACTCTGTCACCCAGGCTGGAGTGCAGTGGCGTGAGGCTCACTGCAACCTCCCCTTCCCAGGTTCAAGGGATTCTCCCGCCTCAGCCTCCCGAGTAGGTGGGACTACAGGCGCCCGCCACCATGCCAGGCTAATTTTTGTATTTTTATTGAGATGGTGTTTCACCACGTTGGCCAGGCTGGTCTCGAATTCCTGACCTCAAGTGATCCACCTGCCTCAGCCTCCCAAAGTGCTGGGATGACAGGTGTGAGCCACCACACACAGCCTGCCATTTTAGAAATTATACTAAAGAAGAATGTCTTATTTGTCATAAAATTATCATTCTTTCATGCTAATTAAATCTGAAATTGTTGTTGTCAACGTTTGCTGTTTTGCTCTTCCAGACTTTGAAGCTACATAGAAACTGATTTATATACATTCCTCAGAACTTCTGAAGATTGTATGTTGGCAAATGAACTTCTTTTAGTCAAAACTCCATAGCATAACTAATTTTAAAGTTATGGTCAGAAAGGCAAGATGTATCATAATGATTTAAGAGTCAGGTACCTGGAACCTGAATGATCTCCATTCTGTCCAACAAGGCAGCTGGAATGGTAGCAGTGGTGTTGGCAGTAGCTATAAAAAGAACTTGAGAAAGGTCAAAGGCCACATTTAGATAATGATCTGTGAAGTTATGGTTTTGTTCAGGATCCAACACCTAGGGGAGAACAAAAAACATTTTAAAAACTTTAGTAGTGCCAACAGAAGGCTGTATATAAGTGAAAACACACATGATGTACTGGCAAGGTTGGTATTTCTGCTCAGAAGAATTTAAGAAACAGACAAAACTAACATCTGAGCATTATTATTTGCATTCTCTACATTCTACATACTTTTTAAAAAATAAAATACGTTCAGTGTCAAAATTTCTGAAAATGTAATAGCACAAAGCAGCAGAAATTACAGTTTCAAGCTTTGTTCAAAAATCTATTTATTAATGACTCATTGTTTGGCCATCATAAGTTACCAGTCCTGCAGAACCAGTTTCCATCTTGGTAACACACCCTATCTAAACTGCTATGGGAATATAAAGCAAATGTGTAAAGTATTTTGAAATTCTCAAAGAACCAGTAAATAAGAACCCATATAATCCTCCTCAAACATTTTCAGAAAGTCTGGTATAAATTATTTAACTGAAAGGAGAATTCCAAATAAGAGTAACCTTTGCTATGAGTTAAATAAGAGTAAAAATTACTATGCTACTATATTCTGATACAGCAAAAAATTCACTATTTAAAAATGGCTTACTACAAAACATTGCTGCTTATAATAAGCAAAACATCAATAACTCTTTTTTTCTTGAGACAGAGTCTTACTCTGTTGCCCAGGTTGGAGTGCAGTGGCACAATCTCAGCTCACTGCAACCTCCGCCTCCCGGGTTCCAGCGATTCTCCTGCCTCAGCCTCCTGAGTAGCTGGGACTACAGGTGTGCGCCACCATGCCTGGCTAACTTTTGTATTTTTAGTAGAGATGGGGTTTCACCATGTTGGCCAGGCTGGTCTCAAATTCTTGACCTCAAGTGATCCGCCTGCCTCAGTCTCCCAAAGTACTGGGATTACAATAGCTCTTAAAAATATTTGAATTAGATACATTAGATAATTTATCAGTCAACTTGGATTCTTAAAATGTGCAACTGTACATTAAAGAGCTTCAAGTCACAGGCACTTGTTGCTAAGGGGCTGGTGCAGAACTTTCATAAGGCACCAACAGCTTCTACATGTTCCAAACCTTAAACATATTAACACTCTCACTTACGCCCAATTACTATAAATAGGGTTGCCATACATATTCAAAAAGGCAATAAAATGACTAATATACTCACCAACCACAATTTAACTATATAAGCAGTTTTTCCTACCTTCTGATTCTTTCTGAAGTTTTACTTATTTTCAAAACTATCCAAAGTTAGTTTTTTGTTTTGTTTTGTTTTGTTTTGTTTGAGACAGAGTCTCATTTTGTCACCAAGGTTGAGGTGCAGTGGCATGGTCTCAGCTCACTACAATCTTTGCCTCCTGAGTAGCTGGGATTACAGGTGCGTACCACCCCACCTGGCTAATTTTTGCAATTTTAGTAGAGATGGGGTTTCACCATGTTGGCCAGATTGGTCTCAAACTCCTGGCCTCAAGCAATCCACCTGCCTTGGCCTCCCAAAGTGCAGGGATTACAGACGTGCGCTACCACGCCCAGCCCCAAGCTAGTCTTAATTCTAGGCCTCATACATAATTCTGAATTTTGTTAAACATTAATTATTACTGGAAACTCTATCTAGAATTCCCAGAAAGCTCTAATTTCACATTTTCACAAGACTTAATAATGTTTAATATCATTAAAAAACAAGTACTTTCAAGTAATCAAGGAAAACTAATTATGTTCAGTATTGAATTGGTTAAGAGTGGTCTTACTATCTACTAATCATCTAAAAACTGTTCACAGGCCGGGCACGGTGGCTCACACCTGTAATCCAAGTACTTTGGGAGGCCGAAGCAGGCAGATCAGTTGAGGTCAGGTGTTTGAGACCAGCCTAGCCAACATGGTGAAACTCTGTCTCTACTAAAAAAAAATACAAAAATTAGCCTGGTATGGTGGCACATGCCTGTAGCTCCAGCTACTCGGGAGGCTGAGGCATGAGAATTGCTTGAACTTTGGAGGCAGAAGTTGCCGTGGGCTGAGATCACGCCACTGCACTCCAGCGTGGGCGACAGAGTGAAAATCCAACACAAACTAACAAACAAATGAACAAACAAACTGTTTAGGTACGGAAAATGTTTATGTATGGAAAATAGTTAAAACTATCATCTAGTGACAAAAACGCTCTTCTTTTGACGCAAACTTGAGTCAGGCTCCTCTGAGTCCTCTGCTCAACTAGGCCAATGTCAGCCTTCCCTCTGTCTTTGTAAAATCCAATTTGAGCAAGAATCCTGCTAAGTCAGGTTAGCAAAAATGACCCATACCCATACGTATCTGTTCTCACTTCTAACCCAGTATCTTTTCACCCTGGCCTCCCTTCAGCAAGAGTTCTGTTGTGTCCTTCTAGTGAGAATCCCCCGTAACCCCAATTCTTCCTCTTAGAATGTTTCCCTCTACTGATTCCCCATTCACTCTCCTCCTGTCACTGCAAAACCCCATTGCAGTGTTTCTTATACGTAGTCTCCCACCTTGAATAAAGTAATCCTTACCACCTTTAATAAGCGTCATGAGTAATTTTTTAACACTAGCTAAGGAAAAAAATCTATTCTTTTTTTTTTTTGAGACAGTCTCGTTCTTTCGCCCAGGCTAGAGTGCAGTGGCGCGATCTCGGCTCACTGCAAGCTCCGCCTCCCGGGCTCACGCCATTCTCCTGCCTCAGCCTCCCGAGTAGCTGGGACTACAGGCGCCCGCCACCATGCACGGCTACTTTTTTGTATTTTTAGTAGAGATGGGGTTTCACCATGTTAGCCAGGATGGTCTCGATCTCCTGACCTCGTGATCTGCCCACCTCGGCCTCCCAAAGTGCTGGGATTACAGGCATGAGCCACCATGCCTGGCCGGAAAAAATTCTATTCTTTAATGGCTCTAAGCATATGTAATTCATATATGCTGGATATGTTTTAGAAATGGCTGTCAGACTTGAACAAGTAATTTTTTTCTCTTAAAATTTTAAGACACTAGCGTTTTTAAAAAGTAGGAAAATTAATAAAGCAATGTTTCTGAATTATGAAGGAGGTTTTTAAAACAGTGTGACAGAATACCTAGATTATAAGGAGAAAAAATTAGTGATGCTTGTTAAAAGAAAAACTCTAGATAAATTAACAGTTTAATTGAGCAAAGAACAAGTCTCAAATTGGGCAGCTCCCAGAAACAGAATAGGTTCAGAGAAACTCTGGCATATGGTTTGATAATATTTATGGACAGAAAAAGGAAAGCGACATGCAGAAAACAAAGAGTGTACAGAAACAGCGGGATTGCTTACAGCTTGGTGTTTGCTTTATTTAAAGTTTGTTAACAGCTGACTTCCTGTGACTTGCTGAAAATCTGTGATTGGTGTTAAGAATAGTGTGTTTACACAGCTAGTTAGGCTGCAGTTTACTTTGTAAGGGGAAACCTTTAGGCCAAACTTAAAATATTAATATGTAAGGAGGCAGACTTAGGCTAAATTTGTGCCCAATTTGCCTGCCTTCCTCTTTTACTCAGGAAGAGTGTGAAAGGAAAGTAAATCTCAGGACCCCCAAATCACTAAGCAAAAGGGAAGAGACAAGCTGGGAACTGCGTCACACAAACCTGCCTCCCATTTTGTTTCCAAATAAGATAGCTACAAAGACAAAAAAAGCTACATATCTCCCTCACAATCCCCCCACTGAGAAATTCCTTGTGGGCCCCAAGATCTTTAACCTGTAACAGTTCTGTTGAATTTCACCCCAACCATGTAAATTGATAGCTTATTCTTTACACATACAGGACAAAGGACAGAACTCAAAGTCATCCCTCTGCTCACCTGAGACAAATGCATATCTGATGGCTTCCTGTACGCTATATTTATTTTATCTTATGTAGAAATGCAGATTCACTAAGCTAGATGAATGCGTCAGTGACTATTCCTCTGCTCCCCTCTCACAGGTGAATGGCTGATCAAAGACTCAAAAGAATGCAACCGTTTGTCTCTTGTCTACTCATACCTTTTAAAATTTCTTCCTCTTTCCCCAATATCTGCCCATTCCCCTTTAAATACTGAAGCCCTCACAATCATCTCTGGAGAACGTTGCCAAAATAAACTTCTAAACTGGTTGAGACCTGTCTCAGATACTTTCTGGTTTTCAAAAGCATAAAAAGACATATAGAATTTAAACAGCATCAGAAATACTGATCAATATTCTGGCAGAAAATAATTTCTGGTAATCACTACTCAGATGAAGCTCCGAGGCAAACTGGTGAGTCCATGGAAGGACGAAAATTACAATTAAGAGCTTTGTAGCTATCAAACCTCATCTTCTTACCCTAACTTCAGAGCAGGGATTCTACTGCCCACATCCAGGGCCACTTTCAAAAATAATTAGGGCTGTTTCTCCTTTATTCTCCCCAACTAAAAGATTTTCTGTATCAATCCTAGGACTATAATTCCTACCTACAAAGTATGACTGGGAATGGAAATAGCTGTGATATGACGCATTATTCCTAGGAATGTGAAGTCACAATGGGATGAACCGTGGGAGGAATGTACACTGAGAATTATTCTTCAATAATAATTTCTGACAAGAGAAGAACTATAGATGTCTGTAGGCAATCCAGGAATAGATTACATAGAGTTCATTACACAAGACTAGGTAACTGTCATCTTTAGGTGTGATATAGTATGATTATGCTTTTTAAAAGTGTATATCTTTTGTCGATAGCTACTGAAACATTTATGAAAAGATGATGTCTGGAATCTGCTTCAAAATAATCAGAGGTTGGGTAGGGGAGAATGGGAAGCAATAGATGAAACAAGATATTAAAGCTGGGTGATGAGTCCACAGAATTCATTATACTATCTTCTCTGCTTTTGCTATGGTTGAAATTTTCCACAACAGAAAATAAAGATAAAATAACATAACTAAAATCAGCTCTGAAAGCCACACACAATTAATACTATTATGATACTGTAAAATATATATTTGGCCTTCATCTCTTTGTTTCCTGACATGCAACTCCTAAAATCCTTGGAATCACCAAAGTGATAAGTATCATTTTGTATGTTAGTGATTGACTGGTGGCTGGCAGTCCCTCCACAGCTTCAGGATGTGGGCTGGTCACAGGAAAGACCAAGGCATGATTAGAGGGCTGAGGACTTGTCAGTTCCCCAGCCCAATCTCTTGGGAGGGGAGAAGAGCTAAGAGTTGAGTTGATCACCAATGGCCAGTGATTTAATCAATCAGGCCTATGTGACAAGGCCTCCATTAAAAACCCGAAAGGACTGAGGTCAGGAAGCTTCCAGGAAGGTGAATTTGAGCACACCCAGGTGCAAGAAGACTGGTGGACCCTGACTTCACTGGGATGGAAGCTCCTGTGCTGTTTGTTTGTATTCTTTAAAATATTCTTTTAATAAACCAGTAAATGCAAGTAAATTGTTTCCCTGAGTTCTGTGAGCTACTCTAGCAAATTAAGCAAACCTGAGGAGGGGGGCTTGTGGGTACTCCAATTTATAACTGGTTGGTCACACGTTCTGGAAGTCAACTCACGACTGGCATCTGAAGGGGGAGGCAGTCTTGTGGGACTCAGTGCTCAACCCGTAGGATCTGATACACTTTGTCAGAATTGAATTAGAGGACACCCAGCTGTGGTCGGTTGCTGAAGAACTGCTTGCTTGGCATATGGAGAAAAAACCCGTGCATTTGGTCAGAGGTGTTCTGTGTTGTGAGAGTGCAGTAGGAGAAACTGAGTTTACTTTTCCTCTATATCCTCAACTATGGAAATTAAATCTGTGATAAAGACAAACTTGAGAAAAGTGTTCAGGACATAGAAGAAAAAGGGCTTTAGAGACATGTAGGGGATAAATACGGGAAAAATTAAGAGATACAATTCATAACTGGTTAATATAACTAAAGAAGAGGTCTCAGTAAATTAAAATAGGGATTAAAGAAACGAAAATATTCTAGAAGACCTTGACACTATAGATTGAAAAGATTTAGATTCCTCCTCCTGTGCAATAAAAATGAGAATGTCATTAGAATAACACCTACAGAATTTTCAAGCAAAATTATCACTAGTTTAAAATATTTTACAATCTTGAATACATCAAATATATGTAATATATATAAGATATGATGCATAATAACAAAATGAACACCTGTGAACCTACTACCCATTTGTGAAGACATTTGTTTATCTATTTAGACCAGTGGTCACAAAAGTGGAAAATGACCCACCAAAGTGCAAGTAGAAAATATTAGTATTTGTATTTATCTTTTTTATTTATAAATACCAGAAAAAAATAGCTTGTAAATATTTAATATCCAAAATGGAATTGATGTCTTCACTTAGAAGAAGTTCCATAAGGTCGAAGGCTGCCTGTGGTGTCCTCACTTATCTGCCTTAACTATAATTACAGCACATTGCTGTCCATGTGTGCTGTGAAAAGAAAATATATTTGGCCCCCAAAATCACCAGACTAGAGGGAAAAATCAAGCTGGGAACGCTTAGGGCAAACCTGCCTCCCATTCTATTCAAAGTCACCCCTCTGCTCACTGAGGTAAACCTGATTGCCCCCTTTGGAAAGGCTAATCAGAAACTCAAAAGAACACAAGGGTTTGTCTCTTATCTACCTGTGACCTGGAAGCCCTCTCCAGAGAGCTGTCCTGCCTTTCCAGACCAAACCAATGTTCACCTTACATATGCTGATTGACGTCTCATGCTTCCCTAAAATGTATAAAATCAAGCTGTGCTCTGACCACCTTGGGCACGTGTCGTCAGGACCTCCTGAGGCTGTGTCATGGGCGCGCGTCCTCAACCTTGGCCAAATATACTTCCTAAATTAACTGAGACCTGTCTCAAATTTTCCGGGTTCACAGAGCCTAATATTACAAATGGGTTGAGTGGTTTAAAAAGATTCCTGCAAAGTATCATTAAAAAGGGTATAGGCAAAGGTATGAACCACAAGAAAATAACAGAGTTGACACTTTTATTTATATAATAAGCTAGGATAGACATATTATGAAGTAAAAACAATTATCTAATTAGAACACAGTGCTTTCATTGAAAATATAATTACCTTTTAAAACTGATTTCGTTTTACATAAAGTACATGATATGGGCACACTGGTACATATATATTATGTATCTATTATATATGTCCTTTGTTATGGACTGAATTGTGCCCCCTCAAAATTGACAGAATCCCTAACCCCCTCCGCTCTGTCTCAAGGGCAGTCAGGGTGAAGACTGTATTTGGAGACAGGGTGTTTAAGAAGGTAATTAAGGTTAAATGAAGGTAAGAGTGGGCCCCTAGTCTAATACAATTGGTACCCTTATAAGAGGAAAGAGGAGACCCCAGGGATGCATGCACACAGGTCTCCCGAGGACACAGCCACAAGTCGGTTGTCTGTAAGCCAAGGAGAGAGGCCTTAGGAGAAATCAAACCTATAAACACCTTGGTCTTGGAATTCTAGCCTCCAAAACCATAAGGAAATAAATTTCTGTTTGGTCTTCAAAGCTACCCAGTCTGTGGTATTTTGTTATGGCAGTCTTAAGAAATACATTCTAATACATTCTGACTGGGCGCGGTGGCTCATGCCTGTAATACCAGCACTTTGGGAGGCCGAGGCGGATGGATCACGAGGTCAGGAGTTCGAGACCAGCCTAACCAACATGGTGAAAGCCCATCTCTACTAAAGATACAAAAAATTAGTCAGGCGTGGTGGCACGTGCCTGTAATCTCAGCTACTCAGGAGACTGAGGCAGGAGAATCGCTTGAACCTGGGAGGCAGAGGTTGCAGTGAGCCAAGATTGCACTATTGCACTCCAGCCTGGGTGACAGGGCAAGACTCCGTCTCAAAAAAAAAAAAAAAAAAAAAGAAGAAGACTAATACATTCTTATTTTATTTACATATATATTACTACTGGTGCAGACAACAAAGAAGCCTTCTCAAATATAGAAGAGATTCAAAATACAACTCACACACAAATCTTTGAATGAAGTAACCTGAAGATATATTTCATCTGAACAAGTGATAAACCAAAATACAAGTATCAGAAGCATGCAGTGAAATCATTCAAGCACAGAATCAAAATGAAATGGGGGAGGAAGCACTTCTATTATATAATGGTAGAGTAAGAAACTCTGAAAATCTGCTCCTCCAGAAAAGCAATGAGAGCACTAGCAAAAATTGTCAAAATCAACTTTTTCAGAATGCTACATACTAACTTGCAACAATTTGAGGAGTGCTTATTCAAGAAAAACAGCTGAATCTCAATAAACAGAACGAGCTTTGTGATATTTTAACTTGCTTTACACTCATCCCTTTCTCTCAAGTTCATGGTAGCAAAATCAACAGCCTCATAACCCCAGTAGCTGTGAAAACCAGTAGCCTAGCAATCCTGTTAGGGGGTAGAAAAGGATTACAATCCTTCAAAAGCCCCATCCCCAGAGAACTGTCCCTGTTTGACTCTGGCAGTTCCTTAGAAGAGCTCCATATCCTTATTTGACTTAACTCAGAGAACACTCTGTGAGAACAGTTTTATCCTTAGGACATTTGCCAAAAACAACCAGTGGCAACTGTTTTAGCACTGCAGCTGCCTGAGGCAATGAAACTAGTTGGGACTAACAAGAGGCTGACCAAAAAACTTAAATGGAAAAACTGGGAAATGAGATATTCATGGGGACTTTGAAAAGCCTTGACATATGCCTGAGAATCCAAAATTTCATGTGAATGTGCAGGCTCTAAGTATATCCAGGAAAGACCTGAGAAGGCCCTATAAGCTCATCTTTGGCAGACACTGAGGCTCTGCAAAAGCAGGAAGTGAAGGCTAAGGCAGAGTTGTAAACCATCTGCCAAAGTGTGAAAGGCCCACTTCAATACACACATAAGAGCCCCTTGGGCAAGGAGTGGGAGAGCTACTGTCCAGGTACTTAAGGAAATCTCTGTCCGGTCACTAGCTGACCACTAAACAAACTGAGCAACTTCAGTGGTCACACATTAATGAATAAAACAGACTTTACAGAATGAAACCAGAAAGTCACTAAACAAACAGCAACAACAACAGCACAAACAAAAAACCCTTAAGGTTATATTATTCAATTATATATCTGACTGTATTTAATATAAATATAACACTCTAAATATTCAGTTTCAACAAAAAAAATTATGAGACACACACAAAGAAATACAAAAGTACGGCCCTAAAGAGTAAAAAAAAAAAAGAGAAGTCAGCTGGGTTCAGTGGCTCATGCCTGTAATCCCAGTACTCTGGGAGGCCAAGGTGAGCAAATTGCTTGAGCTCAGGAGTTCGAGACCAGCCTGGGCAACATGGCGAAACCCTGTCTCTACAAAAAATTGGCCAGGCATGCTGGTGTGTGCCTGTAGTCCCAGCTACTCGGGAGGCTGAGGTGGGTGGGTCACTTGAGCCTGGGTAAGGTCAAGGCTGCCATGAGCCATGAGTGCGCCACTGCACTCCAGTCTGGGTGACAGAGCGAGACCCTGTCTCAAAAAAGAAAAAGAGAAGTCAATGGAAACCATCCCTAAGGAAGACATGTTGGATTTATTAGATAAAGATTACAAATCAGCGGCCAGGCACGGTGGCTCACGACTGTAATCTCAGCACTTTGGGAGGCCAAGGCGGGCAGATCACAAGGTCAGGAGATCGAGACCATCCTGGCTAACATGGTGAAACCCCATCTCTACTAAAAATACAAAAAATTAGCCAGACCTGGTGGCAGGCACCTGTAGTCCCAGCTACTTGGGAGGCTGAGGCGGGAGAATGGTGTGAACCTGGGAGGCGGAGCTTGCAGTGAGCCAAGATCCCGCCACTGCACTCCAGCCTGGGCAACATGGTGAGACTCCGTCTCAAAAAAAAAAAAAAAAAGATTACAAATCAGCTACTATAAATATGCTTAAAAAACTAATGCCCCAACATTGATGAACTTTGAGGAAACTAAGTGAAGTCAGTCAATTATAAAAAGATAAGTACCGTATGATGCACTTATATGAGGTATATAGAGTAGTCACTCATAGAAACAGAAAAGAGAATGGTAGCTGCCAGGGACTGAGGGAGGGAGAAAGAAACAGGGAATTGCTGTGTAATGAGTATACACCTTCACTTTAACAAGATGAAAAAGTTCTGGAGATTGGCTGCACAACAATGCGAATGTGCTTAACATTACTGAACTGTACACATAAAAGTGGTAAAAATGGGACTTTTTCTGTTATATTTACTAACATTTAAAAAAACTAAAGGAAATCATGTCTAAAGAATTACAGGAAAGTATGAGAATGATGTCTTGACAAATAGAGAATATAAACAAAGATAAATAATAAAAATTTTAAAATAGAAATTTTGGAGTTGAAAACTACAGTAATTTGAATGAAAAATTCACTAGAGGGGCTGAATGACAATTTCAGCTGGCAGAAGAAAGAATCAATGAACTTGAAGACAGGTCAACTGAGATGATCCTGTCTGAAGAATAGAAAGAAAAAAGGCTTTAAAAAAAGTGAACAGCACTTTAGAGACCTACGGGACTCCACAAAGATTACCAACACACCATAATACGAGTTTCAGAAGGAGAGGAAAAAGAAAGGGGCATAAAGAATATTTGAAGAAATACTGGCCACATACTTCTCAAATTTGATGAAAAACATTTACCTACACATCCAAGAAGCTCAAAAAGAACTAAGTAAACTCAGAGGATCACACATAAACACAGTCAATCTGTCAGAAATGAAAGACAAAGAGAGAATACTGAAAACTATGAGAGAAAAATGCTGCCCTCATTAGGCATAAGAGATCCGCCACAAGCTTAACAGCTGGCTTCACAGCAGAAACCACAGAGACCAGAAAGTGGTGAGAGGACATGCGAAAGGGCTGAAAGCAAACAATTGTCAACCCAAATTCTATACCAACAAAATTACTTCAAAAATGAAGGAGAAATTAAGACATTCCCAGAAAAACAAAAACTGAGAATATGTCACCAGGAGATGAGACAAGAAATATGAAAGACTGAAGTTTAAGGACACTAGACAGTATCCACACAAAGAAATAGAGCGCACTGGCAGAAGTGATTACATTGCAAACATAAAAGGCAGTGTAAATATATTGTTGACGTAACTTTTTCTTATCTGATTTAAAAGATAATGGCATAAAGCAGTAATTACAGTTGATCCTTATTATTCCATATTTGCAAATTTGCCTATGTGCTAAAATTTGCAACCCCTCCTCAATACAGGTATACCTCAGAGACACTGTGGGTTCAGTTCCAGACCACTGCAATAAAGCAAATTTTGCAACAGAGTGAGTCACATGTATGTTTTTTTTTGTTTCCCAGTGCATATAAAAGTTATGTTTACACAATATACTATAGTCTATTAAGTGTGCAATAGCATTATGTCTAAAAAACAATGTACATGCCTTAATTAACAAATACTTTCTTGCTATAAAATGCTAATCACCTGAGTCTTCAGTGTTAGTTGTTGTCATTTTGCTGGTGGAGTGTCTTGTCTCAATATTAATGGTTGATGACTGATCAGGTGGTGGCTGCTGAAAGTTAGGGTGGCTGTGGCGATTTCTTAAAATAAGGCAACAGTAAAATTTGCTTCATCTATTGACTCTTCCTTTCATGAAACAATTTCTTATAGCCTGCATTGCTATTCGATAGCATTTTGCCCACCGTAGAATTTCTTTCAAAATTGAAGTCAATCCTTTCAAACCCTGTTGCTGCCTTTATCAACTATGTTTATGTAATATTCTAAATCTTGTTTAGAATTTCAACAAGGTTCACAACATCAAGGTTGTCATTTCAACAAGGTTCATAGCATCCTCACCAGGACTAGATTCCATTTCAAGAAACCCGCTTTCTTTGCTCATCTGTAAGAAGCAACTCCTCATCTGTTCAAGTTTTACCATGAGATTGCAGTATTTCAGTCACATCTTTGGGTTCTAATTCTAGTTCTCTTGCTATTTCTACCACAACTGCGGTAACTTCCTCCACTGAAGTCTGAACCCCTCAAAGTCATCCATGAGGGCTGGAATCAACTCTTCCTGAACTCCTGTTCATGTTGATATTTTGACCTCCTCCCGTGAATCATGAATGTTCTTAATGGCATCTAGAATGGTGAATCTTTTCTAGGGGTTTTCAATGTACTTCGCCCTGATGCATGGGACGAATCATAATCTATGGGAGCAATAGCCTTAAAAAATGTGTTTCTTAAATAATAAGACTTGAAAGTTAAAATAACTCCTTGATCCATGGGCTGCAGAATGGATGTTGTTTTATAAGGAATGAAAACAGTATTAATCTCCTTGTACATCTCCATCACAGCTCTTGGGTGACCAGAAGCATTGACAACGAGCAGTAATATTTTCAAAAGAATCTATTTTTTTTGAACGGTAAGTTTCAACAGTGGGCTTAAAGTACTTAGTAAAACCATGCTATAAACAGATGCATTGTCACCTAGGCTTTGTTGTTCCATTTACAGAACAAAGGCAGAGTAGATTTTGCATCATTCTTAAGGGCCTTAGGGTTTTCAGAATGGTCAATGAGCACTGGCTTCATCTTAAAGTCACCAGCTGCATTAGCCCCTAACAAGAGTTAGCCTGCCCTTTGAAGCTTTGAAGCCAGGTACTGACTTCTCTAGCCATGAAAGTCCTAAATGACACTTCTTCCAATACAAAATAAGGCTGTTTCATCTACATAGAAAATCTGTTTTTTAGTGTAGCCACCTTTATCAATGATGTTAGCTAGATGTTCTGGATAGATAACATGATGCAGCTTCTACAATACATCAGTACTTGCTGCTTCCCTTTGCACTTTATGTTGTAGAAATGGCTTCTTGCCTTAAATCTCATGAACCAACTTCTGTTAGCTTCAAATTTTTCTTCTGCAGCTTTCTCACCTCTCTCAGCTTTCATAGAACTGAAGAGCCTTAGGGCCTTGCTCTGGACTAGGTTTCGGCTTAAGGGAATGTTGTAGTTGGCTTAATCTTTTATCCAGACCACTAAAACTTTCTTCATATCAGCAATAAGGCCATTTCACTTTCTTATCATTGGTGTGTTCACTGGAATAGCATTTCTAATTTCCTTTGAGAATTTTTCCTCTGAACTCACAACTTGGCTATCTGGCACAAGAGGCCTAGCTTTCAACATGCCTTCCTCACTAAGCTTAATTATTTTTAGCTTTCGATTTACAATGAGATGTGTGACTCTTCCTTTCACTTCAACACTTAGAAGCCACTGCAGGGTTATTACTTGGCCTAATTTCAATATTGCTGTGTCTCAGGGAATAGGAGCCAGAGGAGAGGGAGAGAGAAAGGGGAATGCCTGGCCAGTTGAGCAGTTAGTACATACTCAACATTTATTGATTAAGTTTGCTGTCTTATATGGGTGCAGTTTGTGGTGCCCCAAAACAATCACAATAGCAATACCAAAGATCACTGATAACAGATCATCATAATAGATATAATAATGAAAAAGTTAAAAATATTGCAATAACTACCAAAATGTGACATACAGACATGAAGTAAGATGTTGGAAAAATGGTGTCAACAGACTTGCTTGACACGGGGTTGCCATAAACACTTTCTTTCTTTTTTTTTTTTTTTTTTTGAGACAGAGTCTTGCTCTGTCACCCAGGCTGGAGTGCAATGGTGCGATCTCAGCTCACCGCAACCTCTGCCTCCCGGGTTCAAGCTATTCTCATGCCTCAGCCTCCTGAGTGGCTGGGATTACAGGCATGCACGACCATGCCCAGCTAATTTTTGTGGGTTTTTAGTAGAGACAGGGTTTCGCCACGTTAGCCAGGCTGGTCTTGAACTCCTGAGCTCAGGCAATCCACCCGCCTCGGCCTCCCAAAGTGCTAGGATTACAGGCGTGAGCCACTGTGCCTGGCCTGCCATAAACATTTAATTTGTTAAAAAAACACAGTCTGTGAAGTACAATGAAGCACAACACAATAAAACAAGGTATGCCTTATTTAAGGCATTTTTTAACTCCATTCGATATTTGGAAATTATATCATTAATATAGCATGTAGTGAAATAAGAAATTAAAATAATATCTTAGGCCTTAAGCTTTTTATCCTTAAGAGCATGAAGCTGGATTAGATGATGTCTAAGTCCCTCTCTTCTGACATTCTTTGACAATAATTGTATAGCTCAAATCAAAAGATCATGTCTACTGTATCTAAGTAGTAAATATACTATTGGTCTAATTACTAACTGGATCTAATTCGAATTAAGTAAGAACTTCAGTTTTAAAGGAAGTTTACTATATCTAGACTAGTGACTTCTCTATTTTGGGGAATATATGTTTTTCGAACTGTAAATATTATTGCCTATAAAGACAATTAATTATTGTATCCATGCATTTTATTTGCCCACTCACACAAAAATGTATTTGAGATATGCATTCATATTTAACAATAAAGTCTGGACATGTGCCAGTTATAAATATAACATATATCTGGTAAGAAAATAATTCTGTAATTTTCTTTCAAGTCTATTAATTACATACAAGCCCTTACTTTCCTTATATCTAATATTTTAGTGCTACTCAGTTATAGACTTGCCCAAATTCTACTGCCTACCACCATTTATTAATTAAGTAGTTGGACCTATTTTTATAGTCTTCCAATAAATTTTCAAAAGAGATCATCTAAATTTTGAATTCTCCTTTTTTGGACAATATTAAGTAATAACTTGAAATACATTCTGTTTTACATAAGCAACAATTACATGGTAGGTCAAGGAAACGGGCATATCCTACATAAATAAAAAGAAGAATACACAGCAGAAAAAGTTTATTCTTTATTCAGAGTAAGCACTCTAGTGTATATTTACATCTACTATTACATTCTTCACATCTGGGCTATATTACCTTAATAATATAATTAGCTTAAACATAAAATAATCTTATACATTTTACAAATAATATCTAGATATCATTTTTTAAAAGCAGGTTTTCTATGTAGAAAGATAATAAAACTATACTTGGGTCTCCAAACTCTCAGGAATATTCACTTTAAATGTAACGTGTTGTGTAATTGAGTTTGTTCTTTTTTTAAATTTAAGTGAACCTACTGGCAATGGAAGCAGCAAGTGGCTTTCAAAATGGACACAGAAGAAATATCAGTGGATATTAAATTAACATCTGTACAGTACTTTACCATTTATAGAGTGCTTTAATATGTACTGTTATTTAATTGTTTCAACAATCTGTGAGGTCTGAGGTTTTTACCCAGGACTTGGGCAAGCAGGGAGGAAGAGGCTGTCAGCTACCAAGATACTCAGTTCCTCCATATGTATGTCTTGCTTCATTTTATAGCATTTACAGTCTGTAAGGAACCAATGCTATTCATAACTAAACTACAGTGATTAGTACGTGGGCCCAGGGGGCATTTACTCTGAGATATCATTTGAGGTTTTCATACCTTTTTTTTGAATGCTAATAAATCGACTGCCAAAAAAGTGAGTACCAAGGTCTACATCAGACAAGAAAATATCATTATGCTAGCTGCTTGTTATCAAAGATCAATTTAACAAATATTATTGAATCATTACAAAGTATATATAGGTGAAGACCTAAAACATATTGTTTATCAACTGAACAAATAAACAGGGGACTTAATCATCTACTACTACTTGTAAAGCTGTCTTTGGTGAACTTGCTTCAAAACAGTTGTTGAAAAAATTTAAGTGTCAGGGGAATACTCTAAAATTATTTTCAACAGGATAACTGTAAGTGTCTAATGGGAGAATCTGTCAGATAACCTGAAAAAATGTCCCAATATAAATTAAACTGAAAGTCTAAAGATATTATATAAGAAACTACTAAAATCTTAAATAATGTTCACTATTTTACTCTTCATAGTAAAAAGAACCAGTTATGGAGCCAGAAGGTAATGATCTTACAATAAAAAGTAGCAAAACTGAACCAAATCAAACCCTTACCTCCAAATACCAGGGCTTTTAAGTAAGGTAACTGTACTTTTTTATCGTCCAAACAAAACCCACTTCTGAGACTAAAAAAGAGTGCAATTAATATTAGGCATAAACTGGGAATGTGCCAAGCAAACCAGAATGTATGGTCTCCTGCTTAATAAGACACATGTCCCAGGCCATCCTGTTCTAAGATCACAAAAACAGAAAAAAAACAGGAAGCACGAGGCAGCTCAAAGCACAGAAATAAACAAGAAAAAAATAAAAACTTTCACAAAGTAAGTTTTCCTCAATTTTACAAATCAATTTGCATTAATAATATTTTAAGCAAGGGTAAAAGGGAGGAGGGGCTGATGTGCTAAAATAAGGAGGACTGGCTGAAATAAATTTAGGAAGCAGTCAGATCCCAGATCCCCTCCCCCACCCCAGCAAAACACTGGAAGTTTATTTTCTTAAGAACATAAAACAGTGGTTCTCTGCACAGGGGACCCTGGGCACAGCTGATAAGAACATATACTATGCTGAAAACAAGAGCTCAGGTGAATGCATATACACGGATGCTGAATGCAGTGATACCCCCGACCCCAATCATTCTTCCCCTGCTTGGTTCCCAGAATGATGGCAGCCAGGCCTTCATTCTCAAGGCAAGAGACAGGAAGTCTTCTCTGAGGAATCTGACCATCCTAAGAAGGAAGACTTAAAGCTATTGAGTAGAAGATTCCTCAACCAAACAGCACAGCCAGCTGACTCTATTGTGGAACTCACTGTTGATAAGCCCCACTCCTATGCTCATAGCCTCCAATCAGCCTTTTTGTCCCTTACTATTAAATATAAACACACAAACAAAAATGTCCAGATATCTAATGAAAGACTCTAATATAAAAGAGACTAAAAGAAATATATAATAAACAGATAAAAGCAGCTTAAAGAGAAGTAATTTTTTTCTTTTTCTTTTTAATATACCAAGTGGTCAGAGAAGTAAAATTTTAAAATATATCTATAAGTATCTTTCTCATGGAGATAAGATATATTACAACTATGTAACAAGAACAGGATACTATAAAAGAACATGCAGAGAAAGTTTTTGAAATAATAAATTCAGAGGGTTTTTAAAAGATAAATCTGAGAAAGTCTGCACAGAAAGTAGAGCAAAACATAAAAGTGGAGACTAATAGGAGAGAAAAGATAAGTCTGAAACATAATATCCAAGTCATGGGAGTTCCAAAAAATAAAGGGGAAAAGTCATCAATAAAAGAATTTAAGAAAAATTTTAGAACCAAAGAACAGGAAGAATTCAAAGAAAGAATGAGCAAAAATGCATGAAAAGAAACCCATGCCAAGGCAGATTATTAGGAAATTTCAGAATCCCAGGATAAAGGGAAGAACCTGAAAGTTTTCAGGGTAAAGCAGGTCTGCAAGGATAGGAACTGAATGGAATCAGTTTTACCAACAGCAACACTGGAAATGGGAAAGTGAAGTAAAATGGAGGCAAAGTACAATTCTATAGAAAAATTATTTCCAACCAGAATTCTTTACTCAAATTACTAATCAAGTATGAGGGAAACATAAAGACATTTTCAGATATGCAAAGTCTAAAACATTTACCACTCATGCAAGCTTTCTCAGGAAACTATCAGGGAGTTAACACCACAAAAATGAGGGAATGGACCAAGAAAGAGCAAGAAATGGAATACAGGAGACAGGAAATCCAACATGGTGAGAGGTGAAGGGAGAACCTAGGAAGGAAGCCATAAAACCGGATGTCAAAAACAACCAGTTCAGACCGGACGCTTAAGAAGATAAAATGGATAGAACACCTAAAGTGTCTGAAGGTCTTGACAGAATTAGACGATTGGTGAAAAAGTAAACAAAAGAAACAAGACAGCTAACTCTGAAAATATTCTTAAAAAGTAGAGAAAAACAAAAATAGGAACAGGAAAAGTGATCACAGTTTACCATGTGGCTCCTGCTGTGAAAAGCATTTACATAATCATAATAATGTAAATACTAATATGGATGTATTAGTATTCACAAGAAAAAAACAACAAAAAAACAAGAAAAAAATTCTTATTGCGAGATCTAAGGTATAAAAATGATACAGTGGGGACAACGGAAGAAAAAAGGTAAAATCTTCACCTCCTGTTGGGGGGCATCTATAGAAAATGACAAAAACTAAAAAAAAAAAAAATCAGGAAGTGCAAGATAGCCATGCTATTTTGAAAATAGGGTTAATCAACTAAAAGCTGAAGAGGTCAAAGTGCAGAAGAAGGCATGGGGGACCCCAGGGAGAAGGAGACTTGCTTGCTGTTTTTTTTGCCATAACTGTGTAGAATTGTTGGCCTCTAGATAATAAGTGTGCACAAAACTTTGTTAAACTATCTGATTAAAATACAAAAGGAAAATAAAAAAAAAGGGGACTTAGTGAAAGAAATCTCAAAAACATTTTAATTTAAGTGCCAAATTGCTCAGACCTCAGCCGGTATCAAACTGTTTTTCCCATAACTAAAGCTACACCACTGTGTATATCACTTGAATATGATTATCAACCCTCCTCCATACTCTTCCAGTATGAAGACAGACAGGGAATTTTCCAAATCTTACCTCAAGCAGAGCTGCTGCTGGATCACCCTGTAGACTTTTTCCCAGTTTGTCAACCTCATCTAATAGGAACACTGGGTTGTTCACTCCCACAGTCTTCAAGCCGTTGATGATGCGACCAGGCATGCTGCCAACATAGGTGCGCCTAGAGAAAGCAAGTAGCACATTCACAGTGTGAGATGTCAGGAGGCAGGAGCGACGCCATTCAGAAATCAAAACTTAGGAATGTGAAAAGATCATTTAGCTATCACTATAATATAGCAAAGAGGTACTATGTATTTAAAAGGCACTATGATAAATCAAAAGTTATTATATTCAATTCTAATCTTATCTTCTACTTAATTCTGGCTACAAGTTGCCCATGATATTGGAAGAACTGTATCACATTTTGCCATTTGGTGAAATGAAGAAACACGACACTTAAGTCACCAGTTACGGTTCTTACTCTTCAAGATTCCAAAATGTCCAAAGTACCCTATGAATTCCCATGCTTTCCATGATTTTTCTGAGCATCCCCCTACCCAACGCAACCACCTTTATGCACACTGAAATGGCTGCCCCTGGGCCAGCTAAAACATCATCATCTTCATGAAGGAAATTAAAATCAGTTCAAACAGCCACTCAGAATGCAGACCAAAAACAACAACAAAAAAGAAAAACTCCAATCTCTTTTATTTTCAGAGGAAATAATCTATTAATTATAGTATAAGGATCTGGGGTCAACAGTATTTATATCAGAATTCCATTATTCTGTCCTTTTGAACAAAACTGTATTCATCCCATATGCACTAATTGGCAATAACCACGTTCAGCCAGCCAGGTATTTTGTTGAACGTTAAAATGTGAGAGCCTGCTTTATTGTATTTGGACAAGAATCACCCACATAATTATGACAGATGTAGAGTGTGGCATGAAATAAAAACACATAAGTTTATCAAACCAAAAAAGGTGTCTTTTTTACAAAGCCAGCAAAACTTAAAGCAGCAATTTACTAATTTTAATTATAACCCTGCTGTCTATGTTGTGCAAAGCAAATGCTGTCTCTGAAAAGGCATAAAAGCCTGACTGCCGAGAAGAAAATGATCAATGACAAGTGGAACAGCCACAGTTACCTCATGATCTGCACAAAGCCGATTCACAGAGCAGGCCTGATTTCTGCCACATGACTGGTATAAAGTAGGACAGAATAAACAGAGTGAACTTTGAAAAGGCAAGCAAGCCTTAAAAATATCATGGGAATGCCTTTCATCCGGGAAAGGTGACTAAGGCACAGGGAAGCAAAGGCAATAAACATTGTCCTGTTAATATAAGGAATTAGCACATTCAAGATTTCAGAATCAGATACAGGAAAGACGAGACTCAGAATTTATAAATTCTTTCCAATTATTTTTCTAGAGAACTTACAGATTTGCCATTACTCTGATTTTTAAGAGTGGTAGGGAAGGGAATTTTTTTAAAGAATCTCAAAGGCTCTAATGGGTCATTTTTTGCTGCAGTTATTTATTTGCCTTTCCTTTTTTGATGAGTAAACTTCAAAAACAAGTACTGACAATTCTACACCTGAAGTCACAGAGAGAAAATAATATTCTAGGTAGGCACCCTTTCTAAAAAAATTGGAATCCTAGATTCTACTCACACTGTATATAAGCAATTCCTCTTACACTTTCCATTGCTTCCCAGAGCCTACAGAATAAGGTTCAAATTCCTTTGTCTGGAGTTCGAGGCTTTTCACAATCCAGCTCCCATTCATCTTCCCAACTTGCTGCCATTACTTTCTTGCTTCAACCACAATCAAGATACTATTACGCCCCTTAAAAATTTTTACCTTTCTTAAAAATATGGTGCCTTCCTGCCCTTAATACTCCTCTTCCTGCTACGTAAATCCCAACAATTCTAAGAAACTTTTTCTGACTACCTCTCACAAAGGGATCGCTCTAATAATGCAATGTCTACAGCACTTACTGGCCCCATAACTCATCTGATGGTTACTTACAACCTAGTTTTTATTCATGGGTATAATAACCTCCTCTATAGAGCCAGTGAGCACTTTTATGACAGAGACGGGGTCTTACCACAGAGTAGAGGCTAGATATAGAGCTGTAAGATTGTTCCCCACCAGATCCACCGTGCCAGCACTCAAAGCATCTTTCCATCAGCACTCTAAAGGTAACACAGTACAAGCCTCTGAATACTATTTTGGGCAAATTACTTGACCTAAGCCTCAGTTTCCTCACCTATAAGATGGGGAAAATAGTGTCAACCTGGTGGGTTATATTAATATAAGGATCATGAGAGAACACAGGCAAAGCACACAGCACGGTCCCTGGCACACAGTGAGCTTTCCAGTGATGCTCATCATTATTAGCAACAGCTACTTAAAGTTTACTTCTGGTTTCCTGGAAAAAGCACAAGAGCAGAATTCAGTACACCTGAATTTGAGTCCCATTTCAATTTCTGCCTCATGGAAGCAACTTTTGCAAATGTCTTTTATAGCAGACAAGAGAGAAAAATATAGGCATTTCACCATCCACTCTTCCTACCTATTCAATTAAAGGGCTCGGCTCCCGCAGGCTATAATGCAAACTGTTAAAATAAAATTTACAAAGAATTTGGAATAGAAAAGAGTTTAAGTGTTACAATGTTAAGTGAAAATGACAGGATTACAATTCTGTTACTTAAAATCCAATGATAAGTCTGGCAGAACAAAACAAATGTTAACAGTGATTATCTTTGTACGGTAGAAAAACATGAGGATTTTTTCCCCTTATTTTTCACATTTTCTACCAAGGGTGTGTGGATGTGTGGGTGTGGGTGTGGGTGGGTGTGTGGGTGTGTGTGTGTATCTCAAACTGGAAAAAGGAATCAGTTTAAAAAAGATCCTAATGATCTCAAAAAGAAAAACAGTCTTTAAGAAACTGGGATTTTAATGTATAATAGCATGTCTAAACAAATGCAATTATTCTTCTGGTAGTCATTCCTAAATCTTTTTATAGACTAATTTGTATGGGTGTACTCGTCTAAAGGGTTGCATAACTTCCAAAATATTATGTTTTAATCTTACATGAATTCACAAAACACCCAGAGAGCGCTCACCACATTTAGCACCATGTTAAATAAGCATCATGGGGTACATAAAGGAGATAGACGATAAATCCCCTGCCTGAGAAAGCTTGTACTTTTTATAAACGTATTTATGTTTCATCTCCACAGTTGTATGGTAGAAATGCCAGAGGCCCGTATTCGATAAAGGAGCACAATAGGTGGTCAGTTTAGAGAAGAGTGAAATCATAACTGACTGCACTTACATTAATGGAGGAAGCCTTGGGTTGAGGCCTTAAAATAAACCTAAGTTTTGGAGAGGCAAAGAAGAGCTACATGCAAATGTAAGTTGAAAGGATAGTGGGCAAACCATAATATATCTGGTACACTATGCTAAAAAAATACATTAGAAGCTTGCTGCTTCAGTTATTTTTCCCTTGTAGAAACTAATAATGAAATAGTTTATTTATAACTTTACCATTTCAGGTTGCATATGAAAATGTATCAATGTGGAAATCACAAGTTCATTTTTCTTCTCATCTTGTTTGAAAGTTGAGACAAGGATTTCTTGCAATAATATAATTTTATTATCTAAGTAAACAGCTGGTAAAGTATTTCTAGGAGTTAATATCCACAGTGATTTAAGATATATCATAACAATAATATATTATTTCTTTTTACCAAAGAACAAATGAAAAACAATTATGCAAACATTATTTCATAAAACTTCATCTTAAAAGAAGTTAGTTACCTTATATTTGTGTGAATTGACTTAAATTATTTAAATGTAATACTTAAATATAAAAATTTAAGTTGTTAAAACTGATAGAAGGGAATGAGTATTTTGTGGCTTACAAAGTGGACAGAAAAATCACAATGGAGATAAATCCAAATGAGAAATATCGAAAAGACTGAAAAACTGAATGAGTTAATACGTAGCATAAACATTATTCTTCCTTTAAGCTACTCAAAACAATACAGACAAAAATGAGGCAATGTTTAGTCAGATCACTATTATTTTCCAAGTTTAAGATTAAATATTAAGGCAAGCCTCTCTTTTGCTTCCCCATCTCCCACCTCATTATCATTTAACCATAAAAAACATATCTTTGCTTGTTTTTAAAATCAATCCCCAACTTATCGGCATCCTTCTTCTCATACGCAGGTACTTTTAGCAAAAGGAAAGTGTTCCACACATGGGAAAACAGGGAGAGTGAGTGGCAAAATCGAGAGGATAAGCAAGGACAATAACAAAGCAGCTTTCTTTTTCCCTGGCTTTCTTTTTCCTTGGCTATTCTAAGGCTGCGGAACAGTGGTGCCTACTCAAAGGCTGAGGAAAAACAAAACTTTTCATGAACTCTAACTGTGAGCATGTGACCGGTACTCAAACGTCAAGACCTGGGTTGTCTCCCAAATGCCTCAACTGTCACATGGAACCACATGTTCCCCCAGGCACACCCATGGTTGTGCTGGAATTGTCGGTTGTTCTTTCTCTCCTCCTCCTATTCACCTTCAATTCATAACTGACCTAAGTGCATGCTCTGCCCTCACCCTTTCCTCAACAACTGAACCCCACTACTCTCCACGTGCTTCCAAACAGGGTTTGAAATAAAATTTTTCACCAGGCTTTAATAATTCACGGGGTAGATGGGTAATATGTCCCCAACAGCACAAGGGCAGGTTGCTATAGTAGTTAATCAAACATCTGGTACACTGATGGCTAAGTAACACTTACCAGCAAGGTGTATCTAAAATCAGGCTGAATAGAATGATTCACAAAACAAATCCTTATACTTTTTACTCGGCAACAATCACAGCCTCCATATATACGTTTCTAAAAAGGTTATATTTACAAATATTTTAGGCAATGGTGATTGTAACACAACCTCCTTTTACAAAAGACCCATAAAGTCAATTCTTATTTTCTTCAGACTCAATTTTCTTAATACAGTCACATACACAAAAGCATATTCACTTGAAAAAAAGAACAAATTTTATATGTCAGTAAGGATTTAAAATAGAGATTTATTTTAATCCAGTGATGTTTGTAAGTGGTGAGAACCATGACACTATACACTGTCCATTAGTAGGCAACAGAAAAATGCATTTTCCCATAATTCTGCCGTATAAATTAAGTAATAATGCTGAGAATAGGATAAATATTTTAGAAGGCAATTAAAAAATCAGATTGAAATTTATAAAAACTCATACTGAAGCTTGTAAATCTAAATTTGTCCTCCTGAGAATTTATTAATAGAATTTAAATAATGGTTAAAGCTAATTTTTAGTGAATGCTCACTGTGTGTCAGGTATTGAATAAGTGCTTTCCAAGCCTTATCAAATAATCAATACCAATGTGAAAAGAAATAAGAACAAATTACCTACATGTCACGTGCTTATGATGTCAATTTCACATAGCATTAATTCCACGAACTCACTCTCTAAATGCCATCAAATACTTACTCTGTAGCTAAAATTAGAAGATTTAGGCCCTAGACGCAGCTTCTTTGAGTTTGGTCCAAGAGAAATGCCAATTCCTTTACGAAAGCAAACTATAGCCTCTAGTGGTACATGCAAGAATAAGAAGTCTAGGCAACAAAAATATCTTTTGAAATTGCCAGAAGAAATCACCCAAATCAATTCTCTACTCTGATCTGCACGCCTCATTGTTTATTTACTAAAATCTTGTGATGAGTCTTTTTTAAAATTTATTATTATTATTTTTTTAGAGATGGGGTGTCACCAAGTTGCCCAGGCTGTTCTTGAACTCCTGAGCTCAAGCAACTGCCTGCCTTGGCCTCCCAAAGTGCTGGGATTACAGGCATGAGCTACTACACAAGGCCAGTAATGATACTTTTTAAATGCGTAAGAATTTTAAGTGAGCAAATAAAAGAGAATAAAAATAACCATTTCTTATAGAAAAGTTTCTGAAACAGTTTCCCATCCCTGTCTATGGATAGGGATCCCTTTGAATAAGGCACATAGAAAACAAGATATTAAAAAAGCATCATATTCTTTTATAAGCAGTTCATGGTTCCTACATTTAAACATGTTCTTTAACACATACACTATAGGTATGTTTTCTCACAACTTACAATTGCTATGAATCCCTTAAACCACGAAATGTAAATTCATGCTTTCCCAAGGCAATTTCCATCAGATCAACAAAGAGACCAGTGAGAACAATGAATGCAACATGCAAATCTGATTCTAATAATGTCAGATTAATCAGAAACAGTTTTGTTGTTGTTTGTTTGTTTGTTTGTTTGAGATAATGTCTCTGTCTCCAGGCTGGCGTGCAGTGGGACAATCATGGCTTACTGCAGCCTGGACCTTCCCAGGCCTAAATGATTCTCCCATCTCAGCCTCCTGAGTAGCTGGGACCACAGGTGCATGCCACTGTGCCTGCATAATTTTTTAATTTTTGTGGAGACAAAAATTAAAATTTAAAATTAAAAAATTTAAATATAAATTTTGTAGAGACAAAAGTGTTTCCCTATGTTGCCCCGGCTGGTCTCAAACTGTTAGGCTCAAACAATCCACCCACCTCAGCCTCCCAAAGTGTTAGGATTACAGGCATGAGCCACTGTGCCCAGCCTAGAGGGACAGTTCTTACAGTTTATTGTTTTTTTATAGAAAGTGAGTCCAAAATGCAAGAATAAGCCTTAATAATTATGCTAACATTTATCCTTATTACTCATATTCATAATACAAACCAACCTTCATAAGAGGAAGTTTAGACTGCAATCAGAACAAGTTTGTTATCAAAGACTTCTCACCTCCTCCTATTGGCCCTCCCTATTGCAGTTACTTTTTTTAACTCTGAGAGTTAGGGATCATTATTTATGGCATGCTACTGGGTTGAAAAGAGTGTAAAGACATAATAATATCCAATCATAAATAACTTATAATTACATTCAAATGAGATTCCAGGAAAGTTGAGGCACAGAGTAGTATCCACTGTCATACAAATCAAGGTTAGTTTGGGTTTATCATTACGCTTAGAGGCTCTAGGCTAGCTGATACTTCTTGTAAATGTCCTTTTCATTCAAGGTACCACACATAGCCCTTTAAGGAAAATAGATGTATGCTATGCCTAAGCTTTTAGGGAGCTCTAGTCAATTAAAAAGAAAGAGGAATCAGAGATTAAACTGAGAGAAGTGTTCTACCTGTGTCCTCGAATGTCAGACTGATCACATACTCCTCCAAGTGCAATCCTGTGGAACTCTCGACCTAGAGTCTTGGCCACTGATCTTCCCACACTTGTTTTACCAACTCCAGGAGGGCCAACAAAGCATAGGATTGGGCCCTTCAGGTTATTTTTGAGCTGTCTGACAGCCAAGTATTCCAGTACTCTTTTCTTCAATTTTTCCATGGCGTAATGGTCATTATCCAGAAGAATCCGGGCTGCCCTAATGTCCAGGCGGTCTGTCAAATAACCCAACAGAAATAATTAGAACACATAAAATTTTTAAGTTAAAGAACTCCTTTCAAGCATGACGAGGGCAAAATATTTTTTTTGAAAATAGATGTGATAAGAACAGACTTGGATCTTTCTAGATGAGGATTCTAGGAGATCTGCATTTGGTTTGGTTTCTCTGCTTAAGACTTAGTGTCCCCAGAGATAGTAGGCACTACACAATTAAAAACTCAATGTTCATATCATTTTATTTGGAATGATTTTCTAGTTATGCATTACTTCTTAATTTCTACATATTGTATGTGTGCTGGCATTTGTTTTTTAAAAAAAAGGGTGATTTTTTTCCTTATTTCAGTAGTAACATATGTTCATTCCAGAAAACCTGATAACACTAACAGAAAAGAAGAAAACAGTTACCCATAATCTCATGCCCCCAAGAGATCACCACTACCTTTACTTCAGTATGTGTAATTCCAGGCTGTGTGCGTGCATTTACAAACCTATTTTTCAAAATGGGATTTTATGGGGCCTTTAAGTTTTGTAAAATGTTTTTTTCACTTAATATATGACAGACAACTTTCACTGTCACACATATATTTATCAGT
The DNA here is from genome assembly GCF_000001405.40 of Homo sapiens. NCBI lineage: Eukaryota > Metazoa > Chordata > Mammalia > Primates > Hominidae > Homo > Homo sapiens. The sequence continues at coordinate 48,269,418 of NC_000016.10, read as the reverse complement.
AACATTCTATGGTTACTTAATGTTCCATTACTAAATTATCTATATTCATTTAACTAATTCCCTACTGCTGAGCATTCAAGTTGTTTACACATCTTTACATTTATAAAAGATGCTTCAACTGTGCATCACTGGAACTAAATCTTCCCATATATCTGCAATGATTTCTTTCAGCTTATCTTCTATGAACAGAAGTGCTGGGTCAAAAAAAAAAAAAAAAACAGATGATGTAAAGAATTGCCTAATTGCCACACAGAAAGTTGTATCAAAGTCTCACCAGAAGTGTATGAGTTAGGCTTTGTTTCTAGAGCCAAGCTTTCAACAGGTTTACTAATAAGATTTAGCATTTAAAATACTCAGATTAAACACCAGGTAACAGAAGCCAAAATGAATTCACTAGCTGGGTGGCTGCCAGGGTATAATACACAGCCACCTGATCATGCTGGCAGTGAAAGAAGAAGATGGGAGAGAGAAATACACAGAAATCTTTTAATTAATTAATACATATCTTTTAATTAATTATTTAGAATTTGCTAAGGATATTTCATAAAGGAAAAAAATGGCCTGAGATGGTAATTTGGTTCCCAAGCTAGTCCCCCAAAAAACCTAGCTAAGCAGTAAACTATATAATTTAATTATAGTACTATTGATTTTAGTCAGAGTCCTAGGTGAGTGAAGTAGGAGAAGAACAACTAAAATTTCTTCCCCCTTTCCTGGCTCCAGAACCCAACCAATGAATATATGAAGAAGTGAAAGATAGAGAGTTTCTCAATTGTTTCACAGTGCTAGCCCTGACACTAAAACCTACCACAGTAAACATAAAAGAAAACCTCAGACAAATCTTTTTATATAGCTGTAAATATTAAAATGCTAGTAAATCAAATCTATAAAGAATAATATACTAAGTCCCAGTGGGATTTATTTTAGTTATGCAAACATGGTTCAGTGTTAGGTCATCAATGTCATCATGTTCAAGAAGAGTAAGTTTCCATCAAAATATCATCTTGTACCTAAAAAGGTACTTGTTATAATGCGTTATCCATTCATGATTAACACATTCAGTAAGGTAAGAATAAAAGTCAAGATAATTTAGAAAAGACTGAAAACACTGTGAAGAAATTTCTTGCAAGAAATATGCCAAGTAAAGACAATTTTAAAAGTTCTTTCAATCTTTTAAGTAAAGGTGATTTCCATGCTGTATAAATTATTTTCTATCTTTTCTATACAGGATATATTTTTCTAATTATTCTCTTTAATGATTCAGAAAGCATGCTTCCTGTTTTGAATAACATGTGATTACATGTAAAAAATTTTTCAAATTTCAATATAAATTTCCTTATTTATAATTAGAAGATTGAAATGGTATCTACTGACTCCTCTAAGCTGGGAAAATCTGCAAACATATTTCCTACAACTCTTTCCTCTCTGCTTTCCTTTTTGTTTTCGGTTACTATCTGAGATCTCTACTTGGTAGGTAAACTTCTCTTTCAGAAATTATGAATGGGGGGCCAGGCTCGGTGGCTCACACCTGTAATCCCAACACTTTGGGAGGCCGAGGTGGGAGGATCACTTGAGGTCAGGAGTTCGAGACCAGCCTGGCCAACATGGTGAAACCCCATCTCTACTAAAAACACAAAAATTAGCTGGGCATGGTGGCAGGCGCCTGTAATCCCTGCTACTCAGTAGACTAGGGCAGGAGAGTCACTTGAACACAGGAGGCAGGGGTTGCAGTGAGCTGAGATCACACCACTGCACTACAGCCTGGCCGACAGGGCAAGACACCATCTCAAAAAACGAACAAACAAACAAACAAAGATATTTAGGCTGGACACAGTGGCTCAGGTCTGTAATCCCAGCACTTTTGGAGGACAAAGCAGGCAGATCACTTGAGGCCAGAAGTTCGAGACCAGCCTGGCCAATGTAGTGAAACCCTGTCTCTACTAAAAATACAAAAATGAGTTGGGTGTGGTTGCAAGCGCCTGTAATCCCAGCTACTTGAGAGGCTGAGGCAGGAGAATTGCTTGAACCCAGGAGGCGGAGGCTGCAGTGAGTCAAGATCACACCACTGCACTCCAGACTGGGTGACAGAGCGAGACTCCATCTCAAAAATATATATATGAATGGCATTTTCATGGTTTTATAACCACACTCACAATTATCTAGACATAATCCTGTGTAGTAATGGTTTAGGAGCTTAACATGACTCCTTTTATACCATAATTTATTCATCTTCAGTTCTTTGTGCTATGTGCAATGCTAAACAATGGAATTATTTTCATGATGGATACATGGCTGCTACACATCTCTAGTGCTGACACACATGGCATCTCAGAGTACCAAGAAATGTTTCCTTTCAACTAAAAGGCAGTATTTTGTCACGACATGCAAACATTACATAAATTTAAAAATAAATTTACTACCACAGTTCACAGTAGCTTTATTTTTTGATATTTTATTAAATATTTTTATTTCATTTATTATTTTATTTTTTTAAATAGAGTTGGGGTCTTCCTGTGTTACTCATGCTGGTCTCAAACTCCTGGGCTCAAATGATCTGTCCACTTTGGTCTCTCAAAGTGCTAGGATTACAGGTATGAGCCACTGTGCCCAGACAGCTTTATTTTTAATAGCCAAAAAACTGAAAACAACCCAAATGTCTATCAACAGATGAATTGATAAACAAATGATGGTATATCCATACAACAGAATACAACTCCAGCAATAAAAAGAAACAAATTACTGTTATATACAGCAACATGGATGAACCTCAAAATAATCATGCTGAATTAAAGAAGCCAGAAAAAAGGGCTCATACTCTATGATTCCATTTATATGAAATTTTAGAAAATACAGATTAATCTTTAGTGGTTGCTTGGGGATTAGGAGGCAAGGAGGAAAGGGGCGGGGAAGAAGGAAGGGATTATCAAAGAGCATGAAGAAACTTTTGGAGGTGAGGGTTATGCTCATTATCTTAATTATGGTGATGGTATTACAGATGTATATGTAAGTCAAAACTCATCAAAATGTACATACTACATTTGTGAAGTTTACTGTACGTCAATTACACTTCAATAAAGCTCAAAAAAAAAAAAAACCTTTCTCCAAAGAGAAATTAAGGGCCAGACGCAGTGGCTCACGTTTGTAATCCCAGCACTTTGGGAGGCCGAGGCAGGTGGATCACTTGAGGTCAAGAGTTCGAGACTAGCCTGTCCAACATGGTGAAACCCCGTCTCTGCTAAAAATACAAAAAATTAGCCGGGTGTCATGGCAGGTGCCTGTATTTAAGGCTACTCGTGAGGCTGAGGCAGGAGAATCGCTTGAACTTGGGAGGCAGAGGTTGCAGTGAGCCAAGATCATGCCACTGCACTCCAGCCTGGGCGACAAGAGTGAAACTCCTGTCAAAAAAATAAATAAATAAATAGAAATTAAGGAAACAATCTCATTTACAATAGTTTCAGAAAGAATGAAATACTTAAGTACAAACTTAACCAAGGAGGTAAAATGTCTGTACACTAAAAATTATAAAACACTGATGAAATAAGTCAGACACAAATAAATGGAAAGATATTACATGTTCGTAGACTAGAAGAATGTTGTTAAAATGTCTATACCACTCAAAGCAATTTACAAGTTCAATGTAATCCCTATTAAAATTCCAATGACATTTTTCACAAAAATAGATTTAAAAATCCTAAAATTAATAAGAAATTACAAAAGACCCTGAATAGCCAAACCAATCTTGAGCAAGAACAAACGTGGAGGCACCAGACTTTCTGACTTCAAGTTATATTACGAAGCTACAGTAATCAGAGAGTATGATTCTGGCACAAAAACAGACACACGGACCAATGGAATAGAATAGAGGGCCCAGAAATAAACCTATAAAGTTACCTAGAAGGTCAACCAATTTTCAACAAGGGCACCAAGAATATACAATAGGGAAAGGGCAGTCTCTTCAAGAAAATGTTGTGGGAAAACCAGATACCCACAGGCAGAAGAATGCACTTGAACCCTTATATGACACCATGTACAAACATTAATTCAAAATGGATTAAAGACTTAAATGTAAGGCCTGAAACTGTAAAACTCCTAGAACAAAATATATTTTAAAAGCTCCTTGACATTGGTCTGGGCATGGTATTTTTGGATATTGACACCAAAGTCAAGGCAACAAAAGCAAAAATGAACAAGTGAAATTATATCAAACTGAAAAGCTTCTGTACAGAATAAAAAAAGTTCAGCAAAATGAGAAGGCAACCTATGTAACAGCAGAAAATATGTGCAAACCATATTTCTGATAAGGGGTTAATATCCAAAATACACAAGGAACTCATGAAACTTAACGGCAAAAAATCAAATAGGTGCTTATCATGACTAATCATCAGGGAAATGCAAATCAAAACCACAATGAGAAAGCACTTTATGCCTGTTAGGATGGCCATTATTTAAAAAAACAAACAAACAAACAAAAAAACCATCATCAGTGAAGGTGAGGATATGGAGAAAAGGGCACCCTTGTACACTGTTGTTCGGAATGTAAATTGGTACAGCGTGTTGCGGGAAGTCAGGGACCCCAAACGGAGGGACCGGCTGAAGCCATGGCAGAAGAACGTGGATTGTGAAGATTTTATGGACATTTATTAGTTCCCCAAATTAATACTTTTGTAATTTCTTATGCCTGTCTTTACTGCAATCTCTAAACATAAATCGTAAAGATTTCATGGACACTTATCACTTCCTCAATCAATACTCTTGTGATTTCCTATGCCTGTCTTTACTTTAATCTCTTAATCCTGTCAGCCAAGGAGGATGTATGTGGCCTCAGGACTATGTGATAATTGCGTTAACTGCACAAATTGTACAGCATGTGTGTTTGTGCAATATGAAATCTGAGCACCGTGGAAAAAGAACAGGATAACAGCAATTGTTCAGGGAATAAGAGAGATAACCTTAAACTCTGACCGCTGGTGAGCCGGGCAGAACAGAGCCATATTTCTCTTCTTTCAAAAGCAAATGGAAGAAATATCGCTGAATTCTTTTTTCTCAGCATGGAATGTCCCTGAGAAACAGAATGCGCACCTAGGGGTAGGTCTCTGAACTGGCCCCCCCGGGGCGTACCTGTCTCTTATGGTCGAGATTGCAGAGGTGAGATAGACTCCAGTCTCCCATAGCGCTCCCAGGCTTATTAGGAAGAGGAAATTCCCATCTAATAAATTTTGGTCAGATCCGTTATCTCAAAACCCCGTCTCCTGATAAGATGTTATCAGTGACAATGGTGCCCGAAACTTCATTAGCAATTTTAATTTCGCCTCGGAGCTGTGGTCCTGTGATCTCGCCCTGCCTCCATTTGCCTTGTGATATTCTATTACCCTGTTAAGTACTTGATGTCTGTCACCCACACCTATTCGCACACTCCCTCCCCTTTTGAAAATCCCTAATAAAAACTTGCTGGTTTTTGTGGCTTGTGGGGCATCACGGATCCTACCAACGTGTGATGTCTCCCCCAGACACCCAGCTTTAAAATTTCTCTCTTTTGTACTCTGTCTCTTTATTTCTCAAGCCAGCCAATGCTTAGGAAAATAGAAAAGAACCTACATGATTATTGGGGCAGGTCCCCCGATAACAGCCATTATGAAAACAGTATGGAAGTTACTAAAAAAGTTCAAATACAACTTACATATGATCCAGCAATGCCACCTCTGGGTAAACAGCCAAAGGAACTGAAATCAGGATCTCAAAGAGTTATCTGCACTTCCGTATTCACTGCAGTATTACTTACAATAGCCAAGATACGGAAATAACTGAAATGTCTACTGACACATAAGTGAATAAAGAAAATGTGGTATAGACACACAATGGAATATTATGCACCTTAAAAAAGAAGGAAATCTTGCCATCTGTGACAACATGGATGGACCTCTAGGTTAGAGGGCATCATGCTAAGTGAAATAAGCCAGACACAGAAAGACAAGTACTGTATGATTTCACCTATTTAATGCATGTGGAATCTAAAATAGTGAAACTCATAGAAATGGAGAGTAGACTAGTAGTTGCCACAGGATGAGAGGAGAAGGAAATGGGAGGTGATGGTTAAAGGGAACAAAGTTTCACTTATGCAAGATAAATAAGTTCTAGAGATCTACTATAAAGAAAAGTGCCTATCGCTAACAATATTGTTAATTTAACATTAGACCTTATGTTCAATGTTCTTACCACCAGCACCAAAAGAAAAAAGCCAATAATAATGATGATAATAATAATCACAAAAGAGGTAGGAGGAAACTTTGGAGGTGACGGATATGTTTATGGCTATGAAGATTGTGATGGTTTCATGGGTGTATACTTATTCTGAAACTCACTGAGATGTATTCATTAATTATATACAGCTTTTTGTACGACAATCACACTTCAATAAAATGGTTTCAAAAAAATTGAAAACAAAAATAATTTAACAGTACGACAATCAGTGGAGTAAATTTGAAATGAAAAATTGCATGAGCTTTCTGAGTGACAATTAGACTGCAAAACAGGTGTTATTTTTTGGCTTACCAGTTGTACTTTTGTTCCAAGGAAGTTCTACCATAAGTTCCAAATAATTTCTAGTCAGAGCATATTCTGGCATTGACTGAGGCATTTTTTTGAGTCTGTGGAGAAAGAATACACAGCAAACATGTTCAAGAACACAGAAAAATTCCATAACAGAAAAATCAAACACAGCTCTCTTTCTTGGTTAGATATATCATGCATGTTTAAACAAATCTGAAAAAGTTTTAAAGTATCCAGATAATAAAACGTTTATTTTGTTTTGTAATGTAATGATCACCACTCCTATCTCTCTCCCCAGCCTACTTAACTGCCCCTTCTGGAGTCCCACCAGGGAGGGGTTCTTCCCTTCTGCTCTGCTTTCTCTACAAAGTATTCTCATATTTTCTAAGTACTTAAGGTACTTACAAAACAAAATAAGGCAGATACCTGCAAACTGCAGGAGAAAACATTATATCTAATTCTAACCTGGAAATATGGCCTTACTAGTGTGTGTCCCTTTTAAGCTCACAGGGATAGTCAAGTGACATATATCCATTGGTTTACTTATCACAATAAGATGTAAGTGCCTAACTATGCATAATACAATACATTTTTTTTTGTATCAGAGATGAGTGAGGTCTGCTCATAAAAGCAAGCTAATATCATATATTTAATAACAAATGCTACTTCCATAATATATGCAATGCTTAGCAAAGTGTTCTGCACATAATAAATGTTCTACATATATTAACTAATGTCAGAGGCAATATAAAATACCCATCAACTACAATTACTAATGTTCTTAACTGTAAGCCTCAGAAAGTCAAATATTAAGTCACTAAGCATTCAAGCAGGCTCACTACAATTCACTAATAAAAGAAAATGTAATAAGAGTTATAAAGTTAAAAGTATGCAAAGGAAAAATGGCTTTCAGTTTAACACTGGGGATATCCAGAAAATGTAATCAACCCATATATCCTATTCTGTTATCAAGGTTTCCCTGTACTTTGTCTTGTACAAAGAGAAATGGACAGTCCTTGCCCTTGAGAGTTTATAATCTAGAGAAGAAAAGTCACATGTGAAGAATATGATGCTAACTGAACAAACATTACGTATAAACAAAGAAGCATGGTCTGTTCTTTCAGACAACAAAAAGGCAGCTGCAAGAGTTATATTGCCTGACAGCACACTGCAGGTGGAAGATTTGTATTATGTATCCTCAGTATTGGAGAAAAGAGTAGTGAAAGTGGTGTTAATCAGGAGTACCAAGAATGAAAACAATAATGAACAAATGCCTTTTATAATTTACCTCTTTATCTCTTTGACACAGACTTTATGGGCCTGCTCTGGCATACTAGATGTTCGTATTTTTTTCTCTAGCATGACAATGTCATCATTATCTTCATCTTCATCTTCATCTTCTAAAGTACCTGAGATATGTGTAATTCTCCTAATAGGGCGTATTGCTATAACCTAACATAGAAAGCAGAAAAGTAAAACCGTATGTCAAAATAAATTGGAAACGAAGTACCCAGGTACACATAAGATTATGACTGGTGCTGAATAAATATTTTTATGACTACAGTCTCTATCTTTAGGAAGTGAAGTTCAGAATGATAATCAAAAGGCAGTTGTATACAGAGAGGCAGCAGAATTGCAGAAGTAGACCAACGTAAGGTAGACATGATTCTTTGGTATATGCTTACAATAATACTTGCATGAGAAAACAAATTTCAAGGAACTGGATACTAGAAATAATTAAACCATCTAGGAATTACCTTTCTTTGAGCTACTATTGCAGCCACTATTTTCTTGAAATACATTACTTCTTACCATTTGGTGACTGAAAAAAATTCCATTTTATCTCCTACATTACAAAATTTCTTCCTAGCATCTTCAACCTTTCCACCACTGGCTCTATTTTGTCTTCAAAGCTTTCCTGCTTTCAAAATATTTTTTTCTTACCTCTAGTTTCTTCTAGTTAACTATCGCACTATTTACTTCCTTTCTTGTGAAGTTCTGCTTCTCCAGCAAGTGGCTATAACCACCAGATCCCCTACCTCATCAATTACTTCAGTGAGCCTTCGGCATCTGTTCCCATCCTGCCAAAATTGTTCTTTCAAATCTAAAAAACATATTCTGTGCAAAGTCAAATGGCCTTTGTATTCTCTATGATCTCTCTATCATATGTTAAAACTACCTTATATGCTCCTTGAAATTCATGAATAAACAACCACTACTGGAGCAAAATTATATACTAGCATTTAATTTAAAAGCCCCCAGAACATTTTATTTTTTGAGACAAGGTCAAGCTTTGTAATCCAGGCTGAAGTGCAATGGCATGAACACTGCTTACTGCAGCCTCAACCTCCCTGGCTCAAGTAATCCTTCCACCTCAGCTTCCTAAATAGCTGGGACTACAGACACACACCAGCATGCTGGCTAATTTTTTAAATTTTTTTTGTAAAGATGAGGTCTCACTATGTTGCCCAGCCTGGTCTTGAACTCCTGGCCTCAAGCAATTCTCCTTCCTTGGCCTCCCAAAGTGCTGGGATTACAGGCATGAGCCACTGCATTCAGCCCAGAACTTATTTTTTAACCTGGAAAATTTATCTATTTAATACATTCAAATATAAAAATGTTTAAAACATAAAGCAGTAAATAAAAATTTAATTTTATAAAAACACAAGTACTAAATATATGCTTTTATTCTTACATAAGTCATCAGCAGATAAAATATTATAAATAAAAAACTGAACATATTATATATTTTTTAAAAGTGAGATTTTTATAAGCATATCAGTGATTTCATTGTTAAGACAAAAGCACTTTTTAATGCATTTTTCCTTCCTGACTGCTAAAACAGTGCTTTTCAACTCTTAGGGGAACAAAAAGGAGAGAGTTTTAGGTTAACTCCAAATATTATCCTAATTCCTACTTTTTAAATAACTGTCTCTTGCTTATTTTCTGGAGCACTTTTGAAAAACTTTCATTTTAAGTGATGGCAAACTTTACTGAGAGTAAGTTGCAGTTTTCTGCAACTCCCAGTGGATTTGTCTCTCTATACAAAATGAGTAATTGAGTCCCTGACCTGATCTCAAGCCAGAAATAATCCAGCTTTCTGCATGTTTTAAACAGCATGGTGTCCTGGAGTACTAATCGCCAGCATGATCATCACTGTTCCTATCTCTCTCCTCAGCCTACTTGACTGCCCCTTCTCTAGTCCCACCGGGGAGGAGTTCTTCCCTTCTGCTCCGCTTTCTCTACAATGTATTCTCTTTGATGACAAGACTTCTGCGCTGATGAACGTCAAATTGCTAACATAATTCTCAACGCCTCAACTTAAGTCAGAGCGCTGCATCTCAACACCTTCAGAGAAATGCCATTTTCACATCCTGTCCACATCAAATATATCTTCCTAATATAAACTCTGTCCAGACATAAAAATAGTAAAATCAGCAGATCAAGGTAGACTTCAAACAGATCCCATCATACATATAAATGTAATAGATGATAATGGGGATGGGAAGGATTATTTAATTAGTGGTGTTGAGTCAAACAAAAAGCTATTTGAGGGAAAAATACAACTGCTGTCTTCAAAATAATATATGGGTTAAAGAATTAAATACTTTTTAAAAAATCAACTAAAATTAAACTGAAAGGAAAGTGAATATTTATCAAGCCACTGAAGGTTAGAGGACTTAAGCTTAGAAAACAAAAAAAGATCAAGAGTTTGACTAAATAAAAATGGAAACTTATTATAAGTTGAAAACAGCCAAATTTTGACACAACATATAGTCCTTTTAAGAAAGAGTTTTGTATTAGTTTCTTAGTATTACATGCAGTAAAAAAATGTTATACTCAAAGACACCCATCATAGTTATTTGTTAGTGTTTACAATACACAAAACATTGGAAACAACACAAAAGGGGAAATGGCTCAGTAAATTATCCTTTTGGATGATAACCAAAACAAAGTGAGAAAAATGCTTACATGCTTTAAAAAAAAATCCAGGCAAAGAAAAGGATGAGAGGGAAACACCTAAATTTTATCAGTAGTGCGAGTGGTAGGAGACAATAAACTTTTCTTCTTTGTTCCTCTCTTTATTCTCCTTATTTTTTTTTCAAAACTGAAATGGGTTAAAATAAATATTTACCCTCTTATCATCATCTTGCTTGGGTTTTCTGGTTTTTTGAAGCAATTTCAGGCCTTCAATTTGTCTGACAAGCAGTGGTATAGTCATCTTGAACCGCTCCTCTAGGCTCACAGCATCTAAAATCTAAGGAAATGTGAGTCAATCAATAGGATCTCTCTCAGAAACACACAATCCAAAAACAGACAGTCAGAGCCATGGTTTAAATTGCCAAGTTAAAAAAAAATTATTAACAGTATTCAAAGCTACACTATGGCTAAGACAACCAAATGAACTATATTAATCAGCAAGGTTGTTTGAGATGAATATCAGAATCCTTAAAAAAGAAAGAAAAAACAGGATCTTGGTTTTTCACTTTAAAATGAAGCTGTGTGGTTTTTTTTTTTCTTTTTTTTTTTGAGACGGAATCTTGCTCTGTCCCCAGGTTGGAGTGCAGTGGCGAGATCTTGGCTCAGTGCAAGCTCCCCCTCCTGGGTTCACGTCATTCTCCTGCCTCAGCCTCCAGAGTAACTGGGACTACAGGCACCCGACACCATGCCCGGCTAATTTTTTGTATTTTTAGTAGAGACAGGGTTTCACTCTGTTAGCCAGGATGGTCTCGATCTCCTGACCTCGTGATCTTCCCACCTCGGCCTCCCAAAGTGTTGGGATTACAGGCGTGGGCCACTGCGCCCGGCCGAAGCTGTGTGTTTTTAAGATGAAAAAACCAGACACACAGTTGACGTCAACTCTTTCTGGGAATTACTCTCTTGAAGCCCAGAATGTGTTTTCATATTAGATCTAAACAAATTATAGGTTCAAAATATTAAATGTTTACATACACAAGAGAACAGAAGCACTCAACCAACTCTCACTAGTGATTTGTCGGAGCACAGGCCGCTCTCTGTTCCCGCAGTAAAACACACTGCTGCCGCCCACAGCCAGGGGGCTCTCTGGCAGTCCTGTAACTCTTCTACTCCCACTGGATTAATTGAATTCCTGTGTATAACCAACCTGTTTGTGTTAGTTGTATTTGCTATTATAACAGTTGGATTTAAGTATTAAATAAACTGATAACATATGAAAGAGCTGTTTCACTGAAAACAAACAAATATTCTAGGATGATTCATTAAAAATACTGCTTTAAAAATATCTTAAAAATAAGTGTGCAAGAAAACTTAAAGTATTACAGTTTGGGGATTAAGTCATGTAAATGTAGGATTCTATACTTGGATTACTTTTCAAGTGTCTTTAAAATTCATTTCACTTTAAATAAATATAAATTTAAAATTATAAGTAATGCATCATAGGTGTGATTTATATAAGAAACATGATGAAGATTCTAAGAAAGCAGGTCCACACATAAGGGAAGGGCCATGGCTCCACGTTTAAAAATAGTGAATCAAAGAATGTCTACATATTTAAGTTAAATTAAATATTTATTTATTTATTTATTTAGAGGCAGAGTCTCTGTTGCCCAGGCTGGAGTGCAGTGGTGCAATCTTGGCTCACTGCAGCCTCTGCCTCCCAGGTTCAAGCGATTCTCCTGCCTCAGCCTCTCGAGTAGCTGGGATTATAGGCGCGCACCACCACGCCCAGCTAATTTTGTATTTTTAGTAGAGATGGGGTTTTACCATGTTGGCCAGGCTGGTCTCGAACTCCTGATCTCAAGCGATCCACCCATCTCAGCCTCCCAAAGTGCTGGGACTACAGGCGTGAGCACCCAGTCAAATATTTACCTTTTTATGATTCTTTGCTTTAACTTTTTCTGTAAATTGACTACCATTACTGATTATGCAAATAAAAGAGCTGCTTGTGTCAACAAAAATATAAAATAAAAGAGCTGCTTGTGTCAACAAAAATATAAAACAATCACATTTGAAAGTCAGTTTAAATGTAAAAGCATTTCAATTACTTTGGGTCTCCAATATCTTTTTCTTGAAGGTCAAAACTTAACTACTCACTATCTAGATCTCAATAAAAAGTGACAAAGCAACCTGGCGTTCAAAAGGGAACACTGTACCTGGAGTTTCTCTTTGTTGCTTGTTCGGATAATTGATGTCAAGATGTCTGGTAAAGCTTCCCTTGGAAGACTATCTAAAAGACGTCTCAATTTAGCAACTGCAGGGACAGACATATCCAACATTTCAACCAACTAGAAGGGGGAAAAAAAGTCTTTTAAATGAAATCTGGCATTATTTGTGAATTTTTAAAAATCAGATTTCCATCTAGGTTTAATGTTTGGGCCTCAGTCTTTGTTTTTGAAAGATCACTGATTAATATAGTCCACGTATTTTACAGGCCTCAGAGGAAAAGAAAAGTACTTTCAAAACATCAATCAGAATGAAAAGCAATAATGGCTTAAAAGTAGTTAACACTAATGTTTACAAGGGTTTTGTAAACCTGTGCCATGATTATTTTTAACTTTCTATTGAAAAAAATTCAAATGTACAAAAAAGTTGCAAGAATCATACAATAACTCCTGTACATCCTTCTTCCAGATTCACCAATTGAATTCACCAACTGAAAAGTGGCATTTTGCCATGTTTGCTTTCTCTCTCTCCACACTCACACATAATTAATGAACATTTGAGGATAAGCTGCAGAATCGAGATCCTTATTCTTTAAATCTCTAATCCTGTGACAGATTAAGGACCCTTGTTCTTAAGAACAAGAATATTCTCTTACATAATCACAATATAAACCCTATTAGATGCATATTATTAGAAATATGTGTATTATTAGAAATTTAGCATAGTTGATGCTATTATCACGGCCAATCAGAGGATGAAATATTAATATTTAGTATAACATTTTGTATTAGTCTGTTCTCACACTGCTAATAAAGACATACCAGAGACTGGGTAATTTATAAAAGACAGAGGTTTAATGGACTCACAGTTCCACATGGCTGGGGAGGCCTCACAATCATGGAGGAAGGCAAAGGAGAAGCAAAGGCCTGTCTTACATGGTAGCAGGCAAGACAGCGTGTGCAGGGGAACTATCATTTATATAACCATCTGATCTTGTGAGACTTATTCACCACCAAGAGAACAGTATGGGGGAACCGCCCCCATAATTCAATTATCTACACCTGGCACCGCCCCCTGACACATGGGAATTATTACAACTCAAGGTGATATTTGGGTGGGGACACAGCCAAACCATATCAATTTGGACTAACTAGAATCTGAGCACTGTGAATGACTTTTAGAAAAACAACTGTCAGCGTATATCTGGGAGTTAAGATAGATTATGCCCAAGGCACACTTTCAGTAACTGTGATAGTCATTAGGGCTACTGACAAACTCCCCTTTTCTTCTGGGCACTGCTCTTTCTAACTTCCTTCGAATATACTAATAGGTGTGTCTATGAGTCTTAAATTGATCCATGAAACGTAGTGGAAGTGACAGCTCCTTCTGGGCAGAAGCATTACAAGCCAATGAGAGATGCGCCCCATTTCCTTTTCCTGCCTTAGAGATAAGGGAAGCATGTCTTTAGATGAATCTCCAATCCACCTGGGTCCGAGTGACTTTAATAGGCAGACACAACCCCCACTAGTCTCAGGCATGAAGCATGAGCCAGAAAGACACTCACATTATGCGACTGAGATTTCAGAGAAGTTAACATAGCAAAACTTAGTTCACACTAATTCATAATGATGTACTAAACCTTCATTTAGTCAGTTCAAATCAGATTTCATGTGCTAGTAATATTCAAACCTCTCCAACAACATCGTAATTTTGGAACTTATCCATTACCTGCCTAGAATGAAGGGAATTAAAGTATAATTACGATGAAGCTGTTCAGGTGGAAGAAGTAGATAATAAAATTTGAATACCCTTGCTACTAGGAATTCACCCCACGAAAATAAAACAGTTAAAACTCATTTTCCAAACATTTACTGAGTACAAACTATTTGCCAGACCCAAAACACTGCTCAGTACAGGATGGCTAAAGGAGAAAAGTGAATTCAAGTTTGGTAGAGAAAAAATACCTATAAGATACATTTCAATACAATGTGATAAGCATTATGTTAAATGACATGTATGACAGACTGTGAAGGCACACAGAGATGAGCGCTAACAGCCTACAGCTGTTGGGAAAGCATAGATTCAATTTTAAAATTCAGAGATGGAGGCCGGGCGTGGTGGCGGTTGGATCATGAGGTCAGGAGTTCGAGACCAGCCTGGCCAACATGGTGAAACCTCATCTCTACTAAAGACACAAAAAGTTAGCCGGGCGTGGTGGCGCATGCCTGTAATGCCAGCTACTTGGGAGGCTGAAGCAGGAGAATCGCTTGAACCCGGGAGGCGGAGGCTGCAGTGAGCCGAAATTGCACCACTGCACTCCAGCCTGGGCAACAGGGCAAGACTCCATTTCAAAAAAAAAAAAAAAAATCAGAGATGGAAGAGCACTCCCAGCAGAGAACTGAAGGCAGAATCATAGAGACATAAAATAACTCAATGTGAAGCTGTTTTACATTCAGTAGAGCTAGAACTAGGGTGTCAGTGAGGTGATAACTAGAGTTGACGCAAGACAGATAGGCCCAAGACAAGTTGCAAACGGTCTTAATGTTATACTAAGAAATTTGGTGTCCATCCTATAGCCATTAAAGTCTTTTACTCAAGGGAATGGGATGCCCCAGACTTCTTTTAGAAAGGCTCAGTGAAGAGAAAAGGTTCAAGACAGAAGAACTAGGAGACAGGATGCTATTGAAGAAGTTCATTGAAGAGATGCAGAAGTAGAAGTAGATGCAGAAGGGGATGAAAGAGAATAATTGGAAATAACTTTAATGTCTAAAAAGAGAAATTATAAAATTAGTATACATTAACTCAATGAAATTAACAAAAGTACTTAATATGAACATCAGACATGGATACAAAAACAAAACATATAATTGAATATGAACTGAGCCCAGAAGACGAACAAAAATTAAATTTGATGCATGATGACAGTAAGATGTGTGGTGATCTATTTATTTCTAAAAATTCCTTTAATGTCACTGCAAAATCTTTACAAGTTTAAAAAGTTCCTCTAGATTCAAAGTACAAAGAAGTAAAAGCAAAGCAAAAGAGGCTATGAAGCTATCTATGTCCAATAGAGGCACAAAGACCCAGGGAACATCACTGCTGAAAAGAAAAAGAAATTCTATTTCTCTCAATCTCCTTTATTCCTAAGCAGTATATTCACTTATTCCAGTTTTCAAACTGAAATTTCTTTCCTCAAAGTGCTTTCTTTCAGCCCATATAGAAATTACAGATTCAAATTTTCTATTTTTCTTTTTTTTTTTTTGAGTCAGGGTCTCGCTCTGTTGCCCAGGCTGGAATGCAGTGATGCAATCTTGGCTCACTGCAACTTCCACCTACTAGGTTCAAGTAATCCTCCCACCTCAGCCTCCCCAGTAGCTGGGACTACAGGCACGCACCATCACACTCGGCTAATTTTTGTACATTTTGTAGAGACGGGATCTCACCATGCTGCCTAGGCTGATCTCGAACTACTGGGCTCAAGCAATCCACCCACCTCAGCCTCCCAAAGTGCTGGGATTACAGGTGTGCACCAGCGCACCTGGCCCTCAAATTTACTATTTTTCTGTTATTGTTCATTACACTGTAAGTATGGCTCTTCAAATGCCACATCAGATACAAATACCACTGGCTATGAACACTTGCCCCACACATATTTCAATGATCAGTAGTATTTATAATTGTGACTTTTAAACATTATCTGATCCTCATAGATCTAGTTATAGTCACTGGATTAAACTAATAGAAAAGTAGAAGACTATACTTTATAATTTTATGTTTCATTAAGGTTTGAAACAAAATGGGGTGGGAATAGGAGCTTTCTGTTCTATCTAGAGTTAACCAAAAAGAACTAGAATTAAAGAGTCAAATATTTAATGCATATCTAAAATGTGCTTCCTTCCCAGCATTCTAGTTAATCAAGGTTTTAACCATACTTGAAATCAGCCCACCACAGGCTTGATCTACCATAGTTACTGCTAGACAATGTGATCTTGACTTTTGAAGTAATATATTGTAATTTATATAAATGGTGCCTAGATATTTTAGTGACAGACAGCTTCTGTGCAGTATTTCGTTTTTTAGCTTTAAATATTTAGGTTTAATAATTATCTAGTTTAGAGACAGTAGAAGTTAGAAGGAAAGCTGTAGAAATAACATTTGGAAAACTTTAGAAAGGGTAGGCCAATATGTCCTGGAATGATTTAGGTACAACCCCAGATAAGAGTAAATCAGAATTAATATATAATGTTACTAACTCATTTAAATGTATACTGTCCTAAAACTTCACTATCCAACAGATTCACCATATCTTAGGAAAGCAAAAGAACCAAAGAAAAATGGGTTTTAAGAAAAAATAAAAGCAACTTACTTGTACTGCATATTTGTAAAACTGCTCTGATAGTTCTCCTAGCTCCTCCCTCATTTTACAGGTGTTGGGAAACTCCTCAAGTCGGTCCAACTGCTCCACTTCAGCAATGGGATATGGCTTCTCTTTTAAGACCTGTACAATCTGGAAACGGCATAGGCCTGTAATCAACAGAGTGTAGTGGGGCTTGGGCCAGTTACTGCCCACAACCTGAACGGCCAGTGCAGCTGTGCCAATCCTGAAAAACACACAAAACATCGGTATTACAAACATTCAATACGGTAGAACAGAAACTCACTTCAGAAAGTGTTGGCTTTTCTGATACATTCATTAAGCAAAAGACATCTGAAGTGTAAATAAATTTTTTCTCTATTTAACTTAGCATCCAGTATGTGGCCTCTTCTGCCACTACCCTCAGCTATATGGCAAAGCAGACCATCTCACTATAATCTGCACCTCTTTTAAAAAATTAGGTAGGAATTTGTAAACACTTGGATTATTCAAGCGTAAAAATGTAAGAGAAAAGCAGCTGAGAATTACATATCTTAAATTAACATTGTCAACTAAGAATAAGGCAATCTTATACCAGGATAAATATTATCAATTTAAATACATTTAAATATAAATAGCATAAACCAATCTAAGAAATCTCCGTTCCAACACCAGTTGTGCTACTAACATCAAGTCAGTTTTCTTACATAATCAGTCTATGAAACTTCCACATACCCACCTTATCACAAGCTGCCATCACATACTGGGAACTTATATATATGCCCTTAACACTGAATTTCTAAGTGTGAGGGCTAAATATTACAGTCCACACACTGCCATAGACTGAGGAGAGCTAAAGAAAGACCCACATCTCAAAAGGTCTCAACCTAGTTCTAAGTGGTAATCATTTTACCTAACAATAGGTGAAAAGGCTTCAAGTCTCAGCTCCTCATCAGCAAATACAACTCTGATCAAGTCACATATAAATTTAATTCACAGAAAGGAAGCCTCATCCAAACTAAGTCAGTTATATAAAATACAAAAATCAACATTGAGAAGACAATTCCAGATCCCAAAATAAATAATATTTTCTCCCTTCAGCCATAGGAAAAGTGGTAATTCCAGAAAAGAAAATAGAAGGACTAGAACTCTCAACACCCTAGGAAAGCGGTAATAGAAGAACACCACACCTGCCCATCTCAAAGATAATAAATCATGTAATACAGTATGTGACTATGTGAGTGAACTTGCTTACTTCTATACACAGTGAATTCTTGATTACTTCCTTATAAATTACTCATTCCGTAGATTACACATAGCCTTTGGCTTCTTTCTGCCACTCAGTTTATTCTGAACTACGTCTATCCTTTTCTTACCTTTCAGTCATTACCATGTTTACAATAAAAACTGATTTAAATAATAAGCCAAACAACTGAGAAGATAAATTGGTGAGGGAAAAAAATCACATACATAAAAAACTTGAAATTATTTAGCAATTAGCTATTATTTTGACTTATTTGTGTTGTGGCTGCTTTTCTTCAATCAATAGTAGATAATATTTCCCACTTCCTGAAAGCCCACTCAGATTGCCTGAGGAAGTGAGCCACCTCTAAACTGATTAGAGAATAACTTAAACATAATTAATTGCAGATGATATTCATCACTGTTTGTACAATGCTGAAAGAGCTCACAGTCCTGTTTGTATATAAAACATCCACAGACAAGAAACTGGATCCCCGGCCTAAAGGGTTTACAAAGTAGAAACCAAGGAGGAACCAGAAAGAGAGATGAGACAAATCCAAATCTCCGATCAGGAGACAAATTTAATTATTTGGGCTATGTCATTGCTAAAAGGTGATGCTAAAGAGTTGTTTTTTGTTTTTTGTTTTTTTTTTTTGAGACGGAGTCTCACTTTGTCACCAGGCTGGAGCGCAGTAGCCTAATCTTGGCTCACTGCAACCTCCGTCTCCCAGATTCAAGTGATTCTCCTGCCTCAGCCTCCCAAGTAGCTGGGACTACAGGCACACACCACCACGCCCAGCTAATTTTTTGTATTTTTTGTAGAGATGAGGTTTCACCATGTTGGCCAGGATGATCTCGATCTCTTGACCTCATGATTCGCCCACCTTGGCCTCCCAAAGTGCTGGGATTACAGGTGTGAGCCACTGTGGTTTTTTTGTTTGTTTTTTAGAGGGAGTCTCACCCTGTCGCCCAGCCTGACGTACAATGGCGTGATCTCGGCTTATTGCACTCTGCCTCCTGGGTTCAAGGGATTCTCGTGCCTCAGCCTCCCAACTAGCTGGGATTACAGGCACACACCACCACGCCCAGCTAATTTTTGTATTTTTAGTAGAGACAGGGTTTCACTATGTTGGCCAGGCTGGTCTCGAACTCCTGACCTAAGGTAATCCACCCACCTCAGCCTCCCAAAGTGCTAGGATTACGGGCGTGAGCCACCACACCTGGCCAAAAGGGGTTTTCTTATAAAGCAAATACAATATTTTTGCTGTGAAAGGAAGATGTTCCAAACTGAAGAGATTAAGCTGAATTTATACTATGCCTACAAAAGGTACAGATGTATACATGCCTTAATTGCTTTTTACTTAAAATCACTTATAGTTGACTAGAAATTATCCCTTTAAAAAAATTTTTTTTTCTTTTTTTAACAGAGATGGGATCTCATGATGTTGACCAGGCTGATCTCCAACTACTGGCCTCAAGCAATCCTCCCATCTTGGCCTCCCAAAGTGCTAGGATTACAGGCAAGACCCACCTCGCCCAGCCTAGAATACATCCCTTTTAAAGAAAAACATCTATGAAATTATAGATGGCTAGAAACAGAGTACCTGGTGAGACACTGTGGGTGAAAAGCATAGTGAAAAAGAATCTATTGTATATTGGGCCCCAGGTTTTATATATACAAACAGGTAAATAAACAAAATACTCAACTAATATTTTCCTTCTATGATATACAAAAGGTTGTATATCAAGTCAGTCATTTTTCTAAAAATTCTGGCTCTTCTATTGTATGTGCATTATTAGGCATGCTCAAAAGGCAGCATTTTAATTTTGCAACAGATCCAAACTTATACATCCCAATGACTGGTGTCCTTCCCTTTAGCTAGTAGCTCTGTAAATCTACATCCTAATTATGATATTGTTCAAAGAAGTTTTGAAACTCCTAACTCGAATCTACCCTCAGAGGTTTTAAGATAATGTTTTAATCCAAATCCTAACTCGAATCTACCCTCAGAGTTTGTAAAATATTGTTTTCATTCAAGTGAGGTCTGACTACAATGGTTACAATTTGTGTAATTTGGAAACTGACCTAAATAATATAAGAGTTCCAAACATATTTAAGAACCATCAACTGCAGTAGTGGGAAAATCTAAAAGCAGCACTACTGGAAAAAGTTTTCCAAGATGAGGATATTATGTAAATATCTAATTCCAGCCTATATGCCCAGCACTTGCTTTTTTTTTTTTTTTTTTTCCTATAGACAGAATCTTGCTCTGTCACCCAGGCTGGAGTGCAGTGGTACGATTATAGCTCACTGCAGCTTCGATCACCTGGGCTCAAGTAATCCTCCGCCTCAGCATCATGAGTAGATGGGAGTACAGGCACGTGCCACCAGGCCCAGCCACTTTTAAAAAATTTTTTTACTCAAAGCCCTTAATTTTTCTTGGAATCTTTAATCTTCCAAGACCTTCCTGCAATGATGTTAGTTCAGTTCAGCCCGTGTTGGAATAATATGGGGCCTCCCCACTCCTCTCTTTAATCCCCTTTTGTGAAAATCTACATTTAAAACTACCCATTTGGATATAGGTTTAGAATGCTTTGCAGTTTCAAAAGGCTTTCATATGTATACTTCATTTTATACCTCCCTTCACCCCATGAAGAAGGTAGTATTATTTCCTTATTACAAGTGAGTAAATGAGATTCAAAAAGGTAGAACATGGCATGGTGGCTCACACCTATAATCCCAGCACTTTGGGAGGCCGAGGCAAGTGGATCACTTGGGCTCAGGAGTTCGAAACCAGTTTGCGCAACATGGCAAAACCCCGTCTCCACCAAAAAAAAAAAAAAAAAATAGCTAGGCATTGTGGCACATGCCTGTAATCCCAGACACTCAGGAGGCTGAGGTGAGAGGATCACTTGAACCTGGGAGGCAAAGGTTGCAGTGAGCTGAGATGGCACCACTGCACCAGCATGGGTGACAGAGTGAGACCCTGTCTCAAAAAAATTAAAGTAGAACAACTTAGGTGTACATGGTTACAAGAAAATGTAATAGAAATAAATTTAAGAAATAAATTTAAATTTAAAATTTAAAGGATAAATTTAAATTTAATAAATTGAGTTCCTTAATTATATTTTAAGACAAATTTTACTTTTTTCTCATTACAATGGACAATAGGTACCACTTCTACCTACAAGAATTATAAACATAGGCCAGGCATGGTGGCTCACGCCTGTAATCCTAACACTTTGGGAGACAGAGGCAGGAGGATCACTTGAGCTCACAAGTTTGACACCAGCCTGGTGAGGGAGACTGAGAAGTCGGCACTATGAGGAAATGAAGCCATGTACCCTGAAAAGTGTAAATTTGGAAGAAAGCTGGATGACCATCTTGAAATGCTTGAAAGGATATTGTACAGGTAGTACTAAATTATGACCCCTTTTCACTAAGAAAACAATGGGTCACTCAGGAAGCACTAAAAATGCAGTTCTACTAAGCAGAAAAATGCAGGGTGCCCTGGGTCAGCATGCCAGCCAAGTTCTATACTGCAGGACAAGTCCAAAGCTCCTCCTTTAAAAAGGCTCCTGCAGGCAACATGCCTGCACACTAACGTGCAGAAAGGGACTGTACTACTCAAAACCACCAAGGAAGTGGCAGAGGTAAGTCAACATCTAATCCTGCCACTCTGTGTGGCAAAGAACGCTGGGAGCAAATTACTTCTGCTGCTCTTTGAAGGCTGTGCCAGCGTCACCTGGATAGCGCAAAGGAAACAAGAGAAAGGAACAGAGCCCCTCTTCTGGCCTCTGGGCTACCATACAGAAAAGCAGGTAACTGGGGAAGGACAGACTTGTGCGTGGAAACAGGCTAATGCTATGGATTACTCAGTATTGGTATTGTTAAAGCCTTTTTTTTTTTTTTTTTTTAAGTAGAGTGTTTTAAAGGCCCTATTAGAGAAAAAAAGACATTGGAAACTATTACCAAGGAATATGGTACAATCTTTCCACATAGGCTTTTTAAGTAGCAAACAATACTTCTAGGATAACTAGATGGTCTGATGAGTTCTTATAATGCCGGACTTCTATGAAGACTTTTCAATATATGTTTTCTAATTTAAATGATTAAATTTTAACATTGCTACTCAGTTAAAGGCAATAATATGAACATCAAGGATCAGATCACACAGTACCTGATTATTAGTGATTACTTTCAAGCAGGAGAATTGAGGATTGTTGCTTTGGAGGGATTTTCATAAAATAAATTAAAAACCTGAAGGGTATGGTGGCGCTTGCCTATAGTCCCAGCTACTCCAGAGGCCAAAGCAGGGGATAGCTTGAGTCCAGGAGTTTGAGACCAGCCTAAGCAACATAGTGAGACCCCATTTCTACAAAAAATTTAAAAATTAGCTGGGTGTAGTGGTGCACGCCTATAGTCCCAGCCACTCCAGAAGCTGAGGCAGGACGATCACTTGAGCCCAGGAGTTCAATCAAGGTTGCGGTGGGCTACGATCACGCCACTGCACTTCAGCGGAGGAGACAGAATGAGACTCTGTCTCAAAAAATACACAAATGAATAAATAATAAAAACCTTCCAAAATCTTGCCAGAATAATACCAACAAATAGTGAAACTTAAAATGTGACTAAATCGACTTTTCAAGTTCACAATGTGCCCATGGCTAATCAATACATATGCACAGTAGAAAGAAAATGAAGTCTAATAATGACCACTCTTGCCTAGACAGGGAACTAAGTGTGCCTGGGCACAGAAGGCAAAATAATTTGGGAAAAGTAAGCAGAAGGAGCAGAGTCGTATGTTGGGAAACTAGAATCCAATACAATTTATCAAAGAGTACTGAAACTTGGAATGTGACCAATTCCACTCAGGCAATAACCAAAGCAGGTCAGATGGGAGCCAAAATATTTTCCATGCTTGAGAAAATCAAGGCTTTTACAATATAAATGAATACTGGGCTGCTGTGGAAGGTTTGTTGGTCTTTGTTGCTTTGTTTTGCTTTCTTTTAACGGGGGTGGGGGGAGGTACCAGTCTCCTTTGAGAATCTGAAGAAAGCAAAGGATTCTCCTAAAAAAATGTACATAGTCACAAGATTTTGAGGAAAAATAAGACATGTCCAACCCTCCGGAAATCCATTCAGAGTCAGGAACCCCTAATTTAAAAATAAGGGATAACTGCCAGGAAAGGAGAAGCTCTAAACTGAAAACACAACACCTCCAGTAGAGTTAGGAATAGGAGGCGGGTGCTTGGCAGGTGAGTTTGAAGATACTTGTTGAGAGCATACGATATACCAGCATTGTCCAATAAAAATATAATGTGGACCACATATAAAATTTTAGTGGCCACATTATAAAGTAAAAACAGCAGAAATCTTAACATTTTATTAACCCCAAGTACTCAAAATATTACCTTTCCAACATTTAATCCATATAAAATGTATTAATCAAAAAGTTTTTTCAAAATCTGGCGTGTATTGTACACTTACAGCACATTTAGGGTGACCAACCTCCTGGTTTCCCTGGGACGGAGGGGCTAAAACATAGGACTTTCAATGCTAAAACAGACAATCGCAGCAAACCAGGACAACTGGCAATTCTATCATCTCAATTTGACGAGCCACATGCACTACACAGTACTGGACAGCAAAGTCATCCATCATGCATGGTGCAAAGTGGAATATACACATTATTCAATTTATTCTTCATAACTTGCCTAAGAGATGGATGCTGTCAGTTTCCAAATTGCAGAATAAAAGAAATAGAGGTTAAAGCTCTCACCCAAAGTCACACCAATAGGGCGAGGGTACTGGGCAATATAGTAGTAAGCCTGGGGCCTAAGAAATGTTATGAGTGAAGGAGCAGAGGTGAGAAGCTAGGAAAGTTCCAGAAAGGGGGACCAGCGAAAATGTGAGCAGTAAAGGCCCTTTACAAAGGGAAACAGAAGGATTAGGGGGAGAAGGAGAAGGGTGGCAGGGAGTATAGAAGAAAGGCACCCACAAATAGTGCAGTTTAGGAATGAAACAGGAAAAGTTAAAACTCACGGAGCAGAGAATGCCTCAGCGGACAAAAATGATGGGTGACAGAAAAGGGGAGGCGGATAGGAGTAAAGGGCAGTGGGGAGAAAGGTGAAAAGCGAAGGCAAGTGAAGGCAGAGATCACCGGGGAGAAAGAAAGGGCCTGGAAAGTTAAAAGCACTGGCCTAGGAGGCTGAAGACCGAGGGCGAGGAATTGCGGAGAGGGGGAAGAGGATTCAAATTAAATTATCCAGAACGGTAGGGAACTGCGTAGTTTCACCAGGTGTCAGGCACTACTTCATGAACGATCTCATTCATGGTCATGGGGCAGGTATCTGACATCCCCATTTTGCAAGTGATAGCACCAGAGAGGCGGAACCGAGCCGCGAAGGCCGCCCCGAACTGAGCCTCGCGCTCAAGGCAGGCCGTGGCCTGGGCCCAGGTCCCCGGAGGAGGCCGCGCCGCCCGCCGCCGCCGCGGGGGCAGCCAGGCCTACCTGTGCAGCGGCGGCAGGTCCTGCGCGTCGCTGGCGGGGTCAGGCGTGTTGGGGATGACGCCCAGGATGGTGCTTTGCAGCGACGTGCCCTTCAGAAGGCGGCTCCGCACCAGCTGCAGGTTGCGGGCCGAGTCCACGCTGGTGCGCATGGTGGAGCCGGGCAGCAGGACGCCCTCGTGGGTGAGCAGCAGCGGGAGGCGACTGGGGATCTGGATGGGGCTCACTGATGACATGCTGGCAGCCTTTCGCACTGGGGGCTGTCAAAAAGAGCCAGACAGACAGCTGCCCCCGGCCTGCCCCGCAGTCACCAAACCTCAGACCCGCCTCCACGCCTCCGCTTCCGGCTACGCGCTACGGTCCGTCCCCGGGCCCAAAAGCCATGGCTTCGCGCTGCTCTCTAGGAGAGCCTCCCGGTAAGACTTGAGCGTCCTACCTATGCGGAAAGACGTGCACTCAAGCGTGCAGCGACCTTCGCCTCACTTACAGAGTATATTTGGAAGGATGATCTTATTTGAATTGTATATACTTGAAGTGTTTTTAACGTTTTCTTCGATTTTTTACATATACTTGAAGTGTTTTTAACTTTTGATTCGAACTAATTATTTATTTATTTATTTATTTATTTATTCTGAGACAGATTCTCGCTCTGTCGCGGAGGCTGGAGTGCAATGGCGCGATACCCACGGCTTGCAGCCTCTGCCTCCCGGGTTCAAGCGATTCTCCTGCCTCAGCCTCCCGAGTAGCTGGGATTACAGATGCCCGCCACCACACCCAGCTAATTGTTGTATTTTTAGTAGGGAGGGGATTTCACCATGTTGGCCAGGCTGGTCTTTAACTCCTGACCTCAAGCGATCCGTCCACCTCGGCCTCCCAAAGTGCTGGGATTACAGGCGTGAGCCAACGTGCCCGGCCCGAATTGATTTTAGATGTACAAAACTACAGCAGAGTTCCTATATACCTTTCACCCAGTTTCGTCTGTTATCATCTTACATAATCATAGTTCAATGATCAAAACCAGGAAATTAACATTATTATCGTTTAACCTATAGGCCTTACCCAAATTTTGCCAGTTTTCCCACTAATGTCCTTCATTGGATCTGGTCCAGGATCCAATATCCAGGATCCTGTTGTGAAATCTCCTAGGTGTTTTGTTATGAAATCTCCTAGGTGTTCTCTAATCTGTGGCAAGTCCTCAATTTTTTTTTTTTTTTTTTTTTTTTGAGACGGAGTCTCGCTCTGTCACCCAGGCTGGAGTGTAGTGGCGAGATCTCGGCTCACTGCAAGCTCCGCCTCCCGGGTTCATGCCATTCTCCTGCTTCAGCCTCCCGAGTAGCTGGGGACTACAGGCACCCGCAACCACGCCCGGCTAATTTTTTGTATTTTTAGTAGAGACGGGGTTTCGCCATGTTAGCCAGGATGGTCTCAATCTCCTGACCTCGTGATCTGCCCGCCTTGGCCTCCCAAAAGTGCTGGGATTACAGGCCTGAGCCACTGCGCCCGTCCAATTTTTTTTTTTTTTACAACCTTGATACTTTTATTTTTTTTCTGTTTTTAATTTAATTTTATTTTTTATTATAGTTTAAGTTCTAGGGTACATGTGCACAACGTACAGGTTTGTTACATATGTATACATGTGCCATGTTGGTTTGCTGCACTCACTAACTCGTCATTTACATTAGGTATATCTCCTAATGGTATCCCTTCCCCCCCACTCCCCACCACCCAACGACAGGCCCCTGAGTGTGATGTTCCCCACCCTGTGTCCAAGTGTTCTCATTGTTCAGTTGCCACCTATGAGTGAGAACTTGCAGTGTTTTGTTTTCGGTCTTTGCGATAGTTTGCTCAGAATGATGGTTTCCAGCATCATCCATGTCCCTACAAAGGACATGAACTCATCCTTTTTTATGGCTGCATAGTATTCCATGGTGTATATGTGCCACATTTTCTTAATCCAGTCTATCATTGATGGACATTTGGGTTGGTTCCAAGTCTTTGCTATTGCGAATAGTGCCGCAGTAAGCATACGTGTGTGTGTGTCTTTATAGCAGCATGATTTATAATCCTTTGGGTATATACCCAGCAATGGGATGGCTGGGTCAAATGGTATTTCTAGTTCCAGATCCTTGAGGAATTGCCACACTGTCTTCCACAATGGTTGAACTAGTTTACAGTCCCACCAACAGTGTAAAAGTGTTCCTATTTCTCCACATCCTCTCCAGCACCTGTTGTTTCCTGACTTTTTAATGATTGCCATTCTAACTGGTGTGAGATGGTATCTCATTGTGGTTTTGATTTGCATTTCTCTGATGGCCACTGATGATGAGCATTTTTTCATGTGTCTGTTGGCTGCATAAATGTCTTCTTTTGAGAAGTGTCTGTTCATATCCTTTGCCCACTTTTAGATGGGGTTGTTTGATTTTTTCTTGTAAACTTGTTTAAGTTCTTTGTAGATTCTGGATATTAGCCCTTTGTCAGATGGGTAGATTGTAAAAATTTTCTTCCATTCTGTAGGTTGCCTGTTCACTCTGATGGTGGTTTATTTTGCTGTGCAGAAGCTCTTTAGTTTAATTAGATCCCATTTGTCAATTTTGGCTTTTGTTGCCATTGCTTTTGGTGTTTTAGTCATGAAGTCCTTGCCCATGCTTATGTCCTGAATGATATTGCCTAGGTTTTCTTCTAGGAATTTTATGGTTTTAGGTCTAACATTTAAGTCTTTAATCCATCTTGAATTAATTTTTGTATAAGGTATAAGGAAGGGATCCAGTTTCAGCTTTCTACATATGGCTAGCCAGTTTTCCCAGCACCATTTATTAAATAGGGAATCCTTTCCCCATTTCTTGTTTTTGTCAGGTTTGTCAGAGATCAGATGGTTGTAGATGTGTGGTATTATTTCTGAGGGCTCTGTTCTGTTCCATTGGTCTATATCTCTGTTTTGGTACCAGTACCATGCTGTTTTGGTTACCATAGCCTTGTAGTATAGTTTGAAGTCAGGTAGCATGTTGCCTCCAGCTTTGTTCTTTTGGCTTACGATTGTCTTGGCAATGCCGGCTCTTTTTTGGTTCTATATGAGCTTTAAAGTAGTTTTTTCCAATTCTGTGAAGAAAGTCATTGGTAGCTTGATGGGGATGGCATTGAATCTATAAATTACCTTGGGCAGTACAGCCATTTTCACGATATTGATTCTTCCTATCCATGAGCATGGAATGTTCTTCCATTTGTTTGTGTCCTCTTTTATTTCGTTGAGCAGTGGGAAAACCTTGATACTTTTGAAGGATATCAGTCAGTTATTTTGTAGAAGTTCATTCAATTGGAGTTTATCTACTGTTTCTCACGATTAGATCAATGATATGCATTTTGGGGCCAAATACCATGAAAGAGATGTTGTGGGCTGGACGCAGTGGCTCACACCTGCAATCCCGGCACTTTGGGAGGCCGAGATGGGTGGATCATCTGAGGTCAGGAGTTCGAGACCAGACTGGCTAACATGGTGAAATCCCGTTTCTATTAAAAATACAGAAAATTAGCCAGGTGTGGTGGTGCGTGCCTGTAATCCCAGCTACTTGGGAGGCTGAGGCAGGATAATTGCTTAAACCCAGGAGGCAGAGGTTGCAGTGAGCTGAGATCAGGCCATTGCACTCTGGCTTGGGCAACAAGAGAGAAACTCTGTCTCAAAAAATAAAAAAAAAAGTGATGCTGTGGCCATGTGATATATGATGGTGAAATGTCTTATTAATGACGATTTGAATCTTGACTACTTGGTGAAGGTGGTATCTGCCAGATTTTTTCACTGTAAGTTACTATTTTTCTCTTTGTAATTAGTAAGTATTATGTAAGGAGATAATTTCATATTTATTTATTTATTTATTTTTCCTTCAACTTTTATTAGGTTGGTGCAAAAGTAATGGCAAGAAACCGCAATTACTTTTGCACCAACCTAATATTTTAAGTTCTGGGGTACATGTGCAGATGTGCAGGTTTGTTACATAGGTAAACATGTGCCGTGGTGGTTTGCTGCACAGATCAACCCATAATCTAGGTATTAAGCCCAGCATCCATTAGCTTTTCTTCCTGATGCTCTGTCTCCCCCTACCCCTGCCCCCATCAGGCCACATTGTGTTGTTCCCCCGCCATGTGACCATGTGTTCTCATCCTTCAGCTTCCACTTATAAGTGAGAACATGCAGTGTTTGGGTTTCTGATCCTGTGTTAGTTTGCTGAGGGTAACAGCTTCCAGCTCCATCCATGTCCCTGCAATGGACGTAATCTCATTCCTTTTCATGGCTGCATAGTATTCCATGGTGTGCATGTACCATATTTTCTTTATCCAGTCTATTGTTGATGGGCATTTAGGTTGATTCCATGTCTTTGTTATTGTGACTAGTGCTGCAGTGAACATACGTGTGCATGTACCTTTAAAATAAAGTGATTTATATTCCTTTGGGTATGTACCCAGTAATGGGATTGCTGGGTCAAATGGTATTTCTGCCTCTAGATCTTTGAGGAATTGCCAGACTGTCTTCCGCAATGGTCAAACTAATTTACACTCTCACCAACAGTGTAAAAGTATTCCTTTTTCTCTGCAACCTCGCCAGCATCTATTGTTTCTTGACTTTTTAATAATTGCCATTCTGACTGGTGTAAGATGGCATCTCACTGTGGTTTTGATTTGCATTTCTCTAATGATCAGTGATGTTGAGCTTTTTTTCATGTTTGTTGGCCACATGAATATCTTCTTTTGAGAAGTGTCTGTTCATGTCCTTTGCCCACTGTTTAATGGGGTTGTTTGTTTTTAAATTTGTTTGTAAATTTGTTTAAGTTCCTTCTAGACTCTGGATATTAGACCTTTGTCAGATTGCAAAATTTTTCTTCCATTCTGTAGGTTGTCTGTTCACTCTGCTGGTAGTTTCTTTTGCTGTGCAGAAGCTCTTTAGCTTAATTAGATCCCATTTGTCAATTTTTGTTTTTGTTGCAATTGCTTTTGTTGTTTTCATCATGAAATCTTGCCGGTGCCTATATCCTGAATGGTATTACCTAGATTTTTTTTTTTTTTTTTTTTTTTTTGTGACACAGTCTCGCTCTGTTGCCTAGGCTAGAGTGCAGTGGCACGATCTCAGCTCACTGCAAGCTCCGCCTCCTGGGTTCACGCCATTCTCCTGCCTCAGCCTCCCGAGTAGCTGGGACTACAGGCATCTGCCACCACACCTGGCTAATTTTTTGTATTTTTGGTAGAGACGGGGTTTCACTGTGTTAGCCAGGATGGTCTTGATCTCCTGACCTCGTGATCCGCCCGCCTCAGCCTCCCAAAGTCCTGGGATTACAGGCGTGAGCCACCTCGCCCAGCCCTTCTAGAGTTTTTATAGTTTTGGGTTTTACATTTAATCCATCTTGAGTTAATTTTTGTATAAGGTGTAAGGAAGGGGTCCAGTTTCAATTTTCTGCATATGGCTAACCAGTTCTCCCAGCACTATTTATTAAATTGGGAATCCTTTCCCCATTGCTTGTTTTTGTCAAGTTTGTTGAAGATCAGGTGGTTGTAGGTGTAATTTTACATTTATTATTTAGAATTCTACTATAAGAAAGAGCTGTTCCATCTCCCCCATTTATTTACTTACTCAATTACTTTTTAATGTTAGTATGGTCTTACAGATATTTAGTTTTTATGGTTTTTTTTTTTTTTTTTTTTTTTTTAGACAGAGTCTCCTCTGTCGCCCAGGCTGGAGTGTAGTGGCGAGATCTCGGCTCACTGCAAGCTCTGCCTCCCAGGTTCATGCCATTCTTCTGCCTCAGCCTCCCAAGTAGCTGGGACTACAGGTTCCCACCACCAAGCCTGGCTAATTTTTTGTATTTTTAGTAGAGACGGGGTTTCACCGTGTTAGCCAGGATGGTCTCGATCTCCTGACCTTGTGATCCACCTGCCTTGGCCTCCCAAAGTGCTGGGATTACAGGCGTGAGCCACCGCGCCCGGCCTAGTTTTTATGGATTCTAATCCGATAATATTATCTTTTTTTTGTTTTTTTTTGCTTGAATTGTTTTGGATTTGACCATTTCTGCATGTTGAGATTTGACTTGGGTTTGGCCTTAGGTTGCAGGTGGAACATTTTCTCCAATGTGAAGTCCAGCAGTGCTTTCAGAATTCCAGAAGGAGTTGAAAGTCCATTCATATCAAGAGTTATTTGTTAAGCGACTTCTCAGTGCCAGGCCCTGAGCTAATTGCAGAAGGGTAGACAGGTCCCAAAACAAGGTCCTACTCTCAAGCATCTCTCAGCCAGGGGAACAGACCCATAGACATCTGAGTATGAGGTAGGGCAGACAGAACTGTGTGTTTATATGTGTGCAACAGATAAGGGAAAGAGAAATCAGGTTACTAGGTGCTGTGGGAGAGACACAAATATAGAAACTTAGAAGCTCCTGCCTAAAGCTCTTTGTCTGACAGGATCCCACCTTCTTTCATTCATTCACTGAACATCATTTTCACATTGCTTAATATTCATTTCAATAACCATTCACTAAAAATATTTTTTGAACACCTATGATGTGCTGGACACTATTCTAGGTAATGGGGAATACATCAGGGAATCAGACAGACAAGATTTCTGCTTTCATGAAGCTGACATTCTAGTGGGAAAAACAAACAATAAGCAAGGAAAGAAATAAGGAAAATATTTCTGGATAGTAATAAGCCTTTTAGATGGTCAGGGAAGGTCTCTGAAAAGACGACATTTGAACTGAGCCCTGCAGTATGAGAAAGCATAAATCAATGCAAAGATTAGGGGGTGGGGGCCAAGGGCACTGTTGTAGGCAGAAAAAGCAGCACTTGCAAAGACCCTGTGGCTAGAATGAATTTAGGGTGTTTGAGGAACCTGTTCCTGGAATGTCTGAGCTTGGGACCTAGTGATTTCAGTTGCAATAAGGTGGGCAGAGTCAGATTATAGAGGGCTCTGTAGGCTCTGGTAAGGAGTTTGGGTCTTACTCTAAACCTGACGGAAGCCATGGGAGAGATCAAGTTGAGGAATAACATTATCTAGCTTATATTTTCAAAAGTTAATTTTGACTGCTATGTGGAGAATGGAACGTAAGGATTTAAGATCAAAAGCAGGGAGGCCAGTCAGGAGGTGGTTGCAGTTGTCCAGGCAAGAAGTGATGACTTAGACTAGGAGCAGTTGCTGTCAAGCTATGTTTGATTGTAGCTTCAAGAGAATATGCTGATGGATTGGACATGAAGATTTAAGGAAAAACAGTTGAGAAGGATTATCCTAGGTTGGGGCCTAAGCCACCAGGGCCTGGAGAGAGGTTGAGCCAGTAGCTGAAGATCCTGGCTATAATGAGGGTCTCATTCACTTCTCTGGATATGTACAATGTGCCCTACCTTGTGACAGATTCTGAGGGTGGTACAGAGATAAAACATATGTGGCCCAGATTCCCAAGCGCTTACCTTTTCATCAAGGGTCTCTCCAAGGGTAAGAGGGGAGGGGCTGCATTCATTCAGGCTTCCAGAGTTTTAACAAAGAACTTCTAAAACCAGCTTACAAACTTTATGGTATATTTTTAAAACACTAATGTTTAATAATTTTAACCCACTTATGCCGGAGGTTGCAATTTTTTTGGATTTTTGCAATCAGACCTCGGTGATGACCTTGAGCAGTAGGATATAAATAACTTTCACATGCTTAGCATTCCCATAATGGAACACTAGGCATCAATGGCCTAATACATACATGTGCCCCAACAACCACAATAAACAATACTATATAAATGTTCTGTTCACATAATAATGGCTGGATTTAGTTTTTAAAACACAAATTAATGCTGCTCTATAGAAGATGTGGTGTGGTGTGGGAATAGGCCCAAGTTTAACCTGCCTGCTTGATGAAAACCCTCTTTCAATCCTGTCACTGTATCTCTGTGATGGGATGTGTCAGCCTACTTTGGAGAACACCAAGAATTTAAATGTGAAGTCTTTCGTGACTGTGTGGCTTTCCTAGCTCCTTTTTTGACAGACTCTGCATGTACTTCATTCATTGATCCATTGAATATTTGTTATGCATATACTATGTGCTG
This sequence comes from Homo sapiens, assembly GCF_000001405.40. Classification (NCBI taxonomy): domain Eukaryota; kingdom Metazoa; phylum Chordata; class Mammalia; order Primates; family Hominidae; genus Homo; species Homo sapiens. The sequence goes on along the minus strand of NC_000016.10, from coordinate 48,236,564 downwards.
GGCACTCTTCTAGACCCAAGGACACATCTGTGAACATGACAGACAAGGTCCCTGGTTTCAAAGAGCTTACATTCAATGAGGTATGCAGAAAACAAATAAGCCAACAAGGAAAGAAATGGCAATTTCAGAATGTGATGAGTAAAGGAAGTAGATTAGGAAAATATGCAGAAGGTGGTATGGAGAGAGGGGATCTGGGAAGGTTACTCTGAGGAGGTGGCATTTGAGTAGAGTCCTGAATGTCAAGAATGAACCAGCTCTGCAAGGAGGTGGGAGGAGAATATTCTTGTCAGATATTAGGACTAATGCAAAGATCAAGGTGAGAGGATCATCCTAGCTTCTGAAATTGAGGAGAAGGCCAGGTACTGAGATGTGGGGATTCTTCAGGCAACAAGATGCCCTCCTGAAGCTACTGAAACTAACAGAAGGAAATAAACCTAAGAGCAGAGAAAGTTAAATAGCACAGGGCGAGGTACAGGAGGAGTAAGATCTAATCACTTAAACTTCTTTAGGGCCCAGCTGGCAGGTGCTTCTGGCTCCTTGCCCTGGACACTTCCTTAACCACTGATGTACCTTCTGATCTTGGACACTAGACCCTGCTGCATAAGAACATGGAAATAAATCAGCTCCTCCAGAAAGCCCATGATACAGGTTACCCCGCTCCAGTGGCTCCCCTCCTGTTCACAGTCTGTTTCACCATACGCAAACAACCCACGTCCAAACCAAATTTGTCATCCTGACCTTTGCCTCTGGGGATTGGGAAAACACAGGGCTGGAAGCATCTGCTGTTTCCTCTCTATTTTATTCCCAGTCATGTCCTGGTTTCCATCCTGACTACAATGATGGTCTTACACCAATTAGAGTGAATAAACTCCAGCTCCATTTTCTTCCGGAAAGAGAATTGGGAGTCCAGGGAATGCTTCCGGGACTGCCAAGGAAGGTTCTGGAGGGAATTCCCCTGGTCAGTCCAGGAAGTGGAGATGGGCCCCATGGAACTGGAAGGAGGCCCAAGCTAATGTGTGGCTGAGCTCGAGCTCGTTTGCTTGGGATGAGCGACTGATGTTCTGCAAACATAACTATTACAATGTTTGCATTTTCTTAATTTTCGTTGGGTTTCATTTTCCATGTCGTTAGTTTCCTGGATGAATCTTGAATAGGAAAGAGTCACACTATGTGCTGGGCACTCTTCTAGATCCAAAGACACATTTGTGAACAGGACAGACAAGGTCCCTGGTTTCAAAGAGCTTACATTCTAATGAGGTATGCAGAAAACAAATAAGCCAACAAGGAAAGAAATGGTAATTTCAGAATGTGATGAGTAACCCTCATTGCATCTCTTTGCATCTCTTTGCATCTCTAGTTGTGAAACCTTCGTTACCTCTCTTTGCAGGTGTATTTGAATAAACCAGGTTGGCAAATCATACTATAGCTGAAAGGTGAGAGAAAATCTAATTTCTTTACTTGGTCTTTATAAATCTGGTCTTCCTCATGATCCCCCACTTGCTGGTTAATGAGGGAAAAATAAATGTTTTGGCTTACCATTTTAAGACCTTGTTTGAGCCAATAATTTAAGTCATTTTATCAAATAATTCTCACTAAAGGCTCTGTCTAGGAGTTGTCACCTGGCAGAGAAAGAATCAGGAACCTGGGCACAGTGACCTCTGCTCCTAGGCTTTCCCAGGGGAGGTCTTTTGTCTACTTGCTCACTGCCTGTCCTGCTGTCTTTGCAAGCCAGCTGGATCTTGGCTTGCACAGTAATCCTTTTTTGGCTCACTCACCTGGGGATGTTCTCTGAGTTGCTAGGCCTCCCCTGTCCCACTTCTGTTGGCAGCATAACCCCCTCCAAGATCTCTCCATGACTCTCAGCTGTTTGCAACCTGGGTTGTCCACTATGACACTTCTGGGAAGCCCTTCACCCAGACTTTTAGCAACTTCTTGTTCCCATCTATACCACAGGGAAGCCAAGAAAGCTAACCACCAGGCACAGCCAGCCACAGCCCATAGAGCACTTAGAAGTGAATTGGAAAATGATGTGCCCGGCAAGACGAGGATTTAGGAAAAGGCAGCACTCTCGCAAGATGGATGCCACAGTGGTCGGCTAGTACCTGTTCATACTGCCTCATGACAATCATCGGTCAAATTTTCATGAACTTTGAGAGCATAGCTGCTAAACACAAACATTAATAAAAAAAAAATTATATAAACTTACAATTAAATAAATTACATCAAAAACAAAGATAATACTCAAAATGTATCATTTCCTACTTATTTTGCTACCTTTTGCTGTTATTTATACTTCTGAGGTTACTTACATCTATTATATCTCTATGGTAGAAACAGTATATGATGATGCCGTGCTGCGCATCTCTTCCCAGCTCTGCATTCAGTGGAGTTATGTTGGTATCACATCACGAAATCGGCCATGATGGGTGTGTTTACACCACAGAAATAGGCAAAGGCTACATATCAGGGCTGGATTTATCATTTTGTTGATTGTCTAGTCTTAAGAAAGAAATGTAGGAAATGTTAATAATGCAGATTAAATGTACAAGTGTGTGGTGCCTGTAGCCATTACATTGTGAGTAGTAAAATAAAATAAGGGAATATTCTTTCAGCATTTGAAAACTATTCAGCAAAGTTACTCAGGTCATTGGCAAATGAGTGAAGATTCAACCAACATATATCTCTGGTATTGCACTTTCCTCTTACTTGTTAACATAGAGCAAAATGTCAAGTAGCATTGGAACTATACTTAATCACCAATTGCAACCACAGGTTTGTTACAGATATAAACGTTTATGAGCACAGCACTGAGGCAGCCCTTTGCAAGGATATGAGACTTGCACTCTGAAATTTGCTGCCTCCACCCCTTGCTCTATTCCCTTTACTGGGGATCTTTGTGTGTGAATAAATCATACAGCAATATACCGTGGCCCCATCCACAGGGCCTCATTCTAGGGAATCATGCCAGTTTTAATTTAATGCAGCTATATTCTAGGCTGGTTCATGGCAGCCAGTCTTCCTCCCAGAGCTGTAAAGAGTGTGTGTCACTCTCTCTTATCTAATACACCTCCTTCTCTCTCTTTTCTCTTTTCTATCATCCCTGAAGTGTCCACATTCTACCACTACATGGCAAGTAAGCCTATGGCCTGGTGCCCTGGCTGGGAAGCCTATCTTATATGGTCTGTAGGAAAATTCCAGCAACTGACTCTACCAGATCTGGTTGTGATTTGGTAAAAGGAAGTGGGATGGGAAGGAGTGGGACAAAGAAATCTAGAGTAACTTCTCACAAAGTAATGGGTTAGCTTGCAGTCTATTTGCTTGAAGTACAATCCAATATTTGAATGTTTGTTTTGTTTTGTTTTTTGAGATGGGGTCTTGCTCTGTTGCCCAGGCTGGAGTACAGTGGCACAATCTCAGTTCATTGCAACTTCCACCTTCCAGGATCAAGTTATACTTCTGCCTCAGCCTCTTAAGTAGCTGAGACCACAAGCGTGCACCACTACGTCTAGCTAATTTTTTATATTTTTGGTAGAGACAGGGTTTCGCCATGTTGCCCAGGCTGGTCTCAAACTCCTGAGCTCAAGCAGTCCTCCCGCCTCAGCCTCCCAAAGTGCTAGAATTACAGGTGCATGCCATCATACCCAGCCTCAGTATTTGAATGGTAAAAGCTATATCTGAACACCAGGACCAACTACATAATTTGTGGGTAACAGTGCAAAATGAAAATGAAAATGAAAATGTGGGTCTTCTTGTTCAAATTTATTAAGAATTTCAGGATGGCAACAGAAAAGCATTCAACTGAGCCTGGGGCCCTTCTGAGTGTGGGGCCCTGGGGGGCACAGGCTGCACCCTCATGGCCCTGGCTCTGCTGCACACTTTCTCTTTCCATCTCTTCAGAATATTCCTAATTACTACCTTCTCTCCTGTCCCAGGCACATGAATATTCTGAGTCAAGCAGGGAGTGAGTCACATACTCAGAAAAACAAATATGAAAGTCATATTTTTTTTTTAAAAAAAGAACCCTGATTATTTAAGTCTCCTAACTTGTCCCCAGATTCCTTCTGGGGTCTGTGAAAACCAAGAGTGAAAGCAGGGAAAATGATGTTTCTTTCATTCACATATGTGTCCATTCATTCTTCATTTATTGAGCACCTGCTCTCCTCCCAGCACGTTCCAGGCCCAGGAAATTCAACAGCGAGGAAAGCAGACATGTCCCTGTGCTCATGAGGCTCTCTGTGTAGTGCATAAATGAAGTCTGAACAAATAATGATTCAAACAAATACACAGTTAAAGACTGGGATAAAGCAAGAAGACTGATTTTATGAGCAGGGGTTTGATACATCAAAGGAGATTGCCCAGGATCAAGGGTGCGGTGTTGGGGGTGGGTTGGGGAGGGTGGTTAGAGAAGGTTTCACTAAGTGATTTGGGCCTGAGGCCTGAGAAGATGTTTAAAAAGAGGGATCAAGCACAGGCTAAGGAGAGGAAAGAGCAGGCACCCAAACCTCTGCATGGCCCCAATATGCTCCCTGCAGGGTAGTGCCCCCTCTTCTGGCTGCTCAAGGCGAGATCTAAGCTTCTTCTAACTCCTGCTGTCTTTTCATATTCTCTGATTCTGGGAAACGAAGAATTGGCAGGAACTGAAAATGACTAGGAAGAGGACATACTGGGTGCCCAACTCTTCTGGTGGCCTCGTGAATCGTGGCATCGACATAGGCGATGACATGGTTTCAGGACTTATTTATGTAAGTAGATCTCTTAGCATCAGCACACCAGGAAACTGAGTTGGCAGAATATTCTCCACGGTCATAAATTACGTCAAACAATTTCTTCCCATACTTATTTACCCTTGAATTTTTTTTCTTTTCTCTTTTTGCTCTCTCTCTCTCTCTTTTTTTTTTTTTTTTGACTCAGGGTCTTGCTTTGTCACCCAGGCTAGAGTACAGTGGCACAATCATAGCTCACTGACACCTCCTGGGTTCAAATGATCCTCCCACCTCAGCCTCCTGAGTAGCTAGCTGGGACTATAGGCACATACCACTACGCCCAGCTAATTTTTAAATTTTTCACAGAAATGGGGGTCTCCCTATGTTGCCCAGGCTTGTCATGAACTCCTGGCCTCCATCCTCCTGTCTTGGCCTCCCAAAGCACTGGGATTACAAGCATGAGCCACCCCACCCAGCTACTCTTGATTTTTTTCAAATAGACCTCAGGCTTCCACAATGAGATCAATTATAATCCATCATCATGGCATACCTTCATGGTTTATGCATATCTCTATGCATAATATTATATAGAGATTAGATTGTATCTATCTCTCTATCACCTATTACCTATTTATCTATGCATTTACTCATATTAATAATAATAATAATAAGCATCTGCAAACCCATCACCAATACATCAGCTTGGACCTTGGCAATCACACGCAGCAATTGGTCTTCCCCCATGTCATTCCCCAACCCTTCCTACCTGATGTAACCACTATTCTGAATCTCTTTCTGTCAATCCTTGCTGTGCTTTTAAAAAGTATTATTTTATATAGAATATATTATTTATTCTATATGAAGTCCTAAAAATTACCTGTCCTTTTATTTTAGTTGTCAAAAGGGAAACATATAATATTTTAGGATTTGCTTTTTTACTTGTTGGTTTCTTTTTAGTAGATTTACCCTCAAAGAGTGACTTGGTCCCTCATTCTGCAGGTAACTAACTATGGCACCCTTTATTCCTGTCTAAATTGTTTACTGTCAGATAAAAATCCAAAGAGGTAGAGTGACTGGGCCAGACTCACTCAGCAAATGTGGGTCAGAGCGAGTGCTGGGATCCAGTTGCCCTGACTCTCGGTCCCCTGCTTATTCTCGGTATGGAAGCCTTTCTTTAGGAAGCAGGATATGGAAAAATCCATTTCTCCATGGGCAGCTGGTCCAACATTCCCTCAGGACAGAATTTACGAGATTTGAAACTGATGCTCTTTTGTTTTTCTTTTCCAAGAAAACCTATACTCTCCAAGATGGCCCCTGGAGTCAGCAAGAGAGAAATCCTGAGGCTCCAGGGAGGGCAGCTGTCCCACCGTGGGGGAAGTATGATGCTGCCTTGAGAACCATGATTCCCTTCCGTCCCAAGCCGAGGTGAGTCCTGATGGGGGTGGTGGGAGAGAGCTGTATCCACCAGGGCAATGATCCCCAACCCTCCCAACTAGACCTCTCACGAAGGTTGCATAACTACATCCCTACACAGCCAAATCCCTTCAGAGCAGCCTGAGGCACACCAGGGAGGCACATCGTCATAGCCATTCATTCATTATTTATTCATACAGAAAGGATCATTGAGCACCTACATGTGCCAGGCACTGTGCTACATCACAGGGGAAGAACAGTGAGCAAACAGACGTGATCTTTGCCATCATGGACCTCACATGGGAGAGAAAGACAATAAGCAAATAAACTTGTGCATGACATGATTACAAGCTGTTTGAGGAAGGTGCTGTGAAGAAGTATGCGAGTGTTGAGGGACCGGAGAACCATGACAACTTGGTAGGTTCTGAGTGGCTTAAGCTGAGTGACACCTAGAGGGAGAACAAGAATTTCCTAAGCAAGAGTAGGAGAAGAATGATCAAGGAACAGCCTGTGGGACAGCCTTGCCTGGAGGGGCAAGGAACACAGCATGATGTGTCCAGGAACTGAGAAAGAAGGAGGCCAGTGTCACTGGAGAGTCTTGTGTGATGTGGGTGTGGCATGAGGTGAGGCTGCAGAGGCAAGCGGATCAGACAGGTTCTCAAAGGCCACATTAAAGTTACCAGCCGGCCGGGCGCGGTGGCTCACGCCTGTAATCCCAGCACTTTGGGAGGCCGAGGCGGGTGGATCATGAGGTCAGGAGATCGAGACCATCCTGGCTAACAAGGTGAAACCCCGTCTCTACTAAAAATACAAAAAATTAGCCGGGTGCGGTGGCAGGCGCCTGTAGTCCCAGCTACTCAGGAGGCTGAGGCAGGAGAATGGTGTGAACCCGGGAAGCGGAGCTTGCAGTGAGCCGAGATTGCGCCACTGCAGTCCGCAGTCCGGGCTGGGTGACAGAGCGAGCCTCCGTCTCAAAAAAAAAAAAAAAAAAAAAAGTTACCAGCCTTGGTTATGGGAGTAACCAAGTTGATTTCCAACATGTTTTCTAAGATTTTTATCTATCAACAAACTGCATTTGTTTGCCCATTTTTAAAATCTGAGCTTCTGTCAATACTAGTTACATTGTTACCATATTGAATTATGTTATCTCCACCAAGAACAAAGAACCTTGGTACTTTCATTCACCTGGGTAACCTCATCTTAGATAAATATATTGTTTCTGTTGGGGCTTTAAGATATTAGCACTGGCTCATAGGTCTTGCCCTGTCTTTTGTGATCACAAATGGTACAATCTCTTGCCCTCCCCTCACCCGCTCCTTGCTCCAATATCCCTGGCAATGGCATGTGGCCAGCCTTGTTGAGAATGCTGTGAGGATATGAAAGGGTAGAGAAAAGACGTCATAGTCCCTCTCCCCTACCCCCCAAAAGAAATCTTATAAGTTCGGCATTTTCATCTTCCCATCTTTCTCCTCAAGTCTCTTTTCGAATTGCATTTTCTTCCCATTGAAACACATAAACTTAAAGGCAATTTTGAAAAAAAAAAAAGTGGAAAAATGACACATAATCCCAATACCCTAATTTAGTCATTTTTGGTATTTGTAAATCATTCTTAAAGGTAATACCTTATCATCTTTAATTATTTATGTATTCAATTTTATTGTTTGTAAAAGTTTCACAGAAGAATTAAAGCCTTGAGGACCTCTCTTCCTATTTCTTTGTCAACTCCAACTCCTTTTTCAATGTCAACCACTATCAGCAATGTGATATAAATGTACATACTGTTTTGTCTGCTTTCTCTCCTTTCTTCCTTTTTTATATAAGTGAAAAAAATACTGAGTTTTTTTTTTCTTTTGAGACGGAGTCGTGCGCTGTCTCCCAGGCTGGAGTGGTAGTGGCGTGATCTCGGCTCACTGCAACCTGTGCCTCCCGGGTTCAAGCGATTCTCACGCCTCAGCCTCCCGAGTAGCTGGGATTACAGGCGTGCACACCACCACACCAAGCTAATTTTTGTATTTTTAGTAGATACAGGGTTTCACAATGTTGGCCCGGCTGGTCTCGAACTCCTGACCTCAGGTGATCCACCCTCCTCGGCCTCCCAAAGTGCTGGGATTATAGGCATGAGCCACTGGGCCCAGCCAATACTGAGTTTTTAATCTGCAAGTGGCTTTTTTTTGGCTTTTGCTTGGAACTCTTCCTGTGTTTTACATATAAACAAACCTTATTGAAAAAAAAAAAACCCCAAACATCTACATTGCATTTGCATTTTATAGTATGGGTAGATCATAATTTCTCTCTTTTTGTTTAAATAATTCCTCAATTAATGGGCACTTTTGTTGTTTATGATTTTCAACTTACAAATAAGAGTCATGAAAACATGTTTGTGTGTAGATCTGGGTAACCTCGTTGTGTTTTAATATGGTTGTCATTCATCCTTGCAAAATCTTGATCCTGAATTCATTCTTATCCTTGTGGCCCCTCTACTAGGTTTCCTGCCCCCCAGCCCCTGGACAATGCTGGCCTGTTCTCCTACCTCACCGTGTCATGGCTCACCCCGCTCATGATCCAAAGCTTACGGAGTCGCTTAGATGAGAACACCATCCCTCCACTGTCAGTCCATGATGCCTCAGACAAAAATGTCCAAAGGTGAAGCTGCGCTGGGCAAACCAGTGGATAGGTTAAAAGACAATCTCTTGGTGGGATAATGACCAGAGATGCCTAAGGGTGGTAGGGAGGGGCCATGCCAGACGACTTGGCTCTTCCTGTAGGAAGAGGCCTCATACTAGGTGAGGGTTTTTAACGTGGGGTTCATGAATCTCCTAAAATGGTATGGATATTTTGTACATACGGGCTGGAGATCTTTCTCTGGAGCAAGAATTCACATCTCTTATCAGACTTACCACAAGGCTTGTGAACCCAAGAAAGTTATTTTTCATTTTTTTCTTTTATTTTTATCACTATTTTTTTTTTTTTTTTGAGATGGAGTCTTTCTCTGTCACCCAGGCTGGAGTGCAGCGTGGTGCAATCTCGGCTGACTGCAACCTCTGCCTCCTGGGTTCAAGTGAGTCTCCTGCCTCAGCCTCCCAAGTAGCTGGAATTACAGGCGCTTGCCACCACGTCCGGCTAATTTTTGTATTTTTAGTAGAGATGGGGTTTCACTATGTTGGCCAGGCTGGTCTTGAACTCCTGACCTCAGGTGATCCACCTGCCTTGGCCTCCCAAAGTTCTGGGATTACAGGTGTGAGCCACCACACCTGTCCCAAGAAAGTTAGAAATGACCACTTCTAGTCCCTTTTGATTTTCTCTTCTGGATCAGGCATTCAACAGTGGCACTGAGTATTACTTTGGGTAAGTGGCCCAGTCTCCCAGTGCTCAAGCCACCGCTAACTAGTTGTGTGATTAAATTTCTTGTACCACCCACCACACACGGTAATATGAGGACAAAAGGTGGGAGAATATGAATATGTGATTTTAAAGATCCTGTATTCATGTTCCTACCTCTAGCTGCTTCATGAGAGATACCAGGTGGAAAATGAGTTTCCAAATGTGTTCTGGAAATTATAGTCTCATAAGAGCCTCCCCATAAAGAGCATTCAGTAGTCAGAGGAGTTTGTGAAATGTTGTGTTATAGCCAGGTGTTGGAGATTTACAAAGCAACTTAACACATTGAAGGCACATGTTTTCACATGGAGTACAGAAACTGGGTAAACTTTGACCCATTCCTTCTCAGACCTATTTGGTAAGAAAAAAAGAAATGGTTCCAGGAAATACTTTTTGGATAATGCCAGATATTAGTCAGAATCTCACCTCTTACTATGATATCAGACAAGTTTCCCTTTCTGGGCCCTGTGTCTTTATGTATAAAATAATGGATTGGCCGGGTGCAGTGGCTCACGCCTGTAATCCCAGCACTTTGGGAGGCCAAGGTGGGCAGATCACGAGGTCAGGAGATCGAGACCATCCTGGCTAACAGAGTGAAACCCCATCTCTACTAAAAACACAAAAAAATTAGCCAGGCATGGAGGCGGGTGCCTCTGTAGTCCCAGCTGCTCAGGAGGCTGAGGCAGGAGAATGGCGTGAACCCAGGAGGCAGAGCTTATAGTAAGCCGAGATTGCGCCACTGCACTCCAGCCTGGGCAACAGAGTGAGACTCCATCTCAAAAAAAAAAAAAAAAAAAAAGTGGATCATAAATTTATTTCATGGTCCTTCATAGGATTGTTGCAAGAAACAAAAGAGGTGATAAATTCATTTTTTAAAGTACACAGAGAATCGCTTGAACCCGGAAGGTGGAGGTTGCAGTGAGCCAAGATTGCGCCACTGCACTCCAGCCTGGGTGACAGAGTGAGACTCCATTTCAAATAATAATAATAATAATAATGTACCTGGAAACACACTTGATGCTTAATAGGTAACCAGCTAAGTCAATTTGAGTTTGCTTGTTCTTCTCTAACCATTGTGAGTACAAGATCTCCTGATTTCTTTCCATTCTCTTCCAGTTCACTGATTCTCTTTTTAATTTCGTTACTTACAATGTCTGTCCACAAACACTTTTGCAATCACTCCGTTTTTGTTTTTTGTTTAAAGATGAGATCTCACTATATACGCAAACTACGAAATACAGAAGGAATGGAAGAATTAGAAAACTCATCATTTTTCCAGCACTAGTGGAGGTGGCGCTAGGCAATGGTCATCAGTGTTGGAGATCTTGATAATGAAGGAGCCAGGCTGACACACCTTAACCCACTGATCCCCACCAACATTCCTAAAAGTGGGACACCAGACATCATGTGGTTCCTGATGTGAGGCGACAGGAAGTACACTCATCACCTCTTACATTTTTTTTTGCCAAACGGCTGGAATTCTGGATTTCATTAAGCCTTAGGTCTAGTGACCAGTTTATTAGGAAGCACAAGGGATCAACAATTATGTTAGACAACACCATGGAGATGCAATCAGTCCAGTTCAGAGTGTGGGAGATCCTACAGGATAAATAAAAATCAGTTTCTCCAACAAATAAATGGCATAGAAATGCAGACAAGGGGAAACGCTTACAGATTAAAATGCAGCTCAAGAGTTCTATCAGATTTCTCCTTTAGACCTTGTTTGGATCTTGATTCAGAGAAACTAACTCTATAAAGACATGTTTAAATAATTAGAGAAATTTCAATACAGACTGGGCATTAAATGCCATTAAGTAATTATTGTTACTGTGGTGTTATTTTATTTTATTTTATTTTTTTGACAGAGTATCGCTCTGTCGCCCAGGCTGGAGTGCAGTGGCGCCATCTCGGCTCACTGGTTCAACTCACCTCCCGGGTTCAAGCCATTCTCCTGCCTCAGCCTCCCGAGTAGCTGGGACTACAGGCACCCGACTGTAGTGTTATTTTATTGTTACTATTTTTTTTTTGGTTTGTTTTTTGTATTTTTTGAGATGGAGTCTCACTCTGTCACCCAGGCTGGAGTGCAGTGGCATGATCTCGGCTTACTGCAACTTCTGCCTCCTGGGTTCAAGCAATTCTCCTGCCTCAGCCTCCCAAGTACCTGGGATTACAGGCGCATGCCACCGTGCCAACTAATTTTCGTATTTTTAGCAGAGATGGGGGTTTCACCATGTTGACCAGACTGGTCTCGAACCCCTGACCTCAAGTGATCCACCCGCCTTAGCCTCCCAAAGTGCTGGGATTACAGGCATGAGCCACTGCGCCTGGCCCTGTGCTATGGTTTTTTAAAGGACTTTATCTGAAAGAGATATATACTGAAGCATTTAGAGATAAAATGATATGATGACTGAGATTTGCTTCAAATCCTCCAGGAAACAAAAGTCAAAGGGAAGAGACATGAAACAAAAATGTCAAACATTTTTGATTCTGGAAAGGGGGATGAGTACTCAGAAGATTACTACATTGTTCTATTCTGTTATGTTTGAAAATTTCTGCAACAAAGCTCCTGGCTAGCAAGAACTAGGATGTTTGGATGTCACATGCAAAGAGATTCCACCAGTTCCATTATCCTCTTTTCAAGGCTTCACCGCCTTTGGGAAGAAGAAGTCTCAAGGCGAGGGATTGAAAAAGCTTCAGTGCTTCTGGTGATGCTGAGGTTCCAGAGAACAAGGTTGATTTTCGATGCACTTCTGGGCATCTGCTTCTGCATTGCCAGTGTACTCGGGCCAGTAAGTGGCAGACTTGGTGAGGTTTGGGGGACTCTAGGCTTCAGAGGTTTAGCGATGGAACTGCGGGCATGTTCAAGTCCATGCCAGGAGTTAGAGATGCATTTGTCTTTCAGTTGCTGTCTAGAAAATGAAGACCTTTTGAGGACAGTAGAGCATGGTGGTTAGGAGTAGCTAACCACCAAGGAGTGGCCCTGTAGCCACTGCTTGGATTCAAACCATGTCCCTGGCACTTAGCTGCTGGGTGACTTCTAGCAATATAGTCACATTCTCTGCGACTTGGTTTCCCCATGGAATCCCATGGGACCCTCAGGTGTAGACCTTATGGAAACCCTTGCATGTAAAATGGAGAGCTGCCTCATAGGGTAACATTAAATGAGATAAGTATATAAAGCATTTAGAACATGGCCTGGCTCAGCACATGTTAGCTCCTCTGAGAAATGGCTGAGCAACTCTGGGAATGTAGGTAGCAGGAAATAATGGTCTTCTCCAGGTAACATGGTTGGGATGAATGTGCTCTATTTCCCATCATTCTCCAGTTCCTCAGCCCAAGAGTCTCATATGAGAGAAAGAGTCTGATTGGCCAGCTGGGGTCACATGATCACTGGTTGGCCAGAAGAAGCGGGGTACTTTGATTTACAGTCCAGCCTAGACTGCACCAATGGGGGAGGTGGGAGTCTTCCCAGAAGAAAACTGAGGCACTGGTACCAGCTACGGGGAGGTGAAGGTAGGTCAGGAAGAAACAGCAGTCGATGACAGAACAGAGATAACTGAGTCGGGTGACAGTTAGGTGCCGGGTCCTCTAGATCCACTCTCCATCATTTTCCATCCTGCCCTGTGCCCCTAATGTGGATCACATTAATGGACCCCCACTGCCCTCTGGCTTCTGGTTGGGGTTGACCGGTGGGAGATTCTAATAGGAGACTGGAAGGAGGAAGAAGATGAGGTCAAGATACATATTCCCCAGGCGGCCTCCCTCCTTGTCCTTGGAGGCTGGTGACCAGAGCTCCTGTCCAGACCCTCTCTGTGTGCCTCACCCCTTTTGGGCCACAGAACCTCTTCCTGCTCTTGCCCCTTAAGTCTAAGGAGGCCACTGTTCCCTGCTGTCACCAGCTTCATGGTGCTCCACCAGGCCTTGTTGGATTTCCTATATTCTGTCTACACCTTTGTAAAGCCACTTTGTTAACGCCTAAATCACTGTTTTGTGTGTGTCCCCTGTCTCCTGTCAGGATGAGGACAGCCACCTAAGGTTGCAGAACTGGGTCAGTTGAACTCCTAAGTCTCCTCCAACTGGACCTTAACCTTCTTGAGGGCAGGATTGTACTTGAGTCAGTTTTGATCCTTCAACAAACCCCCAGCATGAATCAGACCTCCCAACCCTTCTTCCAGCAACAAAACATCAAACGTGTCTGGCAGGGTGGTCTGAATGATCCAAACTCCCATTTCCTTGTAGATATTGATTATACCAAAGATCCTGGAATATTCAGAAGAGCAGTTGGGGAATGTTGTCCATGGAGTGGGACTCTGCTTTGCCCTTTTTCTCTCCGAATGTGTGAAGTCTCTGAGTTTCTCCTCCAGTTGGATCATCAACCAACGCACAGCCATCAGGTTCCGAGCAGCTGTTTCCTCCTTTGCCTTTGAGAAGCTCATCCAATTTAAGTCTGTAATACACATCACCTCAGGAGAGGTAAGCAGCTGGGACTGCCTATTCTGGGCCATGCTTCCCTACCCTTCCTCCGGACATAACTGCCCTGGGGGCCAAGAGAGGGAGAAAAGGGGGTTAGAAGAGGAAGGAGAAAGAGAAAGAAAATAATTCCTAGGTTGAGTGTGGATAACCATTAACAATTGCCTGTGTGTCATGAAAGCAGGTCAACAATAATGCAGGAAATGCCACTTACATTCAGAGACTAGAGAGGATTTATCCATTCATTCAACAAGTAGGAACTTTGGGAGGCCCAGGCAGGAGGATTGTTTAAGTCAGGAGTTCAAGACTAGCCTGGGCAACATGGAAAGACTCCGTCTCTACCAAAAAACAAAACAAAGCAAAAACAAAAATCAGCCATCTGTGGTGGCTCATGTCTTGTAATCCCAGTTGTGGAAGGCCAAGGCAGGAGGATTGCTTGAATCCAGGAGTTTGAGACTAGCCTGGGCAACATGGCAAGACCCTATTTCTACTTCCAACCCTGCAAAAAAAAAAAAAAAATTAGCTGGGCTTGGTGGTACATGCCTGTAGACCCAGCTACTCAGGAGGCTGAGGTGGGAGGATCATCTGAGCCCAGGGAGGTTGAGGCTGCAGTGAGCCATGATCACGCCACTGCACTCTAGCCTGGGAAACAGAGTGACAGCCTGTCTCAAAAAAAAAAAAAAAGACAAAAATTAACCAGGCATGGTGGTATATACCTATAGTCCCATCTACTTGAGAGGCTAATGCAGGAGGATCGCTTGAGCCCAAGAGTTCAAGGCTGCAGTGAACTATTATCACACCACTGTACTCCAGCCTAGGTGATGGAGCGAGACCCTGTCTCAAACACACACACACACACACACCCCAAATAGTTACTGAGGCCTATTCTGAGCCAGATTATGTTCTAGACCCTGGGGATAGGCCCCTGAACAAAAAGACACAAATCCCAAATAGAAGCATGTTGGAAAGTGCGTCCCCTAAGCCAACCTGAGGGTGAGGGTATGGGAAGACTTGATGGCTTAGGGAAATCTTCCAGGGAAAAGCAATTTTTGGTAACATCTCAGAGTTTTAATTTCCTTATCTGCAAAAAAGGAATCCTTTCACCTGCCTGGTTATTGTTACTGTCCATTCTTACTCTTGCTTTTTTTTTTTTTACAGCATAACACAAACAACCATTGACAGAAATGGAGGAAGAAACTCCAACTTATGACCTATAGTTGTGGGGGATACTGGGATTTCATCTATTTCATTTTGATATCTTTATTTTTCTGTGGTTTACCAATTGCCTCGAGGGTTGTGGGTTACTTTGATATTGAAACAGATACTTTAATTTTTGGAAAAGGCAACACTGCTTTGGCTCCTTTCCTTTAAGCCAACCCCCTTTGTGATCTGTTATTAGCCCCTTTCCAGCCTCATCTCTTCCTGTGTCCTCTCCTCTAGCCCTAGCTTGACTTCCTCCTGCCACCTAGGCTGGGCTTAACCTCCAGTCCTCAATTACACCGGGCACATCCCCCTCCTGGTGACTTTGCTTATGTCACTCCCACTCCCAGCCCTTTAAAAATCCCACTCATCCTTCAAGACCCAGTTTATTTTTCCTCTCCTCCGTGACGGGATCTCCAAACCCAGCCTTCTACTGGCATTCCCTGCTAAGCATTTGCAGTTCTTTTTGCACAAATCTGGCTGCCCTACTAATATGAGCCCCCTTCAAAGACACAAACCATTTCAGATTCACCACTCTGTCTCTCAAAAGGCCCAACACCTGAATTACACAGAACAGATATTCCAAAAACATCTGCTGAATTATTCATTGCCATCAAGTAGAGGCGTTCCATAAATGCAAGCACTAACAAACATTAGGTATTTATTGGAATCATTATGGTTATTACTGTTCACCATTTTATTGGTTCTGTGGCCTTAGGTAATTTGTTCAGCCTCTCTGAAGCTGTGGAATAATAATAGAACCAACCTCATAGGATTGTTGTCTCATAGGATTCAGTGAGTTTGTACATGTAAAGCATGTAGACGGGGGTAGTGGTTGACAAGTGTAAGCTGTACAATTAGTGTTAGTTTCCATTAGGCCTTGAGCTCCACTGTCCTCCTGCACTTGACCCACAGCTAAAAGATCTCCCTGTTTATCTCAGGAAAGTCATCGTAACAACCCCTAACTTACTCTTAGCCATACGTTGCTCCAAGTCATTACTTACATTCGCTTGGTCAGTTCTCTAACATCCCTCTTGTGTGGCAGTTTCTGTTATTGTCCCCATTGTCACAAAGGAGGAAACTGAGGCAAGGAAAGGGTAGGTAACTTGTACAAGGTCATGTGATTGCTAAGTGCTGGGGCCTGAATTTGGACATGGTGCCTGGCTGCAGAGTCCGGGTCTTCAACCCTTGCAGTCACCCGCCTCACTAAGGAGCCCTGTGCTAAGGCCTAGCTTGGTTCCTTTCTGTATATTCTGAGCACCTGCTGTATGCAAAATCCAGTTTCCTCAAACATCTTCATAGAAGCATAAAACAAAATGGTCTATTTGAGAGTGGAGATGGAAGTAATTTCTGAAGTAAGGATTTCTAGGCAGTTGCTTATATACATTTTAATTTAATTCAATTAATTAATTTATTTTTGAGCTGGAGTTTCCCTATTGTTGCCCAGGCTGGAATGCAATAGTGCAACCTTGGCTCACTGCAACATCTGCCTTCTGGGTTCAAGCGATTCTCCTGCCTCAGCCTCCCGAGTAGCTGGGACTACAGGTGTGTGCCACCACGCCTGGCTAATTTTTGTATTTTTAGTAGAGACGGGGTTTCACCATGTTGGCCAGGCTGGTCTCAAACTCCTGACCTTAGGTGACCTGCCTACTTTGGCCTCCCAAAGTGCTGGGATTACAGGCATGAGCCACAGCTCCCAGCCTACATTTTATTTTTAAATTAATTAAAAAATTTTCTTTTACTTAAAAACATTTCTTTGTCCTTTCTCTTGCACTAAAATTAATTTTTTAAAATTATCTGAATACATTCTCCTTGGAAACAAAATAAAATAGTATAGAAGTTGCCTTAGGCCTAGTTTCTTCCCCTGTGCCCAGAGATTAGCACCATTAGCAACTTGGTTTTTGTACTTCAGACCTTTTAAAGCACATTTGACTGGACAGGATGGCTCACACCTGTAATCCCAGCACTTTGGGATGCCGAGTTGGATGAATCGCTTGAGTTCAGTAGTTTGTGACCAGCTTTGGCAACAGAGCGAAATCCCATCTCTACCAAAAATGCAAAAAGTTAGCTGGGCGTGGTGGCGTGCGCCTGTGGTCCCAGCTACTTAGGAGGCTGAGGAAGGAAGATGGCTTGAGCCCAGAAGGCATAGGTTGCAGTGAGCTGAGATTGTACCACTGAACCCCAGCCTGGACAACATAGTGAGACCCAGTCTCAAAAAAAAAAAAAAAAAACCCAAAACCAAAACAGTCCATTTAGGTACACATGCAAGGTACCCATAAAAAACATTGGATTTTGTGTTTGTGTATTTTTATGTAAGTGGTACTATGTTTTACATAGCGTCCTCCTCTTGGTTTTGCCAATAGAAAATGTAGAACATAGCTTTTGGGGGATTTTTTACATCAATGATACTACATCTTTGTGTTGCTTTGTAGCTTTCCCTCCTGCTTATTGTGACTGAGCTTTCCAGAGCTTTCCAGTTAGCACACATAGATCGTCCTTATTTGTATTAGTCCATTTTCACGCTGCTGATAAAAACATACCCAAGACTGGGTAATTTATAAAGGAAAAGAGGCTTAGTGGACTCACAGTTCCACGTGGCTGGGGAGGCCTCACAATCATGGCGGAAGGTGAAAGGCACATCTTACATGGTGGCAGACAAGGGAGACTGAGAGAGCTTGTGTAGGGAAACTCCCCCCATATAAAACCATCAGATATTGTGAGACTTAGTCACTGTCATGAGAATAGTCCCTCCCACAACATATGGTGATTGTGGGAGCTACAATTCAAGATGAGATTTGGGTGGGAACCCAGCCAAACCATATCATTATTTTATTCAGTGATGCTGAATCATAATTACAGTACTTTTGACATGCCTGAATAAAGTGCTATATATGCATTATCTAGCACCGTTCTCAAATCAATATGAGAAAGTAGGTTGTATTATTATTTCCATTTCACTGATGAGGTGACAGAGGCACAGAGACGTGGAGTAACTTGTCTATGGTTGCACATCTAGTAAATGACAAGTCTGGGGCATGAGCTCTGACAGTTTAGCTCTAGGACCCAAGATTGCCTACTACTTCTGGGGTGACTTTGTTGTTGTCTGAGACAGGTTCTCACTCTATCACCCAGGCTGGAGTGCAGTGGTGCCACCATAGCTCACTGCAGTCTGGACCTCCTGGGCTCCAGCAATCATCCTCTCTCAGCCTCCTGAGTAGCTAGGACTACAGGCACACACCACCATGCTTGGCTAATTTTTAATTTTTTTTAGAGATGGGGTCTTGCTATGTTGCCCAGGCTGGTCTTGAACTCCTGGCCTCAAACAATCATCCTGCCTCAGCCTCCCAGAGTGTTGGGATCGTAGATGTGAGCCACTTTGCACAGCCTGGGATGGACTTTTTAAATCCTTTTCCACCAACTTGTAAGATGTTTCCAGCATTTGGCTGGTGTAAGCAGTGCTGTAATGAACATCCTTGTATGTGCTTCATCTAACATGTGTGAATGTTTCGCAACAGAAAAATGAAATTGCCAGATCATAGAGTTTTGTGCAATTTTTAATCTTAAAAGATACTTTAAAATTGCCCTTCAGAGTGGCTATACCAATTTATGCTCCCTGATGTACTTTTAAATGTTTTAAAGGCTCCCACTAGGGCATGTCCTGGAAACTGGAAGGAGTTTAGGTGAAAGTTAAAAGCAAATCACTTTGTAAGGGATTCAGACTGGCAATTCTAGAAAACATTAGTGAATTGTTCTTTAAAGATTTCCTGATTTGGAATGTAAGATTTTGTGTTTTTGTTTTTATTTTGAGACTAGGTCTCATTCTCTTGCTCAGGCTGAAGTGCAGTGGCATGATTACAGCTCATTGCAGCCTTGATCTGCCGGGCTCAAGTAATCCTCCCGCCTCAGCCTCCTGAGAAGCTGGGACTACAGGCATGTGCCCCCGTGCCTGGCTAATTTTCCTACTTTTTATAGAGACGGGGTTTCACCATGTTGTTCAGGCTGGTGTCAAACTCCTGGGCCCAAGTGATCCACCCACCTTGGCCTCCCTGTGCCCGGCCAAATGTTACTTTTTATATAGCGTTGAGCCAGGCAGTATATGTGGGAGGAGGGAAGTAGGCAGAAGAATCTATAACAAAAAAGAAAAAAAAGGAGAAAATTTAATTAATATTATTATTAGTAGTAGAATGAATAGAATCGAGTGAAGAATAGAAGCAATTCTCTGGAATATAGATATTAGTGGTGTTACCAAGCAAAAGGGGCTCACTGCCTAATGTGCTAGAAGCCAATACTTTGACACTGGGTTTTTGAGAAAAGAAAAGCTTTTTATTGCAAATTGGCTCACAAGGAGACAGGAGTCCAGCCCAGATCTGTCTCCTTGTCCTTGCTTTAAGACAGTGATTTTATTAGGAAAGATTTAAGGGGTGGATTCTGAGATTAGTAGGTGATTGGTGGAATGAGAGGGGAGGTCTGAAAAGCCCTTGTGTATATGCAGTGATCTCTTCATGTCTCTTCATGGGTCCCATTTGCAAATTCACAGGGAATTAGTATGAAATATGTGGTGAAAATTTAGGCTGTGACGTTAGCAAGCTGGTTCTGTACAGACTCTAGTTAGCCATACTGGTTCCACCGATTTTAGCCAGTTCTGTTATCTTAAAAGCAGAGGGACTTTCAGCAAGTTGTTTCTTTCTGTAACTGCTATCCTACAAACTCAAGAATTTCTGTTAGTTACTGGTTTCTTTAACTCTTTGGGTCATGGTTTCAGTAGCAGTAGTAATAGTAGTAGTATTAATCGTAGTAAAATATCCCTTTTATTGAGCACATTCTATGTGTGCAGACACTTTCTATGTTATTGAAATCTCACAAAACCCATATAAAGTAAGTATAATTATTCCAGCTTTACAGATGGAGAAGCTGAGGCTCAGAGTGGTAAAGTAACTTGTTGAGAGTCACACAGCCAGAGAGAAGAAAGATGTGAACCTGGGGTGTCTGTCTCTACTCTTCCACCCTTCCTTTCAAGCCTTCCTGCTAGGAGAGGGCATGGGGAGGCCACCTGCCACCCCTTCTGTGTACCCAGGGAGGTGACATCTGTGCCCATCAACTTGCTGTCTTGCAGGCCATCAGCTTCTTCACCGGTGATGTAAACTACCTGTTTGAAGGGGTGTGCTATGGACCCCTAGTACTGATCACCTGCGCATCGCTGGTCATCTGCAGCATTTCTTCCTACTTCATTATTGGATACACTGCATTTATTGCCATCTTATGCTATCTCCTGGTTTTCCCACTGGCGGTAATGTCTTTCTCTGTCACCCATTTGATGCTGGGCCCCAGAAGTCCCAGGGCTCTGGAATCTGGGATAGCTCTGAGTGAGAACATTGATTCTTGTTGACCTTTCAATCCATTGTGGTTAAGATTCAGCTCCACTCCCTACTTCAAACTATTCTCTGGCCACAACATTCGGTTAAGAAGTAAATAAGAGGTGAATGTGATGTGCAAAGTCTACCTCGTAGCTTTCTATGGGAGATTATCTGCTTCGACAACTTTCCTTTGTAGATAATCTCTGTGCGAGATTTTTGTTCCGTCTCTTCTCCCCAGAATGTGCTGATGTAATAACACAGCCAGCATTTAACATTTGTCTGAGCACAGTATAATGGGGAAAGGGAAGCATATTTGTTGCCAAAGATTCAGGTGAAATAAAATTGAGAAAACAGAAATGATTCTTGGATTATGTGTGCTCTGAATTATTGAAATTGAGTGTTTTCCTGAGTGCAGTCACTCTGATGGAAAGATGATTTTAATTATTAGAGGGTTTAGGGTTCCAGAAGACAGAGGAACCATTTCGGTTTAGTTTCTGTCTAAGTAGCCATAGCCTGGCTTGGGACTCAGGAAAGAAAGGCCCCTGGGATGCTCTAAGGCATAGTGGCCTGGAGAGCTTTGATTGGAAAACCTCTCTTTGGAAATACACCCAGTTGCCCTACTTATGCCAGGCTGAACTCTCCTGCCCTTGTCAAAGGAAGCCCTTGCAGATCAACTCCAAACTTGCTGTATCCTGACTCCAGGTATTCATGACAAGAATGGCTGTGAAGGCTCAGCATCACACATCTGAGGTCAGCGACCAGCGCATCCGTGTGACCAGTGAAGTTCTCACTTGCATTAAGCTGATTAAAATGTACACATGGGAGAAACCATTTGCAAAAATCATTGAAGGTATGGAAAGTCTGACTTTCTGCTCCAAACCTGGTGATGGCATGGTAAGCCGAGCCCCTCTCACCTCTTGAGGATTTTTTTTCTTTTTAATGCTTTGGGGATGGTGCTGTGCTCTTTGGAGAATGTTCTTGTGGTTATCTTTGGTGTATTTCTTTTTTATTTCCCAGACCTAAGAAGGAAGGAAAGGAAACTATTGGAGAAGTGCGGGCTTGTCCAGAGCCTGACAAGTATAACCTTGTTCATCATCCCCACAGTGGCCACAGCGGTCTGGGTTCTCATCCACACATCCTTAAAGCTGAAACTCACAGCGTCAATGGTAAGGGTTTGGGGGGCTTTGTTTTCTCCCCATCATGATTGGGAATTTTCTCACGTGTCCTTTTTTAGCCATGCCCCTCAAAGGTCTGAAGGCTTTGTAAATGGACATTATATGTTGATTTTGATTTTCCAGACAAAAGTACAGTGCTGTCTTCCATCTCAACCCATCTGAAAAAGTGACATCTTGGATAGCCCTGTGGGCGGGCTGGACAGCAGAACCATCGGGGGTGTGGGGGAGGTGGTACTTGTAGTTAAAATTCTGACAATTTGAATAACACCTTGAGGTTGTGGAGTTCCTCTAATCCCTAAATAAGGGCCCTGGGAGTGCACTTTAAATACAAAGGTATAGCGTCTTCAGTCCTTCCCTTCGTGGTCGGAACCTGGCCCTGAGAAGTGGCAGCTGCCTTTCAGTGTTAGGAATCCCTGCTCTTTGAGCAGAATAAGACAGGGTGCTGCTCTTGGAGGGGTGGTAATCCAACTGGGGAGGCCAGGAGGCAGCACCCAGAGCAAGAAGGGAAGCATTTGAGAGTCTGCAGCCAAGGGGTTGTGTGTGCCCCAGATGGCTGGCCCCTCTGCTTGGCTCAGGCATGCACCAGGAAAACACCCCCGAGAAGTCTGAGGGTGTTGGGGGCGCTATAGAAGGAATACTTTCAGAGGTACTTGAGGCTCACACTGAGATGACACAAGGCAGGTCTAGACGAAGGCATTCCTGCTCCATTGGAGTTCATTTTTGGATGAAGCCAGGAGAAGAAAGAAGGAGAGATGGGTATGGATTGGAAGGTTCTTTCGGCACCTCCAGGAGGGCACCTTCTGGGTCCTGAGAGCCTAAGGTGTTTTGCTATAGTCACAGTGCAGCATGGGTTAGGCATGAAGGGTAAGGAGATGTTGAATGTTAGAAAGAAAACAAACATCTAAGGCAAAGAAGAAGAAATAGGACCTTGACAGCAAGAATAGCACCAAGCTACATTGAAAGGAAGCAATGCTCACTCACATGAATTTTCTTGTTTTTTCCCAACTTTATTCCTGTATACACTTTATGATTTTTCTCACTATGCCAATGGGGAAACTGGGCTGTGGTAGGGGCAACCTGCCCAAAGCTAGAGATGTCAGTGGCTAAGCTGCAACAGGGACTAGGCCTTTGACTCTAAGACTCCAGGACGAGTGCTCTTTCCCCAGCTTTTTCCAGTCTCCTCCAAACACTAGCTTAGCCTCTGTTGGATGAAGCAACTGCTTGTTGGATGCTGAGGATGTGGCTCAGGGATGCGGGTGACAGGGAATGGAGGAAGCAGGAAGGGCCACGACCCTCACCACCTCCTCCCCTTCTTATCCAGGCCTTCAGCATGCTGGCCTCCTTGAATCTCCTTCGGCTGTCAGTGTTCTTTGTGCCTATTGCAGTCAAAGGTCTCACGAATTCCAAGTCTGCAGTGATGAGGTTCAAGGTAGGTCATCAGGGGACTGGCTGTAGGCCCCCTGCTTGGACGCTCCTCTGCCTTCAGCCCCCATGATGTTCCTCCAGAACACGTCCCCTGGCCAAGGCCTAGGTCGAGAGAGGGATTAGCTAACTCAGTGACCTCCTGTTCCAAGGCTGGTGTGGAGCCTGGGAAGACAGATGAATCGGGTCAGGTCTCAGTCCCCAAGAAGATCTTAGGATAGTGTGTCCAAACCAGGTCTCAGACAGATGCTCTGCAGACTTTATCCAGGTTTGCATAGAGTTACCCCAATAGATAGTTTTGTTTTAGAAAAACACCATAGATGTTGCTTGCATTGAAAAACTTGGACATTTTATGTGAAAACCCAGATTTTTGAATTCTCTTGAATGATTAGAAGGTCTAGTGACCCTGGACCACATTCTACCATGGCCACAAGCCGCTGGAGTTGAGGCAATACCTGCCTTGTTTAGATGGAGGCATTTAGCTGCAGTTTGCTGCAGTCTCTACCATACCCTATTGCACCTCCAGGCCTGGAGCTGCATTTTAC
This sequence comes from Homo sapiens, assembly GCF_000001405.40. Taxonomy (NCBI): domain Eukaryota; kingdom Metazoa; phylum Chordata; class Mammalia; order Primates; family Hominidae; genus Homo; species Homo sapiens. The sequence goes on along the minus strand of NC_000016.10, from coordinate 48,212,904 downwards.
TTACCATTTATCATCTTAAAAATGGTCCACTTCACTTATTTACATAGCTGGCATCTGAGTTTGAAAACCCTAATCTAAACCAATTCTTAAAAGTCATTTTGTAGTCACTCCACTTTTACATACATGCAGTCCACGACCTATTATCACTCATTCACTCATTAATGCAAAAAATATTTATTGAGCTCCTACCACAAGCCAGGCACTGAGAATACTGTATTGAACAGGGGTCCCTGCTGTCAGGGAGTTCTGATTTGGTATTGGAAACAGACAATTAACAAGTAAATTAATGATCAAAGAGGATTAGATCAGATCACATGAAGAGCCATGATGCCAATAAAACAATGTGATGTCCTAGAGCAAGCTTGTCCAACCTGGGTCACAGGTCGCATGCGGCCCAGGATGGCTTTGAATGTGGCCCAACACAAATTTGTAAACTTTCTTAAAACATTAGGTGATTTTTATTTTTGCTGTTTTTTTTCTTAGCTCATTAGCTATCATTGGTGTTAGTGTATTTTCTGTGTGGCCCAAGACAGTTCTTCCAGTGTGCCCCAGGGAAGCCAAGGGATTGGACACGCCTGTTCTAGGGAGTAAGTTGGGGAGGGCTGGGGGTTCCTAGGAAGAGCCTGGTTAGGGAAGGCCCCTGCGAAGATGACTTTGAGTGATGATGACCAGGCTGAGGAAACAGCAAGTGTGAAAGCCCTGAGGCTGGAATGAGCTTGGCTGCTCTGAGTAACACAAACAGTGCTTTGCTTATCACCAGCCCAGTGCGCTTCCCTGACTTCTCAGCAGCTATGAGAAGGCTCCTACTGCTGCCTTCCTTCCCATGGGACACTGGGTTCACCCATTCATTCTCCCCTTCTGTGCCTGTTTTCACCTGTGGAGGGGGCAGAGATGAGGAAGCCACAATCTGAGCTCAGAAGGATGGGTAAGAGAGTCCAAAATGTCAGGAAGCATCCTTCTAGATCTCTTAAGCATATCTCCAGGTAGGGATATGTGAATGTAACCTGACTTCCATAGGATCATACTCCCCTCCATTCTTTTAATTGCTTGAATTTATGTAGTTCAACCCTTGTGCTTTATAGACAGGGAGCTGGAGATGCAGAGAGAATTGACCTGCTGATGATCACCTTTTGAAATGTATGACCCCAAATGACCTTTCCCCAGTGTGGGACACGGACAGAGCTTTTTATTTTCAATAGCTACAAGTAGATTTTTTTTTTTTTAAAGAGATGGAAGTCTCACTATGGTCCCCAGGCTGGTCTTAAACTCCCAAGCTTAAGCAATCCCCCGACTTGGCCTCCCAAAGTGCTAGGATTACAGACATGAGCCATTATGTCCAGCCCAATCTAAATAGAATTTAATTGGAAAAACATCAATCCTATGAGTCAATGGCTATCATCACTTGGGATGAGGCTAATGTAGGTTAGGCCTTAGTCAACCTCCTGAGCGCAGAGTTGCAGTTGACAGTGCAGTGTTTGCAAATATGGAAGAGTGGCCCGGTGGTCTGAAATTTGGAAAACACTGACCTGGAATTTTCACCCACAGAAACTGGCCTTTCCTAACTGGTGGTACTTCTGCAAACTTTTACTGCTTATTAGAAATTCACAAAACCATACCAACTGGCAGACTTGTAAAACTGGGAACACATTCCTGCTGAACTAAAGAACTGTATTCCTCCTCCCTCTATTTTTTTCTGTCTTTACAGAAGTTTTTCCTCCAGGAGAGCCCTGTTTTCTATGTCCAGACATTACAAGACCCCAGCAAAGCTCTGGTCTTTGAGGAGGCCACCTTGTCATGGCAACAGACCTGTCCCGGGATCGTCAATGGGGCACTGGAGCTGGAGAGGAACGGGCATGCTTCTGAGGGGATGACCAGGCCTAGAGATGCCCTCGGGCCAGAGGAAGAAGGGAACAGCCTGGGCCCAGAGTTGCACAAGATCAACCTGGTGGTGTCCAAGGTAGCCTTGTTCAGGCCACGCAGGCAGGCCAGCTGCCAGGCTCTCAGGACCTGAGGCTAGGAGCTTGGCCAGGTGCCCCACCATTTCCTTGGTTAAAAACTGCCCTCTCCAAGATCTCTCCCCTTAAAATTCAAATTTTTCATGGAGGGCAAACACAGGATATCGTTCATTTTTTAATGTGAATTAATCTATCATTTAAAATTTTTTTGGCTTAGGTAAGACCCAAAATAATATGAGAGTACTGTGTGCTTGTCCTTGGAAGAACTAAGGACACAGAAAGGAGAAGGGAAAGGAGACCCAGCTAACATTTATTACATTCCTCGTATGTGCCAAGCACTATCCTGTGTTTGAATTTGGTTATTCTGTGAACTCACCTTATCTGGTTCTTTCTCTGCCTAATGTTTACAAAAATTAGCTTCCTGCTGTCTCCTCTTCGCCCCTCCTCTTTTCTTCTCTGTTATCTATTAATGTAGATATTGATACCTTATAATAATTGATATAGAATAGATATAGATATTGATCTATATATAATGATAAATGTCTAAAAAATAGATAATATCTAGTAGTAATAGGTGTTAATATCTAATATCTACTGTCTCTTATCTATTTATACTTTCTTCCTTGGTGATCATCTCTAGCCCTGCGGTTTTAAATTCTATCTCTGTGCTATTATCTCTAGCCTTGAAGTATCTTCTGGACTCCAGACTCAACTGCCTATTTAATATCTCTCTTAAATGTCCATCAAGCATTTAAAATGAAATAAGGTTTTGATATTCACCCCCTTTGACGAGTTCCCCAAATCTTCCGTTTCCTGGGAGATGGCACCATCATCCTTCCAGTGGTTGAGGACCTGGAAGTCACACTTGATTCCTTTCCTTCCCTCCCTCGAATCCAATCCACCAGCAAGGCCTGTCAGCTTGACTTCCACATCTGCCCCAAACCTGCCACCCTCACCATAGCCCCTCCACTGCCCTATCCCTGCCACTGTCACGCCGCTCCCAGAACCTCCTCATCCACCTCTCTGCTCCCACTTTCGCCTTCTTATGAGCCTTCTACCATACAGCAGACAGAGGGATTTTCCTTTTTTAAATAATTAATATATATTTTTTATTTCAATAGCTTTTGGGGTACGAGTGGGTTTTGGTTAGACGGAGGAGTTGTATTGTGGTGAAGTCGAGATTTTAGTGCACCCGTGACCCGATAGAGTGCATTGTACCCAATAGGTAGTTTGTATCTCTCGCCCCACTCCCATCCTCTGTCTCTCTGACCCTCCAAAATCCATTATACCAGGGGACCCCGACACCTGGGCGGTAGACCTGCACTGGTCCACAGCCTGTTAGAAACCAGGCCGCACAGCAGGAGGTGAGCAGCAGGCCAGTGAGCATCACCGCCTGAGCTCCGCCTCTTGTCAGATCAGCGGCAGCATTGGATTCTCATAGGAGAGCGAATCTTATTGTGAAGTGTGCATGAGAGGGATCCAGGTTGCACACTCCTTATGAGAATCTTGCCTGATGATCTGAGGTGGAACAGTTTCATCCTGAAACCAATCCCCTGCCATCCCTCAGTTGGTGGAAAAATTGTCTTCCATGAAACTGGTCCCTGGTGCCAAAAAGATTGGGGGCAGCTGCATTATACCATGACAGAGGGATCTTTCTAAAACATAAGCCAATGCAAGTCACTCTCCTTAAACCCTTCAGTGACTTTTCACTGCCCTTAGAGCCCGGGTTCCTCCAAATCTGTACCTGTACCTCTGAACTCTTTCCCACCAGTGTTCTCACAGCTCTTGGGCAGCAATGACACCTGCTCTGTAGAAGCCTTCCCTGGCTGACCCATCTAAAATTGCCTCAACCCCCAACTTTCTGTCTGTCATAAGAGTCAACTTCATTTTACTCATATCACTTATCTCCATCTGATATTTATTTATTTATGTAGTCTCTCTGTCTTCCCATCCCCTCAGCTTATATTCTGAGCTCAATGTGAGGTCTTTTCTTCATTACTAGGTCCATAGAGGAAACTCAGATCACTATTTGATGGGTGAATGAATGCTTCAATAAATGAATGCATGCATGCATGCATGAAATTCTGTGAGGCTGGCTTCTTTATTCCCATTTCACAAATGGAGAAACTGAGGCCCAGAGAGGCTAAGTGGCTTTCCCAGGATTGCTGCATAGAATAGACACAAATCTGGAATTCAGGGTTCTTGCCACCTACCCCTGAATTCCCCTCTGCCTTTCCCTTGTGATCTCCTTCCTCTCGGGTCACCCCACCTGCCTCCAGGGACTGAGCACAAAGCTCCTCTTGAGCTTTGCCTGTCTGAGGAGTCTTGGGCTCTGTGTGGTTATTTTGTTTTCTGTGTGTTGTTTTGGGTTCTAAACAGTTGAGCCGCCATGGGCAGGTGGGTATGCCAGGGCTATGCTGTCCCAACACTTGTATGTCCTCCTTGGCTTGCAGGGGATGATGTTAGGGGTCTGCGGCAACACGGGGAGTGGTAAGAGCAGCCTGTTGTCAGCCATCCTGGAGGAGGTAAGTGATCTGTGGCCACATGCTTGCCTGTCTGCAGGCAGTCCAGGCCCTCCCAAGCTCCAGTGCCCCAGGCGGGGCCCCCCACTGCTTTCTTCCTCACAGGGGTCTGAGCAAGTGGGATTTTTATAAATCAAAAATGGTTGTGCTTGCACTGTGCGGGAGGTGCGTGATCAAGGTGGCCCTCTCTCTTCACCTTGTGGCAGCGCTCCTGGTGCAAGCTGCCTCTTATGTCACCTGGAGACCTGTCCTCACCTGTGCTCTGTGAGGATACAGGATATTAACACAAAGTTAATATGATCATACAAATTATTTCACAGAGAGTTGAGTCTAGTCTCTCTTCCACACTGCAATACCCTCTTGCAATGGTCCCTATAAAAAAAAAAGAGCATAAAAATCATTTTGTAAAGCCAGACTCATAACATTGAGGAGTGGGATGTATGTGCCTTTTAGGATGGCGTCGGAAGAGAAATGTGGGGGGAGAAACAGGGAGAAAGAAGGAAGGAAGGCTGGGGAGAGGAGCCCTGCTGGATGGGATGGGGCAGTCTTACTCGTACTCTGGCAGTGGGGTACCTATGCCTGCTGGGTGCCCTTGCCCTTGAGATTTGAACCCCCCATTCCATCCCCTGTGGACGAGTTTGAGGTCTGCTGCCATGTGGATGTGTGGCTCACACACCCTTTCTCCAGTTTCTTTTTTCTTTCTTTTCTTTCCTTTTTCCCTTCCCTTCCCTTTCCTTCCCTTCCCTTCCCTTCCTTCCTTTCTTTCTTCTTTTTTTTGACACATCCAGTCAGGAGTGCAATGGTGTGATCTTGGCTCACTGCAACCTCTGCCTCCAGGGTTCAAGTGATTCTCATGCCTCAACCTCCTGAGTAGCTGGGACTACAGGCATGCGCCACCATGCCCAGCTAATTTTTGTATTTTTTGGTAGAGACGTGGTTTCACCATGTTGACCAGGCTGGTCTCGAACTCCTGGCCTCAAGTCATCCACCTGCCTCAGCTTTCCAAAGTGCTGGGATTATAGATGTGAGCCACCATGCCCGGCCATTTCTCCAGTTTCAAAAAAACCCCAAACCCATTCCCCAGATCCTTTGGGGTCACACTGCACACCTTATAACGAACACTAAAAGCACCCATGACGCCTGCTATGCATTTTTGGTCACATTCCCTCAAGCGTCTTACACCAGCCCTTCCCCAGGGAGCCCCAACCTCACCCCCTCCTGGGCTGCCATCTCTTCCCCCTTCTTCTTCTGTCCATTGTCCCTTGTTCCCCCAACACTGGGAGAAGTTTTCCTTCCTTTCTTCGGCTTTTCCCTCAGCTCCTTCTCCCAAATGAACATTGCCAAACTCATCCCCTCCTTGGAATGCGGTTATGTTACCAAAGCCAGCTCTCTCTTAACACATCAGCCACGTGCTGCATGTGGAATGGCCTTTCCCCGGTTTCTTTGCAACTGCAAAGAAGAAAGACTCCATTAAAAAAAATTGTAAAACTAGCTTCAGTACTTACATGCGAAGTCCTGTGCAAAGAGCTTTCCATTTTCCCCTTTAACTCTGGTAACCTCCCATGACAAAGGCATACTCACGATGACCCATTTACAGATGAGTACGTGAGGTTCTGAGAGGTGACTCATCCAAGGTCATACAGCAGGTAAGGGGTGAGCCAGGGCTGAGTCCCAGGTCCACCTGAGGTCAGAGCTCTGTTCTACATCACAGCAGCATTGCCTGGCAGCCTCCAGGCAAGACCACCTCCTACGTGCCCAGTGGTTTGTCAGTTTCCTATGTAAATGAGCCTGTCACTTTCCTTCTAATAAAGGAAGACAGAGATGCCATTTTAAAGTTTTGTTCTTATTCATTAAAGCTTGGCTCCAAACTAGAAGTAAACATTTTAGGGTATAAAAGAGAAAGGATTAAGAATGATGAGGTCCCAAGTCAGGGTGCTGGGGATGAGTGTCTATCTCTATTTGTTTTTAACGTGTTGTTTTGAACTTAGGCAGAAAAACAGGAAGAACACTACAGCAGGGATCCATATACCCACCATCTAGATGCAGCAGTTGATAGTTTTTGCATATTTACCTTACTATATAGACATATATTTTGTAGAATACTTTAAATTACAGAGGTTATAACACTTTCCATTCTAAATACTTCATCGTGATGTCCAAAAGTAAGAACATTTTTCTGCCTAACCATGATAACATTATCCTACCTAACAATAATAATTCCATAATACCCAGGCATGCTCAGAGATAGCCTGGAACTTTTGGTGTGCATGGTGAAGACCATGGAGGCACTGGCTGCCAGGGAATGGGGCTGGGACAAATAAGAGGAAAAAACGTTCACGCCTGTAATCCCAGCACTTTGGGAGGCCGAGGCGGACAGATCACGAGGTCAGGAGATCGAGACCATCCTGGCTAACACGGTGAAACCCTGTCTCTACTAAAAATACAAAAAATTAGCCGGGCGTGGTGGCAGGCGCCAGTAGTCCCAGCTACTCAGGAGGCTGAGGCAGGAGAATGGTGTGAACCCGGGAGGTGGAGCTTGCAGTGAGCCGAAATCGTGCCACTGCACTCCAGCCTGGGCGACAGAGCGAGACTCCGTCTCAAAAAAAAAAAAAAAAGAGGAAAAAACGTATGGAGTGTCTTTAGTGCAGACCTTGGATTCAGTCCAAGCAGGACCTGGCTGGGCTTATCTCCAGCTGCTTCCACATGTTCTCATGGCCGGTCCCTGGAACTCGCTGGTGGGCCTGGTAGGGCCACATTAAAAGTCCCTTTTACCTAGGAGAGCCCCCAAGGTCCTGGAGGGCAGTGGGGCCCTGGGCACTGTGCCTGCTGAGCCAGGCAGGCTCTGTCCCTTGGCCCAATTGGTCCTGAGGCTGGACTCATTCTGCCGCAGATGCACTTGCTCGAGGGCTCGGTGGGGGTGCAGGGAAGCCTGGCCTATGTCCCCCAGCAGGCCTGGATCGTCAGCGGGAACATCAGGGAGAACATCCTCATGGGAGGCGCATATGACAAGGCCCGGTAAGCTCCTGGGAGGGGAAAGGGAGAGTACAGGGCATGTGGCTGGTCTGGGGGCACCTCCAGCTTCAAACGGTAACCTGACAACTGCTAACACTTGTGTGCTCCACTTAAACGCATTATCATATTCACCCCTCACTGTGAAAGAAATACCATCATATCAATTTTCCAGATGAATCAGCTGAGGCCCCAAGAGGTTAAATAATTTGCCCGAAGTCACCCAGGTGGTGGGATGTGATAGAGCCAGGATTTGAACCCAGTTGCTTTCAGAAACTTCGTGCTTAACTATTACGCTATATTGGCTCAAAATAGTCAATACACTCTCCCCCTCCAATATTGCTACATTTGAACTTCATTTGTATTCGTTAAATCTTGGCCCCTAAGTGAAAAGGAAAACAAATGGGAGCGATGAGGTTCTGTGAAAAGGAAAACAAATGGGAGTGATGAGGTTCTGTGACATAGAGGAAACCAGTTTGAATCTATGGCCCCGTGGATCTCCCAAGTCTTGTCCATATCCCTCCTTTCCCTCTATGGCTTCTCCCTGCCCTAGAATTCTCGGGTTAACCTGCCCAAGACATGAGATTGAATGTCATGAGTGAAGCCTGTTCAGTGAAGGGTCCAGGAAAACTGCTCTGAATGCTACAGCTACGCTTCCAACTATGGTGGACTCTGACCTGTGACTGTTTGCTTGGTTTTGCAATCTGCCCCCGGGAACAACATAGATATGGAGGTGTAGGAACTGGCTGTCTCTGTCTAGTTGTCCTGTGGACACCTCACAATTATGTCCAATACCAACTCATGAGCACCCTGCCTGCCCAGCCCCATACCCCTGGCTTCTTTTCCCAAATTGTGCAACTCAGTTTAATGGCATCACCCAAACCTTGCACCCCGGGAAGCCAGATGTCTCCTCCTCTGATTTCTTCCACATCTAATTGGTAATTGGTCACCGATCGTGAATAAGCCTGTCTCCTACATATCTCTTGTATTTCTGTCTTCTCCATCTCTGTTTCTAGTTCGTTCAGCCTGTGATCTCTTGTTTGAACAGTTCCCACTGCCCCTGCCCTTGGGTCCCTGTCTCTAATCTCCTGCTCTGTTCCACCCCGCGTAAGATTGTCTCCAGGGCAATCATCCTAAGTCCCAGCTCTCATCTTGTCATTGCTCTTCTTTAGGGTCTTCTATGAGACTGATAGAACTCATACAGAAATTTTGCAATATCTGTTAAAATAAAAATGCACCAACCCTTTGACTCAGCAAATTCACTGTTAGGTATTTAATGTGTAGATATTTTCACCCATGGAAGCAAAGACCCATATACAAAGATGTTCACACTGCATTGCTCACAGGAGCAAAAGAGTAGAAAAAATTCCAGTGTCCATCACTAGGCCACTGGTTAAATAATTTATGGTGCAACCATATAATGGAATACTAAAATGCCATTAAAACAATAATAACCTATACATGCAGTACCATGCAGTACACATCCATATACGAATAGATTATTTCTGAATAAATACGTAAGACACTGTAATAGTGGCTGCTTTTTTTTGAGACGGAGTCTCACTTTGTCTCCCAGGCTGGAGTACAATGGCGTGATCTTGGCTTACTGCAACCTTTCCGCCTCCCTGGTTCAAGTGATTCTCCTGCCTCAGTCTCTCAAGTAGCTGGGACTACAGGCACGCACCAGCACGCCCAGTTAATTTTTGTATTTTTAGTAGAGACGGGGTTTTGTCATGTTAGCCAAGCTGGTCTCGAACTCCTGACCTCAGGTGATTTGCCCTCCTTGGCCTCCCAAAGTGCTGGGATTACAGGCATGAGCCACCGTGCCTGGCCAAGAGTGACTGCTTTTGAGAAAAGCAAATGAAGGTCAAAGATGGGAAGGAGAACTGCTTTTTATTGCATCTTTTTATTCTGGTCAAATATTTACTAAGAGTGTGTATTAATTTAAAAGAAATGAAAGAGGGAAGGAAATGAAAAAAGCCTTCAGTGTTATACCATTAAACACCATCAAGTCTAAATTTCTTAGCATGAAAATCAAGACCATTCCTCTCGACACTGGGAAGGGTGATGGGCGGGAGGGCTGGTCCCCTGTGCCTTATGGCTCCCTGTCCTTCACAGATACCTCCAGGTGCTCCACTGCTGCTCCCTGAATCGGGACCTGGAACTTCTGCCCTTTGGAGACATGACAGAGGTGAGAGGGAGGCGAGCCTGCCTTCTCTGTGTAATGTTGGTGCTCTTATGTTCATGCTGCCTCCCCAGGCAGGGAAGGGAGGAATCCCAGCTCTTCCTCCCAAAGCAGTTGGAGTTTTTCCTGCAGCTGCTGCAGGAGGAGCAAAGCTTCCCTCACTGAGGGAGGTTGGGGCTCAGCTTATAGAGGCACCTGGAAAGGAAAGTGGGTACCTTATCCCACAGAGGTGGAGAGCTGACCTCAAGCTCCTTCTTCTGAAGCAAGAGCGGAGACCCTGTCAAGATGAGAAACGCTGCATCGCCCTTGCCCCACTCCGGCTGGTGCAACATCAGCCATGACCCTCAGGGGAAATTTCTGACTGTAACATTTCCCCGATAATTCCAATCTTTTACATCTGCAGCCACCTTAATACACATACGACCCTCACCCGAGATAAAAGTGGCATTGCCTTCTTGATATTAATGGTCTAATAATATCTCAGTCTGTTGAACACTTACTACATGCAAGGTGCTATTCTAGTGACTTGAATGTAGTGTCTTAGGTGAGAGTCACGATAATCTCAATAACCTCAGGAGGGTAGTCTCTTAATTCTTCTTCTTCTTTTTTTTTTTTTTGAAGGGGAGTCTTGTTCTCTGTCTGTCACCCAGGCTGGAGTGCAGTGGTGCGATCTCGACTCACTGCAACCTCCACCTCCCAGATTCAAGAGATTCTCCTACCTCAGCCTCCTGAGTAGCTGGGATTACAGGCATGCACCTCCAGGCCCGGCTAATTTTTGCATTTTTAGTGGAGACAGGGTTTCGTCATGTTAGCCAAGCTAGTCTCAAACTCCTGGCCTCATGTGATCCACCCAGCTCGGCCTTCCAAAGTGCTGCGATTACAGGCATGAGCTACTGCGCTTGGCCTATTCTTCTTCTTTTAAAGCTGGGACTATAAATCCTTGATGGCAGAGAGCTCAATGATCTTATTCAAGGTTGTTTCTTCAATAGGAAGAACAAGGTCTCATCTGTAAAATGGCATAAATAAGAGTACTGACCTGATCGGATTGCTTTGAGGTTTAAATGAGTTAATACAAAGTGTTTTGACTAGTGCCCGGCCTAGAGTAAGTGTTAACTATTATTGTAAGAGCACAGTAGGCATTGAATAGTGTTTGATGAATAAGTAAATGAATGAATGGGGAAACTGGGCTTTGGCCAGATCAAGCAGGTTGTCCAAGGTCACACAGTGGTGACCTGGAAGCACGGCAGGGACAGGAGTTTTCTCTGCCACCATTTCAACTCTGATTCTTCTCTACAGAGACTTCAAGCAGTCAGGATAGAACAGGAACTAGGACTTACACTCCAGCTCCCACTTCCTCAGAGCCTCAAGGAGGGATGGGCCAGCTGGCAGCTGCCTGGAGTGCTAATCTGCAAAACATGCTCAGTAACTTGGGTTTCCACCCTCAACTCCTATCACAGCAGGTGCCGTGTGAGATGGTCCTTCCAGCGTCAGTAAAGCTCCTTGCAGCCATTGTAGCTCTGGTCTGTTGAGTGGGTGCACACAGTGCAAATAGTCTTTGACGACACCTGTAACCCAGGCCAATGGTCCCACAAGTTGACAGGTGCTGTCAATGGAGATTAAAAACCTGAATAAGGCCAGGTCCAGTGTAACCCCAGCACCTTGGGAGGCCAAGGTGGGAGAAATTGCTTGAGCCCAGGAGTTTGAGACCAGCCTAGGCAATATAGTGAGACCTCATCTCTACAAAAAAAAAAAAAAAAAAGAAAAAGAAAAAAAAAGGTTTAAAAACATTGGCTAAGTGTGATGGCACCGCCTGTAGTCCCAGCTACTCAGGAGGCTGAGATGGGAGAATCGCTTGAGACTGAGAGGCGGAGGTCGCAGTAAGCCATGATTGCTGGTGCCACTGCACTCCAGCCTGGGCAACAGAGGAGACCCTGTCTCAAAAAACCAAATAAATAAAACCAGAATAATATGTGAGACAGTGCTCTGACTTGGGAATAAGTGACTTATTTTATTATCTGAATTTTTAATAGTTTAATGTTTGCCTCCTAGAAGTTGATAGGTTTAGAAAAATTGTATCTAAGTAAGAGTTACAATTTTTTAAAAGTCATATATCTTTAAATTTAGATTCAGGGGATACATGGAGAGTTGTAAGATTTTTAATTAATTGAGAAGCAATTTATTCATCCCCTACTAACCACGTTTTGAAAAATATTTTTATTGATGCATAATATTTGTACATGTTTTTTGGGTACCTGTGCTATTTTGTTATATCTGTAGAATATGTAATGATCAGGTCAGGGCATTTAGGGTATTTATCATTTCTATTGTGCTGAGAACTTTTCAATCCTATCTACTAGCTCTGCTGAAATATACAATACATTGTTGTTAGCTATAGTCATCCTATTCTGCTATCAAACATTAGAACTTATTCTTTCTATCTAACTTGATGTTTGTATCCATCAGCCAACCTCTCTTCATTCTCACCTCCCTTCCCTACCCCCAAAAATCCTTTCCAGCCTCTGGTGTCCATCATTCTACTCTCTACCTCCACGAGATCAGCTTTTAAGCTCCCACATATGAGTGAGATATATATGTATTTTTAAGTCCAGAATGCCAAATTATCAGGTATCCTGGAGTGTGTGCATATCTTGGTCTGTACTGAGGGGGTTCTGTCTGCTACATCTGCCTACCCATTTGAGCACACCTGGCTGTGCTTGCTGTCTGGACATGGTGCCTTTTACTGCCTGTCTGCAGATTGGAGAGCGGGGCCTCAACCTCTCTGGGGGGCAGAAACAGAGGATCAGCCTGGCCCGCGCCGTCTATTCCGACCGTCAGATCTACCTGCTGGACGACCCCCTGTCTGCTGTGGACGCCCACGTGGGGAAGCACATTTTTGAGGAGTGCATTAAGAAGACACTCAGGGGGAAGACGGTCGTCCTGGTGACCCACCAGCTGCAGGTTAGCACCCTTCCAGGGCTCTGACTGTGATTGACGGATAACGTAGATCCTCAAGCCTTTGCCATTTCAGAGTGTGATTCAATAACAGCCTCCCAGCAGCTGTCCTCATCTCAGGTTAGACTCCTCCACATTTGGGGAGGGCTGTAAAAAACTTGGATTTCCTCTGCTTTCCACACAAAGCAAACAGACTGGTAGAAGATTTTTGTGCTGGTAAAAATTGAGAACAAATTTTATGGTCTCCTTTATCTTCAAAATTTTTTGAGTAGACCCCTGCTTTTCAACTTATAAAAAATGAAAACAGGCCGAGCACGGTGGCTCATGCCTATAATCCCAGCACTTTGGGAGGCCAAGGCAGGAGGACTGCTTGAGACCAGGAGTTCAAGACCAGCCTGGGCAACGTAGAGAGACCTCCCATCTCTACAAAAATTTAAAAAAATTAGCCAGGTGTTGTGGTGCATCTGTGGTCCCAGCTACTGGGGAGGCCAAGGTGGGAGGATGGAGCCCCGGAGGTCAAGGCTGCAGTGAGCTGTGAGTGCCACTGCACTCCAGCCTGGGCAACAGAACAAGACCCTGTCTCAAAAAAAAAAAAAAAAAAAAAAAAAATCAATAAAAAAGAAAAGAAAAGAAAAAGAAACCAATCTCTCAGAAAAGAATTCCCCAAGTCTCCCATTCTTAGATTGAGAGCCATCTCAGTGTGTTTTCTTACCGATGATGACCGCAGTGCAATGACTGCTTCTGGTGGTGCTTCTCCTGGGTCATTTTCCCTTGAATATTTTCATCTATGGCATTGGCCACAGTGCCTTATTATTTTCTCTCCCCCTTCTTCTTCTGTTTCTTTTTCTCTCGCCCCTTATTTTTGCTTTACTATTTTTTTTTGGTATAAAATATTTAAGACCTAAACAAGGTTTAGAAAATAATTAATAAAAACCCATGTATCTACCACCCAGATTAAACAATAAAACATTGATTCCACTCTCCAATTCTGTTCCAGTTCTCCCTTTCTGCTCTCCTGACTTTGTTGTTTATTGTTTCCATGCATGTCTTCATACTTCTACAGTGTATGCATGAATCTCTAGACATGAAGAAATTCCTTTTGCATATTTTTAAACTTTATAGAATTTATTTTTTACTTTCTGTGTCCTTTGGTAATTTCATTTTTTCCCTCAACATTATGTTTTTTGAGATCTTCCATGTTGATACTTGTAACTTTATATATATATAGATATATATATATATTTTTTTGAGACAGAGTCTGACTCTGTTGCCTAGGCTGGAGTGCAATGGTACAATCTCAGCTCACTGCAGCCTCCACTTCCCAGGTTCAAGCAATTCTGCCTCAGCCTCCCGAGTAGCTGGGACTACAGGCACACGCCACCACACCTGGCTGATTTTTGTATTTGTAGTACAGACGA